>NC_000002.12:195065375-195368405 GCF_000001405.40 Homo sapiens | reverse complement strand
CTAGTTACTTGTTTGTCTGTCTTTAGTTTTAGATTCTTAGATTGTCAACTTCAGGAGGGTAAGAAACATACATATATATTGCTCTCCATTTTATCTTTGCTAGGCAGAAATTGAATACTAGTTTATTCTGAATGGGGATATGTTCTGGTTCTAGATGTGCAGCTTAGAAGGACATTCTTTTTCTTCCCACTGAATGCTTTACATTAAGACACAGAGCTGTAGAATAAAGGTAATAATCAACCCTGGCCCGAAAGGGAGTTAGTTGCTGGTTACAGTTGACACTTCAGTGTCAACTGCTGGATACAGTTGACATTGTTTGGCCTCTGCTGATGAAGGAGAGACGAAGATAAGAATGTTCTGAGAATATACAGGTCCACAAAAATACTGGTCTAATCTTGTTTGGTTAGGAAAAAAAATAACCAGTTGAGTCTGTGGTTGCTTCATGGGCCTAGCTGGGTGTAATCCTGACTTTTATTGTTGAGTGGTTGGGCACTTAGGTGCCAGGTCACCTGGGTAACCACAGCTAATACTCTGTACTCTATGATCACAGTGAAGGTCTTCCAGAAGCTAGGCTGCCCAGTAAAAGAAAACCAAACCATTAATTTTTAAAAATACCAGGTTTAAAACTAAACACACATTTGGATTTCAAATATAGCACTGGCATCTGAATGTACCCTGCTGTATATATTCAAGTTGCACCAGCCTACTTTATGTCAATATAGATATCTATATCAGTATCTAGTAAGCAACCACTTTGGGGGAGAGCCCGAGACTGAAGAATGTTTTATTTTAAAAGGGTATTTCCTTTGGTAGTTTTTACACCCCCTAAAAGGAGTGTATTCCAGGGACTTTTATCAAAACAAAATTTAAAAAGTCATTGTTGAATGCATGCATGCATACATGCATGAATAAATGCAGTTACACCTAGGAATTGCGAACAAGGAAATTAATACCACTGGATTCAAAAGTCAAAGAACCTCGGTTCTAGACCCACAGTTATCCTCAATTAGTTATGTAATATATGTAAATAATTTACCTCTCAGTCTTAGTTTCATCAACTGTAAGATATCTTAATAATTTCTTCCATATGTACCTCAGAGGCTTCTTTTTTCAGAATTAATAAACTGCTAATGATGAAATTTTAAACTCATGAAATGATATCGAGATAAAAGGTATTAATGAAGAAGACTTTCAGCTGGGCATGCTGGCTCACTCCTGTAATTCCAGCACTTTGGGAGGCTGAGGTGGGTGGATCACTTCAAGTCAGGAGTTCGAGACCAGCCTGGTCGACATGGTGAAACCCCATCGCTACCAAAATACAGAAATGAGTCAGGTGTGGTGGCAGGCACCTCTAATCCCAGCTACTTGGGAGGCTGAGGCATGAGAATCATTTAAACTGGGAGGTGGAGGTTGCAGTGAACCAGTGAGCTGAGATCATACCATTGCACTCCAGCCTGGGTGACACAGTGAGATTCCATCTCAAAAAAAAAAAAAAAAAAAAAAGAAGACTTTCAAGTATTCCCTTTCTTTACTTAGAGATCATTTTTACTTGTTTGTTTCTTGGCAAAGGATCCCTGGAAACTACTTTTAATTGGTTGTTCATGCTGTACCTCTCATAAAGTGAACCAAATATTTTATTTCTGTATTATTTCATTTACATTAAACAATGAAGCAAAAGTAGATAAAATGCATTTTATAATCATAAAATGGGCTCAGATATCAGAAATTTTAGAAAAGATTCAAGTACTTCAAAATTCATTAGATTTTTTCCGGATGTCATTAGATACCTACAGAAATGCACATTACATAGAAATAGGTACATACATAGAAATGTATTTGCATAATGTTATGATGACAGTGGAGGAACAGGGACCAACACCTTTTTCATAATTGTATTTCAATGGACACATTACTAGAAATCACATGCCCAATGTAGCAGAAACAAATTGTTCTGTAATATCTATCTGTATCTTTTTCTTTCTTAATTTTTAGCTAAACACATAGGCACTTAAAGACTGCATTTCCTGGCATCCCTTGAAGCTAGGTCCAGAATAGATGTGATAATCGCTGCAGGAGCATCTTATGCTGGGAATGGTAGAGCAAGAATACAGGCATCTGAGTCCCTGGCCATCCCTGGACCTGTCACTTATATACAAAAGAGAAATAAACTTTATCTTGGAGTGTCTGGCACTCATAGCTAAACTTAATTCTAATGAATACTTCCAATCCTGTGGATGTGAATTAGTAACGTAAAAAAAAGTTTTGAAACCAGTAGGGAAATATGGAGATACTATTATCACTTCCACCAATGTCCTTTCATTTTTCCTTTAATATGATGATATGTTTTGGGTTGATCTTCTGGCAATTTAAATGGGTTCCCTTGATGGGGTTAAGAGGTATATCGGTAGTGGAGAAGGATTAGTGTTTTGAATGAATGGGGCAATTTCAAATGAAACAAAAGATTTTGATTTGGGTAGTTACCAATCTCTTCTTCCAGCCATGTTTCCTCTTGGGTGCTGGGCTTTGGCCAGTTCCTACGGGTCTCGATGGAATGTCAGGCTTGTCCTCGACCTGTCCTCAGGCTGCAGTAGGTGGATGGAAGTGAGGGCAATTAGTGAGAAAGTCCAAATGTAGAATTAAAATTGAAAATCAGATAGACTGGCAGAAGAGACAATACAAAGGGACTAAGCAGAGAGACAAAATCCAGTTACAAAACAGTAGGCAGAAACAGGGAATAACAGCTAAAAGCAAAAGCATTTTGATGGAGGTGGGAGGTGGGGCCTGCAGTGTCTTTGAGCCCTGGAATGCAGTTGCCACACTTTTTTTTAGGACAGTCGTGCATAGATTCAGCCATGGGTGGGTGGTTGCCAAATTAGTTTGAACTGACAAATATGCTGGGACCCCCTTAGGAGAGAAAGTGAAGAAATAAGGACTGAGGAGAAGTGGGGGCTGGCCTCTGAGTGAGTCCTACTATGTGCCATTTTATGGTAATCAAAGGAGCATCATTGGTTCCTTGATGGAATCCAGAGCTGAATCCGCAGAGAAGTCATCTGGTGGTTGGCACAGTAGTGGGAGAACTCATTGGTCAGAGATGGAGTCAGGAGGCTGATGTGAGCCTGGAAGTTGGCACATGTACAGTACAACCTTAAGCTTTCGTTGGGCATAGGGGAAATAAGATCAAATTCCCAGGAGAGAGAAAAGAGGGTATAAGAGGGTGGGGCGTTAGAGCCCACCATGCTGGCTGAAGTCCCAGAAGGCAACTGCAATGCTAGGAAGTGATATTGAACAGAAGTTTAAAGTTTTGATACCAGTGTCTGAGAGATGAGTGGCCTCCATATCAGGATGGATCTACTGAGGCTCTATATTAGTCTATTTTCACACTGCTAATAAAGACATACCTGAGACTGGGTAATTTATGAATCACAGTTCCACATGGCTGGAGAAGCCTCACAATCATGGTAGAAGGTGAAGGAGGAGCAAAGGCACGTCTTACAAGGCAGCAGGCAAGAGAACGTGTGCAGGGGAACTGCCTTTTATAAAACCATCAAATGTCATGAGACTTACTCACTTTCACAAGAACAACACAGGAAAAACCTGCCCCCATGATTCAATTACCTCCCACTCGATCCCTCCCATGATACATGGGGATTATGGGAGCTACAATTAAAGATGTGATTTGGGTGGAGACACAGCCAAACCATATCAGGCTCCATGAATTCCTCTCACAGTAACATGAAACCAGGGCTCAGAAGCCCAGTCCAGCTCAGGCTGGAGCCCAATCTACCAATAGAAGGCATCTATTATGTCTGCAGAGACTTCTGTGGGAGAAGGATAGCAGGAAGAGGACATCTCTCCTTTCCATTCTCAGACCAGAGTCCACACTCATACTTTGTCAGAAGAGAATGACCATTACAGAGTCAGAAGGCAGAGTCAGTAACTGTTAACTGGCAGCAGTAAGATCAACAAAACACTGGCTTTATTATTCAGAATTCTTTCCTGTAATAATATTTGGTTTATTAAAAATTTACCTACGTTTCCAATATCCCAAATAATTTATATTGGGTTATATAAGACAAAAATGAAATTGTACTTTGATTAACAAACTAGTCCACAGGCTGTGTAGAAACTACCACCCACAATTATGAACAATGATTATTCATTCCCCAAACATTAGTCATCCACATTCAAAGGGTTAGCTTCAGCAAACAGAAGCTTACTTTATTATTATTTTTAAATCTTACGTTCTTGGAATGCTCAAGGCTTTCTCCAGTAATTAAAAATAAAGCATTAAAAAGATCTTAAATTAACAATTTTGTTAAAGGAAAAATGAGCTAAGAGATTCAACTGTATTATTCAAAGGATATAAGTAGCAAATATTCTTCTGAAGTGCATATAAAAAACACATTCAGCACCTTTGATTAAGTCACATGGTATCGACAATAACTTTTAACTTGTCTTTCTTCAAAGTTTAAAAAAGAATTAGAAAAATATTTAATCTATTCAGCTCTTTTTGTCTTGTGCCAAAACATATCTTGGAATTTCAGGGAGTCAAGCTAGCTGAATAAAAAGAAAAGATCAAAGGCAATGTTTAAAATTTTTGTAGGAAACACAAAGAGGAAATTTAAATAATATCCAAAATAAACAAAGTGGAAACTTTGTATGACACAACAGCACAGGCAGTAACCACTGAATCCTGCTGGAACTGTGTGTAACCAACTGTGTATAACCAAATATTCAAGTATAAATGATCTCATTCATACCTGAATACTTACATGATTAAATGAGATCATTTATACTTGAGTGTACATACTGCTGGAACTGTTTGTATATTGAAGTATAAATGAGATCTGAACTGTTCCCATAGGTATTCAGCACATCTCTGGGCACTCACAACGCTTTTTTTTTCTGTTCCTACAGAGCTTTCAGTGACAAACTTTAGTATGTTGAAATGTTTGGGGCCTGTCTTCTTGTCTAGAAATTAAGTGACACTGCACCATGCCACCTTGGACATTGTGAAATCTAGGTTGGGGATAGTAGGAGGTGTCATTTATTGTTAAGACATATCTCACCCTAGGACACCATTTTTCTACGGTACTCAGGAACAGGTAGTTCTGTCTTCCTTTGGAATAGCCAACTGAATTAGGTACATGTTGGCTGAGCTATGTTTATGATATATAATTTGTCAACATCAGATGACTTTTTTTTAGGGAAATTAAGCATGTTTGGTCGGGTGTTTATCTGAACTCATCTAATACTGCTAAGGAGTTTGTATTTCTGTTATAACACTCATTTATTCTGCTCTGCATTATATTTAGTTGTCTACATATATTATACCTTCAACTAGATGTTAAACTAATTAGAGGTGAGCATCTGCATAATTCAAATTTGCATTCTCCATGGTTGGAGGTGTGATTCTTTCAGCTTTGCTAGTCCCAGAAATGGAAACTTCATAGGCTGGCATTCAGGAAGGGTTGCAGAGGCTGGGCTGGCAGTACTAGCAGTGGCAGAGCCTGTTGACTGGAGTAGGGGAAGGGATGGATGCAGCCCGAAGAAAAGTGAGAATCATATTCAAGAAAATGATCCAAAAGCTTGTCCTTTCTATCATCAGGTTTGAAGGCAATGAGTGTGAAACTCTAGTCAAGAGCCGAAGCAAGAGGTCTGGAGTGTAGGCTAAGGTCATAATCCTTATGGGGCATATGTTCCATATGGGGCAATGTTCATAGTTAAAATGGGTAAAAAAGCAAAGATGTTCAAAATTGTTGAGTATTGTGTCAAAGGAGTCAATTGACCAATTTAAAGGTGCAGGGTTAGACCAGCCAAGGTTTGTTACTTATTGTAGACACATAAGAATTTCTTTTGAACAAATCAAAGTGTAATAGTTAATTGTATATTCCACAAAGAGTGATGATAAAGCAGCCTCACTGTCAACTCTAGGCTCTTGACAGAGTGAAACACTAATAATTTGATAAATGTGCTTTTCATCAGGAGAGAGGCTCTTTTGAGTAATATTCAGCCTACAAGTTGCTCTCATCATCATACCCAAAATCAAGTTCATAAAAATTTCCTGTATTGTGAAGAGAAAATATTTGTCAAGGGTAGCCTAAGTATAAATATTTTATGGAACATATATTGTAGGGGAGCTACTTCTTCTGAAATTACCCACATGTATGCAGTCATATGATGAATTGCTTTTTCTAAAGATGGCCTCCTGGCTGGGTGCAGTGGATCACACCTGTAATCCCAGCACTTTGGGAGGCCGAAGTGGACAGATCACCTGAGGCCAGGAATCCGAGGCCAACTTGGCCAACGTGGCAAAACCCCGACTTTACTGAAAATACAAGAATTAGCCAAGTGTGGTGGTGCATGCCTGTAATCTCAGCTACTTGGAAGGCTGAGGCATGAGAATCACTTAAACCTGGAAGGTGGAGGTTGCAGTGAGCTGAGATCATGCCACTGCACTACTGCAGACTGGGTGACAGGGTGAGATTCCATTTCAAAAAAAAAAAAAAAAAAAGAATAAAGATGGCTTCTACAACATATCCCATCTCAAATGCAATTTCTATACTGTGAGGTTGACAATTATGTCATCAGTTGGTAGAGTCTATGTCCCCTTGCTCTGAGCTGGGAAGACCTTTGAAACTGAGTTAACCAAAATAGTGTGGCTGAATGATGTCTATGTGGCTTCAGAGGCAAGGTCATAAAAATGCCATGCACATTGTCCTCTTGGAACATGCATTCTCAGAAGTCAGCTATCATGCTGTGAGGAAGCTAATTAGCCACAGCAAGGACCATATATAAGTGTTCTGTCCAATAGTTACAGCTAAGTCCCATCTAAACAACAGCCATCATCAACTGCTGGATGTGTGAGTGAATGAGCCACTGGATGATGCCAACCCTAGCCAAGTCATCCCCAGCCTTCTTGCCATCCCAGCTGGCAGCATGTGAGGTAGGGTTGATCCCTGCTCACATTTCATATTTGCAAGCAAAACTCATGATTTTTGTTTTAATCTTCTAAATTTGGAGTGGTTTGTCATTTGGCAGTAGGTTACTAGAGCAAGTCACAAATAAAAACAAGTGTAATTTGCATTATAGAAAGATCACCTTGATAAAGACATTTAGTCCAAGGACATTTTCAAGAACTTGGTCTCATTTTTTTTTCTATTCTCTTACCAAGGAAGCAAATTCATCATACAAGTATAACACTTTTTCATATTTGATGAATGTTGGCTTCAAAATTTAAAAAATTATTAGCAAAAATTTACAGTTACAATGCAAAATGTATTTTAAAATGACTGGTGAATTTTAAAAAGTATTTTTTTCTTCTGAGGGTCATTGAACATATTGCATTGATAATCAAACAAACAAAATCTTAGGCAGAACTTTTTCCTAATACTTTACATGGGCAGTAACAAGATGCTGTCCCTAGACACTATTTTTTCCCAGAAATATAATTTGCTAATGTAGAAATGTCAGAACAAAGTGACTATTAGAAATGGCAGCTCATAATCCAATGCAGCACTAATTTGAGTATTTTAAAAGCATAATTATGTATTCAAAGGAAATCTCCAGTTTTCTGTGAATGTCTTCCATATCAAGGAAAGTTAACATTTCCATTATAATATCTTGGGTTAAAATAAAGGAAGCATTTAACATTTATGTTTTAATTGAGTTAAATGCCTAAGCCTTCAGTGATATTGCATCTAATTTGCCAGGGAAAATAAAAATATCTTCAGATGAAAGAAGTGCTAATAAGGCTTGCTTAAAATTCCTGAAATAATCAAGCATTGTTGTGCATTTAAGAAATTACTCTTTAAAAATCTAAAAGATTATCCATTTCATTTTTACTAAGATGACAACTGAAAATGACTGCAAGCTTCTAAAAAGAGGCATGATAATCAAAATGACACTTGAGAAAGATGATTAATAGTGCTGCATGTGTGAAACATACGAGCTGTGATTCTCAAGAAATGGAGTTGGAGGGGGAGGGTGCAGGACATACACACACTTTCTGCTCCCCAGAGAATCAGAAGCATTTCTCCCACATCTTCCCTTGATAACTTTCTCAACCTCCAAGGGAGAACCAATGGAACAGTAGGAAATTCTGGGAATTCAAAAGAGTTGGGCCAGGTTGTGGGAAGAGAAACTGGAAGAGAGAACAAAGAAATACAGATTATGAAAAAAGATTTGGCAGAATGTACTTCTTATTTGGATGTGATGAATGTAATGTGGATTTTAGGTTAAAAGCTCAAGGAAAATAGTGATATGGAGAAAATGGGGTATAAAAATGAGAGAAGAAGAAAAATTATGGTGAGCCACTTATTTTAAAAAATAGCCTTTTATATCTTAGCAATGATTTGTATAGGCTTTAAGGATTGATTTGGTGAACAGCAGTTGACATTTTGCTATTTCAATGAAGCCTGGTTCATTTTCATATGCTGGGAAGATCAACATAATTTCTAAATAGATTTTTTATGTTGCATTTTGCTATTTAAATGTGACAGAATGAGTCATTTTCCATTGAAATATAAAATGTTAGTTTGGAGCACAATAAATAATATTTTAGGCATTGCTAATTTATTCTTGTTAATGTTCTTTTTACATTAGTAAGTTCATCAGTTTTTAAATGCTATTTAAATGCTTTAAAAAAATTCTATGAACACTTTGATAAGACATATTTTCTTTGGAATGTAGCTATTGACTGTACCACAATTTGCTCTTGGACCTCGTTTGCTATACATCCTGTCTTGACCTTCTCAGTTCTTCCAGGTTTCTAACCCTCCATTCACAGTCTCGCAAATCTCCTCATCTTTCTGTTTCCCTCTTCGATCAGTCTTTACACATCCATAATCCCCAACAACTGAGCAACAACCACACTATGATTGCTTGGGTAAACACTGTAGGTAGTGTTGCAAAGAATATATTTCCTCAATATTTTCTTTTGGTGTAAAGAACATAGTCTGTCTCTGTTGACCCTATTAACTTCAATTTTTGGTAATGTTTCTAATTCAAATCAAGTCTGAAGTTCATAAATACCTTTTGCAGCCTAGACAAACAGGCATAGTCAAGGCACTGCAACAAATAATATAGAAACCTTAAATAAGCTTTTTCACCTAGATCCCTGCTTTACTGCTTTGAGTGTTTTAAAACCCAACCTTCAGAGAGGGTGCGATGTGGTTAGACACTGTTTAACTTTGCTACCAATCAATGTTTTATTCTTAAGGAAGTCTATCGCCAAAGAAATGCTGAGTCTTTAAATGTCAAAACATTCTCCTTTTTGAAAGAACAGTTTCTTTTGTGTGCAAAAGGTCTTCCTCCGACTCACTCAGTGTGTTCTCCTTAGCATTAAAAAATAAACAGAAGCGACATATCCTTAAAATAACTATCTGAACTCAGTCACCTGTGCCTCCCAAAGCTCTCTAAATGAATGAACTGTCAAACATCACACAGAGGTGGGAATTAAAACTGCTGAACTTAAGGTGTTAGAGACCATACAGTGCTTCTTCAGGGCAGCATGTTGGCTAGAGTTCACACAGACGCTGCATCTATGTTTTTCGCAGTGTATTAAAACATTCCCTTTGAATAACACCAGCTCTATGCTACATTACTTAACCTCTGGGAGATTTGAAGGCTCCAGACTATCATCCAATTAGAGCTGACACTCTTCTAGTTAGCTACTGTATTTAGAAGAACCAATACAAAGGGGAATTTAAGAAAAAGACATGTTGCTTCGACTGGAAAAATGAACAAAGATCATGCCTTTGTGGAATTGTGAGCATTTACTAATGAAGCATTTTAGTTTCCTGCAGTGTTTACTTATTAATTGCTTAGAAGCTATAATGCTGGCTTCCATACTGCCTGTTTAACTTACTGTAACAGAGATGTCGACGTCCCTCTATTCCCTGCTTCCCTCAAAGGATAGCCTTTAAAATACATCTTGGTTGCAATTTAAAAATTACTCTTAATGTCTCCTCCTTGCAAAGTTTTCTTCCATGGTCTTTAGGGTTATAGCCAGTAATGACCAGAGGAACCAACGCCCTTTGTCTCTGAGGGATCCCCAAAATAAATGCAGTGGAATGCTCCTTTCTCTTTCTCCCTTTCTCTGACCATCTTTTACCTTGATTTGACTAATACTCTAGATGAAGATTCTATATGCGAAGTTAGGGCATTCTCAGAAGGAAATGACAATAGAGGTGAGAGTTCTACCTTCCTTGGACTCTCCTTTTACACTGGCTCTTCAAGTAACTGCATAAATCTGTCTCTTGGGAGCTCTCCAGTCTTCCCACAGCAGTGGGAAGCAGCAGGATCTTCAGTTTTAAGGAAGACCTTCCACTTCAGCTGGATTAAAGTTGATGGTCACCTCTGCTGCCTCACAGGCTCTGGACATATAATGGGCTCTATTTCATGAGGAAGGGTGGAGGTGGCTTCTCCAATTCCTGTGCATGCTTCCTGTGGCCCTGCTAGTGTCCTTGGCTGGTGGTTTAGCTAAATAAGCACACCTCTCCAAGAGAAAACTGTGTTGTTGGCCGATTTGGGGACAATGTAGCCTATCCGATGGCGAGGAGAGATTTCTGCTCTGTAGGATCTGCCTCGCCCTGGACCTCTGGGGACAATGGACCCACTTAATTGGTCTGAGATTCACTGGACTCTTTCCAGCCCTAAGACACAGTGATATCCCTTGAGCACAACACTTTTTAAATGGATATTTTCTTTGTTACCCAGGGAACATCTTCTGAGCTGACTAAATTCTTTTAATTGAGTCTGATGAGATAGAGAAGAAAATGCTTGCTTATTTCATCTGCTGCATTTCTTTCTTTCTGTTCTTGAACTCTCAACATCTACCCTGGACTGATGGGTACTTGTCGTCTCCCAAACATATTCAATTTCCACCTTTATAAATTGCATGTACCTTCCTACTAACCTGTGTTCCGTATCCAAATCAATGCACAGATAGGTTCCCTCTTCCTTAGACGATCTTCCCCTCCTCATGCCCATCATGGTCTCATTCTTCCCTCATGTTGTCACTCAGCACAAATTGTCTCTGCTATTCTTTGGCATTCATTTTCTCTTAGTCTGTTCAGGCTGCAATAACAAAGTATCACAGACTGCATGGCTTAAACAACAGAAATTTATTTTCTCACAGTTCTGGAGGCCCAAAGTCCCAGATCCGGTTTTTTCAGGGCTCGGTTTCTGATGAGGGCTGTTTTCCTAGCTTACAGATGGCCACCTTCTCACTGTGTCCTCACATGCCTTTCCTCTGAGTACATGTGGAGAGAGAAAGGGAGGGAGAGAGAAAGGGCGGGAGAAAGAGAGAGCAAGCAAGCACATGAGAGTGCCCTTTCTGGTATCTCTTCTTATAAGGGCACTAATCCTATAGGATAAGGGCCTGATCCTCATGGTCTCATTTAATCTTAAATACTTAATGACCCTTTCTCCATATGGAGCCATAATGGGAATAAAGCCTTCAACATATGAATTTTGGGGGGACAGAAATCTTCAGACCATAATACACTTCATTTTGCCTTGTGTTTATATATATTTATATAATCTCTCTCTCTATATAGATATACATATAAATATGTGTATGTGTGTATAAATCTTTGTTCAGCTTTTTGGTTTGCTTTTGCTTTTGTCTTTAGAGACAGGGTCTTGCTATGTTGCCTAGACTGGACTTGAACACCTGGGCCTAAGCTATCTTCCTGAGTAGCTGGGACAACAGGTGTGCGCCACCATGCCTGGCCTGTATAAATCTTTTATCAAAGAATTGTAAGCTCTTATAAACGTGTCCTACATATTCTTATACTTTGCATTTTGTTGGTACTGAATTAATATTTTTTGAGTGACAAAATATATTCAGGTACGAGCCATTCACAATTCTAGTTTCCACATTCACTTTCTAGTATACATTATTTAATTTTAAAAATTTCCACTTTCAAGGCTGCTTAAAAATTTTAGAGGACTCTTTAGGGAAAAAAAAGTACTGTTGCTGGAAAATCTTTCTGACAGCAAGGACCATGTAAACACAAACTAATGTGAATTTCCAATTTAATATGGCAGACCTCAAAGCTTTTGGGATTTCTAGTTAAACTCTCAAATATATGGCTGCTTACCTAAACTTGAAACCTTGAAAATGTCAACAGTGTTCTCTTTTGCAAAGCAGATACATTTTTGTTCACATTCGTATGAGCTATTTAAAGAATGTCTTAGATAAGATCATTTGCTAACTTTTAATTTTTTTCTTATAACCATGGGCTGCAGTATCTTTAGCAGAAAAATGCTTCTTTGTATATGCTTTGTATTGTTGATATTATATGCCAGATCACATGTTTAGCTTTTATTTTTTGCTACATCTTGTAATGTTTAAATATAGCAATACCATAGGTATTGGAAGACTAAAAAATATTGAATGGAAGACATAATACAGTGTTTGTATTGGCACTAAGTGAACACATAGCATATTAAATTTATGCTACAGTAAAATCTCAAAGAGCACTTTCCCAAACTATTTTCAAGTGTTTACCACTTATTTTTCAGTGATCACAAATTTTACTCCCTAATTTTCATGTAGCATCTAGCTCTTCAGAAACCAATTTCTCTTGCCTTTCACATGAGTTTTGCCCAATTTAAGTACACTTCATTTAAAGATGTTTGTTTTGTTTTGTTTTTGTCACCCAGGCTGGAGTGCAATGGCATCATCTCAGCTCCCAACCTCCCATACTCAAGTGATCTCCCTTCCTCAGCCTCCCGAGTAGCTGGAACGACAGGCTCATGCCACCACACCTGGCTAATTTTTCTATTTTTTTTATAGAGACTGGGTCTCACTATGTTGCCCTGGTTGGTCTCAAACTTCTGGCCTCAAGTGATCCTCCTGCCTTGGCCTCCCAAAGTACTGGGATTACAGGTGTGAGCTACCATGCCCAACCTTCATTTAAAGATTTTGTTTTGAAAGGAAAGATTGTCATTAAAAATATATTGGACTGTTTACTTATTTATTATACTTTAAGTTCTGGAATACATGTGCAGAACATGCAGGTTTGTTACATAGGTATACATGTGCCATGGTGGTATGCTGCACCCATCAATATGTCATCTAGGTTTTAAGCCCCACATGCATTAGGTATTTGTCCTAATGCTGTCCATCCCTTGGCCCCCCACCCCCTGACAGGCCCTGGTATGTGATGTTCCCCTCCCTGTGTCCATGTGTTCTCATTGTTCAACTCCCACTTGTGAGTGAGAACATGCGGTATTTGGTTTTCTGTTCCTGTGTTTGCTGAGAATGATGGTTTCTAGCTTCATCCATGTCCCTGGAAAGGACATGAACTCATTCTTTTTATGGCTGCATAGTATTCCATGGTTATACTGGCCTTTTCGTATAAAGACGCTGTCTGCAAATACTGATTATAATACTGCAAACAAAAGAAAGAATAAAAATGACATAGACGATTGCTCTTGAAACTCTTTTTTTTTTTTTTTTTTTTGAGATGGAGTCTCACTCTGTCACCCAGGCTGGAGTGCAGTGGTACGATCTTGGTTCACTGCAAGCTCCGCCTACTGGGTTCAAGCCATTCTTGTGCCTCAGCCTCCTGAGTAGCTGGGACTACAGGCAACAGCCACCATGCCCGGCTAATTTTTTGTATTTTTAGTGAGATGGGGTTTCACCGTGTTAGCCAGGATGGTCTCGATCTCCTGACCTCGTGATTCGCCTGCCTTGGCCTCCCAAAGTGCCGGGATTACAGGCATGAGCCACTGCGTGTGGCCTCTTTAAACTCTTATTTGTAGAATTTTTAAATCTCAGGAAGAAAAATATTTTGGGTAATATATTATGTCAAGCCTAAATTAATTGAATGAATTAGCTAACTGAATTCTTAGCTTAAGCAAAGCTCTGGTGACTCCATTTTCTTCTTTCTTTTTAAAATTTGTGTTGTGTATTTATAGGAAAACAATTTATGGACATTCTAGAACTTTTTAAAAGAGGCTATGCTGTTTGTTGTTATGTATTTTTGGCCTTTCACTTTTTAGAGGAACCATATCTCACAAGGGGTGTATGAATCTGCTGGCAGAATTAATATTAGCACTATTCCATGAATTCAGATTTGTTTCAATAGAGATGGCATTGTTTAATTCTTGTTTCTATTTGTCAACAATTACTAACATTAAATTTTTTTTATATTTTACTACATGAAGAAAGTTGATAGTCAATGGACATACGTGGTGTAAATGTCAGAAAATGAGGATCAAAATTTTCTGTTAATAGATATATCTGTAATGTATTTAATGCTGCAATTTTGTGCACATTATTGCTATTGATTTCTTTAAAATAGAGAGTTAAGATTACAAGCTACTCAGTATGTAAAGACTGAGAGTAAAAAAGACAGATATAAATGTCACTATGACCATGAGATATTGAGCATGGAATCCTAATTACTGGGCTTGATGAGGGAAATAAATCTGATGGAGTAAAAAAGTAATTATTATAAAACTGTTGATAATATAGGTAAATGACTTGTCCCTAAAATTAAAAAGTCAAACCTAGTTAATTATATGTTAGCTAATAAAAACGGCAGTGATAAGGTTTATAGATTGGTGAAAAATTAATGAACTCGTTAATGAATTTTCTGGTAAATTCTAGAAGTCAGAAGTAACTTAAGAAGTCTGAAAATGTTTAGGAGAGATTAGATTTACTAAGATATAAAATAATGCTAGAAATAGTGCAACTGTATTTTCAATACAGGAGAACTTTAAATCTGTCTTTTAGGTTGTATTGCATGGTTTAAAATAGTCTAGCACAACGTAGCATTTAATTAATACTACTGCATTAATTAATATTAAAATTAGGCACCATATAAGAACAAAGGTAGTGTGGATGTGTGTGTCGTGGCTCTGACTGATACTGTCAGCATTTCAAAGTGGTCAACTATTGTTTTCTGTACATTTACAACTTTCTCTAATCAGGTTATTTGTACTTTTATTTAGTTGTTCGAAGCATAAATCCACCAAATGTACACACTTCAGCACCTCTAAAAGTTCATTTTTTTCTCCTGAAATGTCTCATATTCCTAACTTATATTTCTATTCCCTTTTTCTAATGTAGTTAAAATATCCATCAGTGCAGTTGAATTCTCGCAAGAGGTGATTTTCTGGCTATAATTTACAATAAGATCTGGTTTAAGTTCCCCAGTCTATGTCGATATTTTGGGACTGAAAATGGAGAGGATGCTTACCTTGTTTTATTCATTTTTAGCTCTAAAAGTTTCCTAGGTAAGTCTCTTGTGGTCCAGAAATTTAATGCACAACCACACACACACACACACACACACACACACGGTTTTTCACTGTCCTAACAGTAACTATCCAATCTCCTTTTGGATATCATTGTCAGAAAAATAAAAGTGTTGTCAGGAAAATGCAAGTGTTCATAACCTGAACATGTGTCTTCTAATCCACCAAATGCTACTGTTTTTTAGTCATTGTCTTTATAGGTGATTACATAAAGGTGTAAACATCCAATTTCTGCAAATAAAATTCTAACAAATTTCAACACGTGATTGCAAATTTCACAACCACCTCTGAAGTCTGTGGAAAGTGATAGTATTTGAAAACTGCTGTAATCACGTGCAAAGCTGTTGATAAATGAGGATGTTGGATGCGTTAACAGTTGAAGGGAAAAGTGGCAATCATGATGACTAGACAGGTTTTTCAAAAGACAATGATTTGAATTTCAAAGGATTAAGAGACGCCCTTTGGGAAAATGGATGGATCCTTAAGTAATTTTGCAAGAAAACAACCGTTTTGTATAATTCTGCTGTGAAAGTCTAGCTTGAGGGGAAAACATACTATACAATTTTTGTGTGAAAAATTTCAAAAAATAAAAAGTAATGATGGGCTCATTTATTTTTGCAAATCTTAAGAATTGGTACATGGTTGCAAATACAACCTCCATTTCATTAAATAGAAGATAAAACTAAAAAATTTTTAAAATGTTTTTCAAAGTGAAGTCCCATTCATACATTTTCTTTTCATATAATATATAATTATACCCTGAGTTTTAAGTGAGTTTGGTTAAGTACCTTTCCCTTGGACACTGAGATAACTGAATAACGAGAACCTATATATGTGAGCTTGTAGGTGTGTGTGTGTGTGAAGGCAAGTCTCATTCATACATTTTTTTCATATATATATATATATAAATATATATATAAAATTTTGCACTTTTTTTTTTTTTGATGGAGTCTCTGTCCCCTGGGCTGGAGTGCAGTGGTGTGATCTCGGCTCACTGCAACCTCTGCCTCCCAGGTTCAAGTGATTCTCCTGCCTCAGCCTCCTAAGTAGCTGGGATTACAGGTGCCTACTGCCACACCCAGATAATTTTTTGTATTTTTAGTAGAGATGGGGTTTCACTATGTTGACCAGGCTGGTCTCAGACTCCTGACCTCGTGATCCACCCACATCAACCTCCCAAAGTGCTGGGATTACAGGCATGAGCCACTGCACCCGGCCTGCCATGGTTTTAAGTGAGCTTAATTAAGTGCCTTTCCCCGGACACTGTGATTAACTGAATAATGAGAACCCTATATATGCGAGCCTGTGTGTGTGTGTGTGTGTGTGTGTGTGTGTGTGTGTGTGTGTGTGATGTCCCATTCATACATTTTTTCATATATATATATATATATATATATATATATATATATATATATATATAATTTTGCCCTGGTGATTAATCAACTAACTAGAACCCTATATATGTGAGCCAGTGGGTGTATGTGTGTGTGCATGTGTATTCATGTGTGTGCATAGGTATGCACATTAATTTCAATGCTTAGAGGAATTTTTAAATTTAGAATTTTATGAAGGCAATACAGGAATATGTTAAAAATGAGTGGGGCAGCTTCAATAATATGAAAAATAATAATGTTTACAACCTAAATAGACTATATGATACATATCTAATAATAGGTTTCGATATTCATTTCCAGTTTGCCCGTTATTTGATCTACCTTGTCTTATCTGAATTGTGAGTCTTTCTTTGTTTTTAGAACTTTATTATTGATCTCAGAATTCCTAGTTATTTAACATAACTCAACATTTATGTGGAGTAAGTATGATTCTCTCGTCTGAGTATGTATGTGTGTTTGTGTGAGTGTGTAGCAATGTAGGTTAAACCCATTATTTAAAAAAACAATAATTTCTTGATTTGTCTGAGCAGTAAAGAATCTGCCAGTGCCTAGACACTTTATTACTAATCTTTTTATAACCATAGATGAGGATGACTATTCAATCACTTTCATATAAAAAGCATGCATTCATTACATTTGAATATCATTTTAAAATTCTTGATTTTTAATGCATTTCTCTTTAAAATAATAGAAAATTTCAGAAGCTACGGAGGTAATAACAAACTATAGTATTGCCACCTAGTAAGAAGCACTAATAACACTGTAGTTTATTAGGATGTTTTCTTCTAGTCTTTTTGCTGGGTCACAGAATGCTGAAAGAATGTTTTTATCATTGTTATCTTGCATTGTTATCTTGGAGTTGTTTCTAAAATCCCAAAACCGATCAACCAAGCATATAACCAAATATCCAAACTAACAACAAACAAACTGACAAAACACACAGGTAGCATGCCCATCCATACTCTAAAGACAGCCTCAGGAAGCATCGGTTGTATCTTCATGAGGTTATTAATAGGTGGAAGAACTGGCCTGTCTTCCTTCATGCTCACCCTTTCCCTACTCTGTATGAGTACTATACTCAAGGGACTCATATAAGCTTTTAGAAATGTGAGCTGTCATTTGGAGCAGGAGAACATCATGTGTAGCAGGCTTCCAATAGAATACCTTCTAAACATTGGGATGCCACTAGAAAATGGGAGGTAGGACTCTTATTCTTCAGTTGGATGTTTATGCTCCAGACTTAAATGACCTGCGCTCTATGCCTTTATGGAGTGGGGATAGGGAGAGAAGTCAATGGTGGGTGGGAGAGAGATAAAGCTGTTTTCCACAACAAAGGTGTGCCTTTTTCTTTTTCTTTTCTTTTCTTTTTTCTTTTTTTTTGAGATGGTATCTTGGACAAATCCTATAGCTTCCCAGTCACCTTTCAGTGTTAAATATTTCCTTCTAGTCTATGGGAGACTAGATATAGGGTTCTCATTATTAATGAGACATATAGGGTTCTCATTATTCAATTAATCACAGTGTCCTGGGTGCTCTGTCACCCAGGCTGGAGCACGGTGGTGCAATCTTCGCTCTCTGCAACCTTTGCCTTCGGGGTATAAGTGATTCTCCTGCATCAGCCTTCTGAGTAGCTGGGATTACAGGCACCTTCCACTACGCCAGGCTAGTTTTTGTATTTTTAGTAGAGACAGACTTTCATCATGTTGGCCAGGCTGGTCTCGAACTCCTAACCTCAGGTGATCTGCCCTCCTTGGCCTCCTAAATTGCTGGGATTACAGGTGTGAGCCACCTTGCCCAGCCAGATATGCCCTTTTCTAGAGAGCCAAGGGAACATCAAGGAAGGTATCTGGGCTTCAGTAGTCTGTTCCACATCTCAGTTGAGAGAACTGGCCTTTGGAAAGGGGACACCAGCAGAGTTTCGGGTTCATGCTAGAGTTGGAAGTGGAGTGGCATGGGGTTAAGAAGCAGCTAAGCTGACATGAATTCTCATGACAGTAAACTATTTAGTGAGGGGGTTCCCTCAGGGCCTGCTGAGAACCTGTTTTAGCTAGGAGAGGCTAGATTGGCTCCAGTTAGTAGTACACCTTTGGTCTATTTCTGGAGTTTTTCTTCCTACCCATTCCTGGAAGCGCTAGAAGGAAAAGAGCAAATGAGAGAGGAAGAATGATGGAGGGTCTGCTGGTCCCCATTCCAGATTCTCTCCAGCTGGGGGAAAGGCCAAGATCAGCACAGAAATGAATGTGAGATTTTTTTTTTTTTTTTTTTTTTTGAGACGGAGTCTCGCTCTGTCGCCCAGGCTGGAGTGCAGTGGCACAATCTCAGCTCACTGCAAGCTCCGCCTCCCGGGTTCACGCCATTCTCCTGCCTCAGCCTCCCGAGTAGTTGGGACTACAGGCGCCCGCCACCATGCCCGGCTAATTTTTTGTATTTTTAGTAGAGACGGGCTTTCACCATGTTAGCCAGGATGGTCTCGATCTCCTGACCTCGTGATCCGCCCGCCTTGGTCTCCCAAAGTGAATGTGGGATTTTAAACTCCAGTAGACTAGAAGGAAATTTTTAACACTGAAAGGTGACTGGGAAGCTATAGGATTTGTCCAAGATATCATTAAAGAATGGGAAAAGGAAATTCCATAGAGCAGTTTGAAGGCAGAGAATGGAGGAAAAGAAAACCACATCATCCTTCTGTCCCGCTGAATTCAAACACTGTTCAGTAGGCCACTTTCATGTGCACATAAAAAGCTGAGGTTCCACTGTGTATTTCACAGTTTTGCTTTGCTTTTCAAAATTTAGCTGTGGTATCAAAATTTTTCTCATATTATTAAAACTCTCACTCTCTATTATCTATGTGTGTTTATGTTTGAGGTGGTTAGAAGATGTAGCACAGACTCACACAGAGAGAAATAATCTTGTTCATTTTGCTGCTGGTTCTCAACAGAAAACTTGATCTCCTACTCCAATCCTGAATTTAGGTCTTAAGGGAGAAGATGGAGTGTGTGTGTGTGTGTGTGTGTGTGTGTGTGTGTGTGTTCCTTCCTAGCTGTCCTAGTATCTTTCATGCTATCACACTAAAATAAGATGATTAATTTGCATGAAGTAAAAGGAATTAAACAGAATTTTAAAAGACAATATGGTCTGTTTTATAGCTGTGCCACACTACCTTTAACTAGGTAGTTAAAGATATTCCCCCAATTTTACTATTTTAAATAAAGCTGTGTATAAATATCTTTGTGTAGAAACATTTTCTTCATTTGGTATCAATCCCAGAAATTGCAACTAGAATAGGTAGAACACATGTTTAAAATGCCTGTTATATACAAACAAGCATTCTCTTAGAACAGTTGGGTATAAAAGAAAATCAAGAAAACAACAAAAATCATGTTAAATACCATCAGCCAAAGAAAAGGCATTACTCCTATTTTCTTCCAATACTTTACCTATGCTTAAGTTCTTGTAAGAGCAAGGTCATGATGTATAGCATAATTTGCACCTACTTGTGCCAATTAATAATATATCAAGAGAATTTTCCTATATTCAATTATTTTTTGAAAATTCTATTATGAAGACTAGTATTTTACTGAATTGATAGACAAAAATTTAGTTCTCTTTTATCGTGGCTATTTAGATTATTTATTTATTGATTGATTGATTTTTGAGATGGATTCTTGCTCTGTTGCTCAGGCTGGAGTGCAGTGGTGCCATCTCGGCTCACTGCAACCTCTGCCTCCCGGGTTTAAGCGATTCTCCTGCCTCAGCCTCCTGAGTAGTTGGGATTACAGGCAAGTGCCACCACACCTGGCTAATTTTTGCATTTTTAGTAGAGGTGGAGGTTTCACCATGTTGGGCAGGCTGGTCTCGAACTCCTGATCTCATGATCCGCCTGCCTCCACCTCCCAAAGTGCTGGGATTAACAAGCGTGAGCTACCACACCCAGCCTAGATTATTTAAATTGTTTTGAGATTATCATGCTAAATTGAACATCCATGAAGGTTAAGTCTTTTACATAGGCTTATAATTTTTTTCTTAAACTGTATTCCTAAAAATGGGACTCTTGAGTCAAAGGTCAGGAATATTTTGCTAAAATTGCTTTCAGAAAGTTAGTCCAATTTTTCAGTTCTAGCAGTAATTTTTGAGAGAGGCATATATTTATATTCCTGTCAATACCCCATTTGGTGTTAAGAATTACCATGAAAATTTTTGCAAGTTTCATAAAGAAAACTGATATTTTGATTTTGACTTATTTGATTATTAATGAGGTTGAACTTTTCATTGAATGTTTATTAGCCATTTGTGTTTCCTTTTGTGTGTTCTCTGTTCTTACTTTATGCTCATTTAGCTATTTGATGCATTTGCATTTTAAAAGAGGAACTCATTAACACAAATCTCTAATTAGTAAGCTTATGTAGGATATACTTCCTAAGCAGAGGAGGATTGTTTTTGGCTTTTGTCTGTCCTTTAAAAAAATATATTCTATAAAAAAAATTAACCATCAGCTGGGTATAAGAAACTGTGCACTGTGGGAAATAAAATGAAAAAGAAAAACAAAAAACAGTAACTGTTTCTGGCCCTCAAGGAGGAAGCAATTGTATGGCTTGATTTAAGCATGTTGCTTCTAAAAGCTCACTGATTTCTGATTAAGAAATTACAAAAGTTAATTGTTGTTAAAGAAAATATGGACAATAGCAAGGGAATAATTACTCATAATTCTGTAACATTAAGTGCATCATTTTTATACTTCATGTACAGCCTTTAATTTTCTATGCATTTTCACATAGTTGTAATCACACTCGACATACTACTTTGTGTCTTGATCTTTGTACTTAATATTATAGCTTAACCCAGTCTTTTGGTAGTAGATGTCTTTATTCTAATGGCTGAATCTCTCTACAATTTACCTAATCATACTCATATTTTTGGGGCATTTACATTTTCCTTTGTTAGTACAATTCCTTTAGGTCTGTTCTGTATTTTTGACAACTTTTTTTTTCATTTAATGGTCCATCATGGGCATAATGCTCAACTATTTGGATTTTAAATATACAAATGAATTAGAAAAAGGTAACTAGAAAGCTTTAAAGACTAACAAAGAGTGATTTTTGGGAAACTATGCCTTTTTTTGTGGGCAGTAATTTTTGGGGTGGTTTTCTGTGTACCCCAGATCATAGACTACATTACTTCCTACTTGTATTGCATTGGAAAGAGCACCCCGCTTAGTTACAGAAGAACTGCTTTATACCTCACTGTGTGATCTGGGACAAATTATGCTTTCAGAGTCTACGTTTTGTCATTTATAATGTATGACTTCTAAAACTTGCATCACACAATGTCGTTATGAGGATTAAATAAAATATCATACAATACCCACTGAAGTGTATGCTCCAAATGGGTTCAAGTTAATGTTAGATTCTTCTCTTCCCCCTTTAATCCTTTCTTTTCATTCTGGCTATTTGGGAAGAAAACTACAGTTTGAGTTGGCCTGAGGAGTTGGATTTTTCATTTCTCTTTTTCATATTCTTGTCAGAATAAGCTCTTAATCATGTCTGTGCCTTAATTCTTCTTGAAACCTCTAAAAATATAGTAATTACTGATTTTCTATCAGTTTACTTGAAGATGGTGTGTGAATATAATTTGGGTTCAAAGGAATCTTTTCTGTATTTTTTCAGTTGACTGTGGCATTGCTGGACTATCTCAGGCAGAGCCACAAATCCAAGTCACAGCTTATGAATCTGTTGCTTTCCATGAAACCAGGCATCATCCCTCCTTTGTACATCTAATAGACTTTATTCTTTCTAATTGTGTTCTTGAAACTTGTCTTTCACGTATTTTGCTCACCAAGGGATTAAGATTTTTGACACAACCAGAAGATAATTACTCAATATATTTTCTCCTAGTTTCATAATCATGTAATGCAAGTCACATTGTAGGAGGGTGTTATGGACTGAATATTTGTGTACTCCCAAAATTCCTACGTTAAAGTTCTAACACCTGATATGGAGGTGAGGCCTTTGGAAGGTAACTAGGTTTAGCTGAGGTCATGATGATGGGATCCTTATGATGGGGTTAGTACCCTTACAAAAAGAGAAAGACACAGAGATCTCCTCATAAGCGTGCACTGATGAAAGGACATGTGAGCACATAGCAAGAAGGCAGCTATCCTGCAAGCCAGGAAGAGAGCCCTCACCAGGAACCAGATCTGCCAGCACGTTCATCTTGAACTTTCTAGCTTCCAGAACTGTGATAAGTAAATATCTGTTGTTTAAGCTACATGGTAATGGTATTTTGTACAGGACCCTGATCTAACTAAAACAGAGAGTAGAATGAGATTCTAAAAATGTACCTACACACAATGCTTTTCATTCTCATGTGAGAAATGGTACCTGTGCCTTCCTTATTGAATACATAAAGGCGTCAATGAAATAAGATGGGAAATCTCTGTTATAAAAAACTGCTTTCTGGCTGGGCACTGTGGCTCACACCTGTAATCCCAGCGCTTTGGGAGGCCGAGGCGGGTGGATCACCTGAGGTCAGGAGTTCGAGACCAGCCTGGCCTACATGGCGAAACCCCATCTCTACTAAAATA
Organism: Homo sapiens; assembly: GCF_000001405.40. Classification (NCBI taxonomy): domain Eukaryota; kingdom Metazoa; phylum Chordata; class Mammalia; order Primates; family Hominidae; genus Homo; species Homo sapiens. The sequence goes on along the minus strand of NC_000002.12, from coordinate 195,345,158 downwards.
CAAAAATTAGCCGGGAGTGGTGGCGGGCACCTGTAATCCCAACTACTTGGGAAGTTAAGGCAGGAGAATCGCTTGAACCTGGGAGGCGGAGGTTGCACTGAGCGAAGATCATGCCACTGCCCTCCAGCCTGAGCGACAGAGTGAGACTCTGTTTCAAAAAACAAACAAAAACAAACAAACAAAAACGCTTTCTGTTTTAGAACTCAAAGGGAGGCAGAATTTTCCTTTTATCTGCAGTAAATATGTCCTTTACTATACAGCATGTATTTTACTGTGCATACCGTAACGTCCACAGTTTGCCCATGAGCAGAATGAGGGAACATTATGTACATATATTTCAAAACAAAAGTCATGTCTCCCAGGCTATTTTGGAACAAATGACATAAAATTTGCTTTTTAAAACGGAAAAGTATGTTTCAGTATAGTTATCGTGCAGCATGTACAGTATATATTTTCTTGTTTTAGTGCATTAGTATTATGATAGGGGATGAAGAAGAAACTTAATGAGTTCTATTGAGTTACCCACGTTTAATGTGGGTAGGGTTGGGTGGGGAGAAGAAAGGCAGAGGTATAGGGAGAGAGCAGAGCCTTGATTGTGCTCCAGAGTTGGGCTCACTTAAAATCCCATCTCTATCCTCAACTACCTGCTTGATCTTGGGCAAACTATTTAAATTCTCTAAGCCTTAGTTTCCTTATCTATAAAATGGGGATAATGATAATATCCTCTCTATGCAGTTGCTGTGAAGGTAAAATTACTTTGGTGGAGTGCCACATAGTAAGGGTTCCTGTGGTGAAATTTCATCATCTAAATCATCTAAATCAGCTATGAGTAAGTCTCTGAGTATAATCTATCTGGGGCACCATGAAACTCAAGAAGAAGCAAGTTATTTGCTTTCAGAACACACTGAAGGGACAGGCATGAGATATGAGTTACAGACATTCAGTGGCTCTCAGCTCTACCCTCTGGGTTTCGTGCTCCATGCTTGGCGTTGTCTTTCTATTTTCATGAAGGTAGCACGTGTTTGCAGCTGAGTAGTTTTCAGTATGTTTTTTGCCTGCAGAGTTTGGCAGGGAGTGGTATCAGTCTGAGAGCCTTCTTTCATTTTGTACTCTCTCTTTTAGTGCAAACTTGCGTGTTTCTGCCGGTATAAAAATCTCAAGAACCTGATAACATTTTGATTTTAGCCCAGTGAGACCCATGTCAGACTTCTAACCTGCAGAACTGTAAGATAATAAATTTGTATTGTAAACCACTATGCTTGTGGTAATTTATTGCAGCAGCAATAGAAAACTATTAAAATTGGACTTAGCAATATGGAGGTCATTGTTGATATCGATAAAAGATGTCTCAGGGAAATAATGAGAAATGCAATGCTATAGAAGGGATATGAAAGAGGAAGTGAGAAGACCAGTTGGAAACAGTACACATAAACCACACTTGAGTTTTTTCCACATACTTCATACTTTCTTACCTCTTGGTCTTCAGTCATTGTCTTCTTTGGCTGGCTTGTCCTTTGTCTTATCCTAATTCCACACCGTTCTTGTGATTAATTCCTATCTTTAGGTCTTCCCTGACTCTGTTAATTTGGGTAAGTGCTTTCCCTTTTGGGTTCCTGTCACCTGAATGGTTACTACGTTGTATGAGATGTGCTATTTCTTCACTAAACTCCCTTGTATGCTTAGCACTTAGCAAAGTGCTTAACTGTAGTAGACCTCAATAAGTGTTCATTGAATTAATAATTATTTTGAAGGCCAGGCGCGGTGGCTCACACCTGTAGTCCCAGCACTTTGGGAGGCCAAGGTGGGTGGATCACAAGGTCAAGAGTTCAAGACCAGCCTGGCCAAGATGGTGAAACACCGTCTCTACTAAAAATACAAAAATTAGCCGGGCACTGTGGCAGGCACCTGTAATCCCGACTACTCGGGAGGCTGAGGTCGGAGAATCGCTTGAACCTGGGGGGCAGAGGTTGCAGTGAGCTGAGATTGTGCCACTGCACTCCAGCCTGGGCGACAAAGTGAGACTTGGTCTCAAAAAAAAAAAATTAATTTGAGGATTCTTGTATATCGATACATTAATTATAAAGTGTCCCTTACCCTATGAAACTTTATTATTTTTATTCTTTAGGTATTCTTTAGTTAGGCTTCTATTCAAATATTTGGTAAGATAAGCAAAAGATTAACCAATGGAATAAATAGCCATCAAGTGTCAATCAAATTAGAGATTTGGCACACTAAATCTATTTACTTAGGTGAAAGCTCTTTTCTAGAGAAATATTTGTAGATGATTATCCTAAGTTTTAAACGTAAATTTCCAAATAAGTCTTAGGTTGTAGCTTCCCATGGAAAGAAAAAACAACATACTTATGAAACTGAATATGAAGCTATTTAAATTTCAGGAAAGAGGATGCTAGGAAATTCTGTAAACATTTGAGAGCTTAAATGCACCTGCATTGAAAGCTTAAACACACGGAGACATAAGAACTAGAAACTTAAACCAATTACAACAACAAGGAAGCAAAACTTACTCAAATAAACAGAAAAAAATGATTTAGGGTTTAAGGTGCCATAGAATTTTACTTCCTTGAAGCTAATTTACTTTTAAACTTTCTTACTTGTTCCTACAAATTCTCTCTACTTCTCAACAATCCACCCCTTTCAATAGACAAAATTTCCTGTGACTTCATAAACCACATTGTTCAGTTAATTTTTTTCTGGCCTCTCACCGTGCACCAATTCCCGCATTTTGTCATTTTATAATCTGATAGGCACTGGAATTTGCTTTGAGTAAGCAGCACCATCTTACATAACTGGAAGTCTTTTATCTTGCAGCTACATCTATCTGAAATAATCTGGAACAAGGAAGAAAAGTTTGTGAGGAGTCAGGACCCTATCACAAAGATAAGACCCTATGACTCATAGAATTTACTCTTTGGAGAATCCGGCAGGCCCTCACTTAGAAACTGCTTACATTGACGCAAGTGCATTTATCAATACATCCTTAGGACATTAATGAATGATGCCTTAAGACAATAACTAGTATTTATGATGTGATGATCTTGAGGCAGATGTACAAGTTAATGTGTGTTCTATAAATTAGAATAAACTAGAACAAGAAGTGGGCTGTTCATCACTGGATGAGTTCTATCCAAAATGGATGAAATAGGAAAAGTTTCAGCACTTAGGAAATGAGTTTTATTAGTTTACAAAATAAATGTTTATGGAACATAACATTTCCTAATACAGTAGAATATGTTTTTCAATTCAGTCATCAGTGGTACCTCGTGATTTTAAATGTACTGTACTTTAAAAATTAAATCTGTTTGTAGAACAGGTTGGAGATAACTAAACAAACCCTAGGGCATCACAGGACCTCTTGGGGCCTACTTGCTGCAATGGTAGAAAGAGAAGGTCTGGCTGATGAGTCACAATTAACCCAATTGGTTCTGAATTCAAACTGTTACTCTGCCAGTAATGAGTTGCATGTACTTCATCAAACTACTTACCTAATCTTTGCCTCAGTTTCCTCATTTGTGAAAAGAGGATAATAAATATAGCCACCTCTTAGTGTGGGGCACAAAGTAAAGCACAAATAATCTTGGTTTGTTTGAGTGTTATTAACTTCAGAAATACATCTATTGGAGGCATGGTGAGAAATCAGAGAGAATTACAAAATCTTAACATTGGAAACGAACTTAAGCAGTGAGGAGAACTTAGAAACTGTCTAGTGCAACTTTCACCCAATGGACGGATCTCTTCCCAGATTTTCTGATAGTCATTTAACATCTTCATGGAAAATTCAAGGGAAGGAGCTATTTTAGGAGTCCTTCTTTCTTTTGTGGCATGGCTCTGCCTAATTCATCTATTAGCCCTAGTTTGCCTTTTAGAGAAATAGAGAGTAAAAATACCCACCCTTTGTTGAGTGTAAACTATGTTCCATATAATGTACTATACACCTTAGAGATATCATTGTTAATTTTTACAATAGTGCTATAGAATTGATAATCTTAGCTCTATTTTGTAGATTTAAAAAGTTGAGGCATTGAAGGCCAGTGATCTTTTCTGATATCATACAGTTAATATGTTTAAAAATGGTGAGATATTCTTACCAGTAATAGCCCTTTAAAATATCTGAAAATATGTGTTAGTTTTCTGTAAGCTCTCTTTTCTACAGCAAGCAATTTCTTTAGCTATTCCTTATATGGTATGAGGACTGTATGTATTTCCTCTCTGCCATCCTTCCATGAATATTTAAAAATTTCTTAATATTGCTCTTAAGTATAGCACCCAGGGATGAATACTCTTTTCCAGATAGATATTGCCTATCCTGATTTAGATATTACTCTATTATTCAGCCTAAGACAATTTTTCTGCAGCTGTGTAGCAAAATATTGACTGATGTTCAACTAGAGATCAACTAAAGCCTCTAGTTCTCCCCTTCCCCCCCTCAATAAAAATGCTGTCATGCCTGGCCTCTCCTGTCTTGTACACATGCAGGGCATTTGTTTGTCTTTTAATTATAGCATGTGTGTTAATTTTATTTCATGGGTTTCATCTTGGTGTTCTGCCTTGTCAAGATCATTGTGAATCTAAATTCTGTCATCTGACATATTAGCTCTGCCTTTCAACTTAGTGTTATTTGTGAATTTGATAACCATGCTTTCTATATCTCCATCCAGGATGTTGACAAAAGTATTAAACAGGAAAGGGTAAAGATACAATCCAGCAGCCTGATACAAGTGACATTATAGTTAATAATGCTCCACCTGAATGAGTAATGGCCTTGCATTAAAAAACTACAGCTTTGTTTGTATAGTATTTAATAGTTTCAAAGCCTTCTAGTTATCATATAATACATTATTATGATCTAATCCACTCTGATTGGGTGGATAGAGAAATTAGATTTTAAGGGTAGCAATAAGGGCCGGCTGTGTTCTGAGATTTTGGGAGCACTACAGAGTCTGTCTCTTCCCCAAGTTCCTCCTCATTCAGTTCATTGCCATGATGAATTTAAAGGAACTTTATTCTTGTGGTTTAAGTAAAATGTGAGTTTTGAATACTCTTAAAGTGCCATACTTTTGGGAAACCCCTTTGGGTCCCCTCCCATTGTATGCGAGCTCTGTTTTCACTTATTAAATCTTGCAGCTGCACACTTTTCTGGTCCGTGTTTGTTCCTGCTCGAGCTGAGCTTTCACTCACTGTCCACCACTGCTGTTTGCCGCCGTCGCATACCCGCCATTGACTTCCACCCCTCCGGATCTGGCAGGGTGTCTGCTGCATTTCTGATCCAGCGAGGCACCCATTGCCGCTTCCGTTTGGGCTAGAGGCTTGCCATTGTTCCTGCACGGCTAAGTGCAGGAATTTGTCCTAATCAAGCTGAACACTAGTCACTGGGTTCCACGGTTCTCTTCTGTGACCCACGGCTTCTAATAGAGCTATAACATTAACCGCATGGACCAAGGTTCCATTCCTTGGATTCCGTGAGGCCAAGAACCCCAGATCAGAGAACAAAAGGCTTGCTTCCATCTTGGGAGTGGCCGCCACCATCTTGTGAGCTCTAAGAACAAAGACCCACCTGTAACATTTGGTGGCAACCGTATGGTGATTCTCCAAAGCGGTGAGTAATATTGGACCACTTTGGCTTGCTATTCTGTCCTATCCTTCCTTAGAGTTGGAGGAAAATACTGGGCACCTGTTGGCCAGTTAAAAACGATTAGTGTGGCTGCCGGACTTAAGACTCAGGTGTGAGGCTTCCTGGGGAAAGGCTTTCTAACAACCCCCAACCCTTCTGGGTTGAGAGCATTGGTCTGCCTGGAAGCAGCTTCCACTTTCACAGTTTCCTGGGGGAAGCCAAGGGCTGACTAGAGGCAGAAAGCTGTTGTCCCGAACTCCTGGCATTGGCTGGTTGAGATCATGGCGCAGCCAGAAGTCTCTACTCATCAGTTGCCCATGTGTGCACCCCTACCTCTCCTTCTGACCCATACCTCCTGGGTCCTGACCACAACTTTCTTGAAAGTGTAGCCCCCAAGTTCTCCTTACCTCTGATTCTACTTTCTCTGATCCCTGACTCCTAGATACTAATGCTTCAGACTTTCACTTCCTCTCCTAAGTATTAGAGCAAGTGGTATCTTCAAAGGGATCCAAGGAAGCTCTATGTGGTGTCCTTAGGCAACTAGGCTATGAACCCAGGGAGTCTTGTCCCTGGTGCCCCTCCCAATTTAGGTATATAGCTCTTGACATGGACAGTTATGTGGGACCCATTCCTCACCACCCTTGCCAGGGCCCCAAGTTCTATTCTGAGCTGTGGCCCCAAGTTTGTAAATGGCTATGAGGATTGCTCTCCCATTGTGTAAGATGCTCTCCTCCCCCAATTGCTACCCTGCTTACCCCTCTGCAATACAATCTCCAAGCCTTGGCTTCTTGGCCAGGACCTTAGAACTGATAACCCAGTACTTTAACAAACGGAACTAGGTCTATGACAACATGATAGATCAGGATGAAAGTGAATTGAGTAAATTAAAGGGAGATGCATATTCCTATAGTGGCAAATGGGGGCAATGAGCGAACATCCTTCTGCTGTGTTCCCAAAATCCATCTACAAAAAGAGAGAGAGGAAAGAGAGAAAGAAAAGAGGGAAAAAGGGAAAAGAGAGAGGGGAAAGAGAGAGAGAAAAAGAGAGAGAGGAAAGAAAGAGGAAAAGAGGGAGTCAAAGAAAGAGGAGAGAGAGGGGAGAGAGAGGGGAAAGAGAGAGAGAGGAAAGAGAGAGAGGGGAAAGAGAAAGGCAGAGACAGAAAGAGAGAGATAAAAGTAGTAAAGAAAAAAACAGTGCACCCTATTCCTTTAAAAGCCAGGGTAAATTTAAAACCTACAATTGATAATTGAACATCTTCTCTGTGACCCTGTAACACTCCAATACCACCTTGTTGTCAGTATAAACAAGGGCATAGCCCAAAAGCACTGAGGACACTGACAATCAGTAGCCTTCCTATCAAAAATCCTTAACCCAGTAACCCACGGATGGCCCAAATGCATTTAATCTGTAGAGGCAACTGCTTTGCTAGCAGAAGAAAGTAGAAAAATAACTTTTAGAGGAAACCTCATTGTGAGCACACCTCAGAACTATCCTAAGTAAAAAAAGCAGAAAGGTAGCTTACTAACTCAAAAATCTTAAAGTATGGGGCTATTCCGTTAGAAAAAGATGACTTAACATTAACCACTGAAAATTTCCTTAACCTGGCAGATTTCCTAACAGGGGATTTAAATCTTAACTACCATACAAAAGTCCGACCAGACCTAGGAGAAACTCCCTTCAGGACAGGATGATAGATGGTTCCTCCTGGGTGATTGAAAAAAAAAACAAAAAACCACAATGGGTATTCAGTAACTGATAGGGAAACTCTTATAGAAGCAGTTAGGAAAATTGCCTAATAATTGGTCTGTTCAAAGGTACAAGCTGTTTGCACTCAGCCAAGCCTTAAAATACTTACAGAATCAAGAAACTCTATCTCAATCCTGACTCAAAAGGTTACCTACACCCCCTCTGAAACAAATTTGCATAAGAATTGTTGTTTATGGGAATGCATCTTGATGGGGCAGCTGGGTTGTTATGAAATACTCAGGAACCCAGCCCAGCTCTAGAACTCACCCCTGAGCACAAAGGCAATGTTAGGCATGGTGGTAAAGGACCACTAGAATCCAGCAGCCCAGACCCCTTTCTTTGTGGTCAAGAAAGGCGGGAAAACAGGTGTAGGACTGCTACATCGGTGAGCGTAACTAATCCGATAAGCAGAGGTCCATGGGTGGTTATGCACCCTGGAAAGGAATAAGCATTAGGACCATCAAGGATGCTCTATGACTAATGCTCATTGGAAAATGACTAGGGCTGCTGGCATCCATATGTTCTTTTTTCAGATGGGAAACGTTCCCCGCAAGGAAAAACTCCACTAAGATGTATTCTGGAGAATTTGGCCCAGTCAGAGTGTATGTACCTTTTACCCTGTCAGACTTGAAGCAAACTAAAATAGACCTAGGTAAATTCTCAGATAACTCTGATGACTATATTGGTGTTTTACAAGGGTTAGGACAATCCTTTGATCTGACATGGAGAGATACAATGTTACTGCTAGATCAGACACTAACCCCAAATGAGAGAAGTGCCACCATAACTGTAGCCCAAGAGTTTGGCGATCTCTGGTATCTCAGTCAGGTCAATAATAGGATGACAACAGAAGAAGGAGAGCAATTCCTCACAAGCCAGCAGGCAGTTCCTAGTGTAGACTCTCACTGCGACACAGAATCAGAACATGGATATTGGTGCCACAGACATTTGCTAACTTGCGTGCTAGAAGGACTAAGGAAAACTAGGAAGAAGCCTATAAATTATTCAATGATGTCCACTGTAACACAGGGAAAGGAAGAAAATCCTACTGCTTTTCTGGAGAGACTAAGGGAGGCATTGAGGAAGCGTATCTCTCTGTCACCTGACTCTACTGAAGGTCAACTAATCTTAAAGGATAAGTTTATCACTCAGTCAGTTGCAGACATTAGAAAAAACTTCAAAAGTCCACCTTAGGCCCGCAGCAAAACTTAGAAACCCTATTGAACTTGGCAACCTTGGTTTTATATAATAGAGATCAGGAGGAGCAGGCAGAACGGGACAAATGGGATAAAAGAAAAAAGGCCACCGCTTTAGTCATGGCCCTCAGGCAAGTGGACTTTGGAGGCTCTGGAAAAGGGAAAGGCTGGGCAAATCAAACGCTTAATAGGGCTTGCTTCCAGTGCGGTCTACAAGGACACTTTAAAAAAGATTGTCTGAATAGAAATAAGCCGCCCCCTCGTCCATGCCCCTTATGTTAAGGGAATCACTGGAAGGCCCACTGCCCCAGGGGACGAAGGTCCTCTGAGTCAGAAGCCACTAACTAGATGATCCAGCAGCAGGACTGAGGGTGCCCGGGGCAAGCGCCAGCCCATGCCATCACCCTCACAGAGCCCCGGGTATGCTTGACCATTGAGGGCCAAGACGCTAACTGTCTCCTGGACACTGGCGCAGCCTTCTCAGTCTTACTCTCTTGTTCCAGACAACTGTCCTCCAGATCTGTCACTATCCGAGGGGTCCTAGGACAGGCAGTCATTAGATACTTCTCCCAGCCACTACTTGTGACTGGGGAACTTTACTCTTTTCTTATGCCTTTCTAATTATGCCTGAAAGCCCCACTCCTTTGTTAGGGAGAGACATCCTAGCAAAACCAGGGGCCATTATACACTAGAATTAGGAGAAGGAAAAAGGGTAAATATATATACAGACTCTAAGTATGCTTACCTAGTCCTCCATGCCCACGCAGCAATATGGAGAGAAAGGGAATTCCTAACTTCTGAGGGAACTCCTATCAAACATCAGGAAGCCATTAAGAGATTGTTATTGGCTGTACAGAAACCTGAAGAGATGGGGTCATCAGAAAGGAAAACAAAGGGAAATAGAAGGGAACCGGCAAGTGGATATTGAAGCCAAAAGAGCCACAAGGCGGGACCCTCTGTTAGAAAAGCTTATAGAAAGACCCCTAGTATGGGGTAATCCCCTCCAGGAAACCAAGCCCCAGTACTCAGCCGAAGAAATAGAATGGGGACCCTCACAAGGACATAGTTTCCTCCCCTCAGGATGGCTAGCCACCAAAGAAGGAAAAATACTTTTGCCTGCAGCTAACCAGTGGAAATTACTTAAAATCCTTCACCAAACCTTTTACTCAGACATTGATAGCACCCATCAGATGGTCAAATCATTTACTGGGCCAAGCCTTTGCAAAACTATCAAGGGCCTGTGAAGTGTGCCAAAGAAATAATCCCCTACACTTCAGGCCATACATTTCAATCCCTGTATCTTTAACCTCCTTGTTAAGTTTGTCTCTTCCAGAATCAAACTGTAAAACTACAAATCGTTCTTCAAATGGAGCCCCAGATGCAGCCCATGACTAAGATCTACCGTGGACTGCTGGACTGGCCTGCTAGCCCATGCTCCAATGTTCATGACATCGAAGGCACCTCTCCAGAGGAAATCTCAACTGCATGACCCCTATTACACCCCAATTCAGCAGGAAGCAGTTAGAGCGGTCGTCAGGCAACCTCCCCAACAGTACTTGGGTTTTCCTGTTGAGAAGGGGAACTGAGAGACAGGACTAGCTGGATTTCCTAGGTCGACTAAGAATTCCTAAGCCTAGCTGGGGAAGGTGACAGCACCTACCTTTAAACATGGGGCTTGTAACTCAGCTCACACCTGACCAATCAGGTAGTAAAGAGGGCTCACTAAAATACCAGTTAGACTAAAAGCAGGAGGTAAAGAAATAGTCAAATCATGTATCGCCTGAGAGCACAGGGGGAGGGACAATGATCGGGATATAAACCCAAGCATTTGAACTGGCGGTGGAAACCCCCTTTGGGTCTCCTCCCATTGTATGGGAGCTCTGTTTTCACTCTATGAAATCTTGCAGCTGCCAAAAAAAAAAAAAAAAAAAGCCATACTTTTGTGTTTTTTCACTATAGCATTTATCACTATATAATGTATCTTATTATCTTGTTTATATTTTGTCACACTAGAATGTAAGCTCCATAAAGCAGGAATTTTTTCCCCTGTTTTTCTCACTGCTATTTCCATAGTAGATGTTTGTGGTAAATACTAAAAAAATATGAATACATAATTGAAAAGCTTAATTCTTAATTAAGATTGAAATCCTGCATGGTAAATTTTTATCAAGTTGGCTCCATCAAGGCATGAATGTCTGTGAACCAAATGTGAGCTCTCTGCTACTGATGTCTGCCTTCCTCCCTTGTGTTCTGTGTTAACCTCTGATGCAGGTTGTAGGAAGCTGGTAATACCTCCACGTTCTCCAAGTTTTCTTACACTTTCTCCATATGGCTGAGGTCTTCAGATTGCTCTCCATTCTAGACCCAATTTAAGTTTTTATTCCAATGGCCATTCTTGCCCTTCAGCTTTTCTGAAATGAAAAACACTTTGCCTTGAGATAGAAGTCCCAGATGCTGAATGCACACCTGCAGTTCCCATTATTGCTTATGTAGATTCTTCACTGCTCAGACTCCTTAATAGGAACTTGCACCTCTTTCACTTGGTATCTCAATGTGCTGTATGACTGTTGCTTCACTGCAGATCCATTAAGCTCTCAGGCCAAAATGAAGCACTAGGCTCATTTAACTGATGAAGCCCTTGTTCCTCTCATTTCTATCTCATATTCTTCTGCAATGATTCTAAGGTATTTCAGACAGGGACAAACAGGGAGGGAACATGAGGTTGCTGATACCTGGAAGATGAGACTCCTAAGAACAAGCATTGCCTACCAGCTGATTTTTTTGCACAGAAGGCCTCCACTTACATGATTAGGAAATAAAATACATACAAAAATACCCAAAGAACTTTTTTCTGCCTTATGTTGGAGAAAGAAGTGACCTAATTATTGTTTTCAACTACATGACGGACTGTGTCCATCTGTTTTTCTCCTCCACCAGGAATAGAACTAGAGGAAACAGGCTTAATCTGTAGCCTGAGCTTTGTAGTTTAAACATAAAGGAGAATTTCCTGACAGTGAGTAGTGGATTATAGAATTTGTTTCTTATAAGATTTAGATTTCCATCTGGCTGGGGTATGTTTGATGCAGTTGTCTCCAAAATTGGTGGAGGTGGGTGTATATGTAGGTTAAATGACTCCTCAAAGATTCTTATTCTTAAGCATTTATGATTAACTTTTTGAAAAAAGTCTTACAAATGACTTCATGCTGTCCTAATATTTTTAATGTAGGATAATGTGAATTTTAATTTATTGGAGGAGTGTATTTAAAAATAACTTCAAAAATGAATGTTCAGACACTTTTAGAGTGTAGAAGGGCATATCTTTGAATTTTGAAAAGATTGAACATGGTTTACTAAATGTATTTCTGGGCTTGCCCTAGTTGAAGCTGCTGTTTAGTTATGTTTTGTATTTCTAAAATTAAGCGAATTTGGAAAGAATTTTTTTCATGTGAAAGCTTTGATTTTGGGCAATATTGATAGTTGCAAACTTAATGCCCATCATCTTTGCCCAAAAGTTTAAAGAAAAGCTTTCTGATAATTATAGTTACTCAACAAGTCAAATGATAGATAATGGTAATAGAAATAAAAGCAATCCACTGACTGAATTATACAATATGATTCTTTGAAAAGTGATATAGTTAGAGAATAACTGAAGTAGAAATACAATAAAATAGATAAGAAGAAAGATAGATTCAAAGTGACCTCTGGGTTAGTTTAGAAATCTGTATAAATATCGAAGTATTGAAATTCTGCTAAACTCACACTTGGGACTTGCATGAAACTATTCATTCAAAAACAAGTGCAAAATGTTAAAAATGTGAACCTCTTAATCTTGATAAAAGATGTTAAATGCAAAAGACTGATAATTAAAGAAGAGGCTTTTTGATAATAGGTTGAATACTAATAACCACATTAAAATCTCCACCAAGTATTCTGTGTATCTTTCAAGACAGAAGATGTCTGCTATATTTACTTTCTTGATTGTATTTGAAATTAATTTGTACAAGTACAAATGAAAAAACAGTGATTTAATTCATGGCATCAACCATGTTTTAATGATTCAGTTAGCAAATCTTGAAAGAATACAAAAATTATGCTAAAGGGACTAGGTCAAATGCTGGTATTTGTATAATAATTTAGAAAATATAATTTAATCTTCAGGTCAGGCAGTTCTTTCTTAAATATACAAAGCAATGCATGGGGTCTTTAGACACATCTAAAACAGGTACATTGTAAGGATTTTACTGGGCTGACATTTCCCCTTCTGCCTAGCTTTGTTTTAAAAAGGAAAGGGATTCAGAAATCTCAGTTTGGGCACATAGAATAAATTATCTTCCTAAGGAATTGAAATTAAAGTGTGAGAAATCTAGTATGTAAATGTAAAAGAGTGCCTCCAAGAATTTCACAATTCCAGGAAGCACTGGTGCGATGCAGGTAGAATCCACAGTTCATATTTGACTAAAGTTCATGTTACTGTGGGAGCTGTATTACTTTTGCTCTTTTTCTGACAATCTTCTGCCTATTTACCGAGTCTGCCTCTGTATCATTCCTCAGATCCCAATATGATTATATTTAGCCCATGTTTTACTTTATTCAATATGATAGGGTTTTATTCAATATCTTGGTTAGATCTACACATTTTTACCATAACCCTTTTCATTTTCATTAAAAGTAACTAATTGCTAAGATCAGGCACATCCTTTTGGAATAGGAAACTTTGGATTTGTTGAGATTAGAAAAATGTAGGAATAGAACTGTAGATGGTCCTCCATCATGTGTTTGAAAATGAAATGAATGATTTGAGTGAGATACACTGAGAAATCATTCTCTATCATTAAACAATAATCTTATTAGGTTGTATTTAAATATGTTCACAAAGGTAGATTTTAGCTAAAAAAAAAAAAAGGGACCCCTATAAGAAGAAGAAGGAGCTTTAAAAGTAAACCTGTTAGTTACGAGATCCACACTTGTAATTCTTAAAATTAAAGAAAACTGAGGATTTTTACCTACAGGCATACTGCTAGTCATCCACCTTGCAAAATGTATTTTTCTCCTATTCCTGGGACATGTTCACACAACTAAAACATTACCAGGTTCTTTTGCTGTGAGTGCCATGTGACAAAGTTCCTTGGCAGGAAATGTATGGGCAGAAGATGTGTGCAACTCTGTTCTCACTCACTTACTTGCTCTGAGCTCACTCCTTTTCCATGTCCTGTAGCTGGAACATGGACATGCTCAAGATCCAACGTGACTGTGGGATGAGAACTATGCCCCAGGGTGTGGTAGAGCACCAGGGTAAAAGGAACATGGCCCCTTGGTAACTGAAAGGAGTGGAGCTACTCTCCCAAGCTGGCCACTCACCTTGGGAGGTGTCTGAGAGATCAATGCTTACTTCTTTAACTCATTGTTTTCAGGGGTTTCTTTAATACAGAAGCCTATCTATACTCTAACCTATTATATTTTTATAAACAAACATTTCCAACCAAGAAAAAAATATTAGGGTGAGATGTTGAATAGTTTTGATAAGATGAGAATTAATAAGAAAGGCTTTAAGGTATCTTCCTTTTTATGTTCTTATCTCTTTACCACTTCTTCACTCCTTTAGCTCCCCTCTCAGACTTTACCCACCCCATTTGTTTCCCCAGACTGGCTATACAAATTATGGAAACAGACTTTATTGCCCTTTCTGGTTGGGTTTGACCAATAAGAAGTCATGGCAAGCTGTCAGAAGTAGGTGAATGAGGTCAAGGAATTTACTTCCCTGGCTTCCTCTGTGTAAGGGTGCCCAGGGCTGTTTTTATTACTCTAACTGAATATAACTGCTTCTTTCAAAGTAGCCTCTCCTACATAATTCTCTCCTCTTTTGTAGTAACTGCTTCCTCTTTTTGTCCCTTTGATGTTAATAAACCTTGGTTACAGAATCATCTTTTATGGCTCTCCTCACTCTGTTGATACCTTTATAAATAGTCACTATGTAATTATCTTGAGTGTTAAGATAACTCTCTGTGAATTATCTTCAGTGTTCCATCTGTTTCCTGTTGGGAACCTGACTAAAACACTGTTTGTGCATCATTCTTTAAAGTAAAATGCTATTTGAATGGTAGAAAATAGTTTATGATCAGCTTGAAATTATTTTTATGAAGTCATTATGATCATTGAATGGAAATTAGAGGGAAAGTGTGTAATTTATGTTCTAGGTAACTATGCATATATAACCACAATTATTTTATAGTGAAATCTTGACCTAGAGTCAAGTTTTCTTATATCCATAGAAGAAGCTCACTTAAATTACAGAAAAATGGCTTGGGAAAAACCAACCAAACACAAAAACAAGACTTTTAGAGAAGAGTGTGAAATTAGTTGATTTTCAGAAGTGACAGCTCATGACCCTTCATGGCTCAGGGAGGCTGGCAATAGAAACAGTATCCTCAGGAAACTGGTTGTATATCCTGGTTCTCAAATGCTACCTGGTTCTCAAATGCTATGGAACAAGAAATAATTTGTGCAGGGGGCTTTATCAACCATTAACATAGTCAATATTCTTTCTGTTTTAGTTTGCTGAGAATGATGGTTTCCAACTTCATCCATGTCCTGCAAAGGACATGAATTCATCCTTTTTAATGGCTGCATAGTATTCCATGGTGTATATGTGCCATATTTTCTTTATCCAGTATATCATTGATGGGCATTTGTGTTGGTTCCAAGTCTTTGCTATTGTGAATAGTGCTGCAATATACATACATGTGCATGTGTCTTTATAGTAGAATGATTGATTTCCTTTGGGTATATACCCAGTAATGAGATTGCTGGGTCAAATGGTATTTCTGGTTCTAGATCCTTGAGTAATTGCCACACTGTCTTCCACAATGGCTGAACTATTTACACTCCCACCAACAGTGTAAAAGCGTTCCTATTTCTCCACATCCTCTCCAGCATCTGTTGTTTTTAAAGATTGCCATTCTAACTGGCATGAGATGGTATCTCATTGTGGTTTTGATTTGCATTTCTGTAATGACCAGTGATGAGCTTTTTTTCATGTGTTTGTTGGCTGCTTAAATGTCTTCTTTTGAGAAGTGTCTGTTCATATCCTTTGCCCACTTTTTGATGGGGTTGTTTGTTTTTTTCTTGTAAATTTGTTTAAGTTCCTTGTAGATTCTGGATATTAGCCCTTTGTCAGATGGATAGATTGCAAAATTTTTCTCCCATTCTGTAGGTTGCCTATTCACTCTGATGATTGTTTCTTTTGCTGTGCAGAAGCTCTTTAGTTTAATTGGACCCCGTTTGTCAATTTTGGCTTCCGTTGCCATTGCTTTTGGTGTTTTAGTCATGAAGTCTTTTCCCATGCCTATGTTCTGAATGGTATTGCCTACGTTTTCTTCTAGGGTTTTTATGGTTTTAGGTCTTATGTTTAAGTCTTTAATCCATCTTGAGTTAATTTTTGTATAAAGCACAAGGAAGGGGCCCAGTTTCAGTTTTCTGCCTATGGCTAGCCAGTTTTCCCAACACCATTTATTAAATAGGGAATCCTTTCCCCATTGGTTGTTTTTGTCAGATTTGTTAAGATTCTTTCATTTTGAAATTGCAAAAACCCAATTAAACAAGGTTTACCAAGACGGTAATTTTTTTCCTATATAATTAGAAAGTCAAAGACATCATGGGTCAAGATTTTTTTTTTTTCTGATTTCTTGGCTTTAGTTTGTTCTATGCATTAACTTTATTCTTTGGCAGGCCTTTTCTGTATGTTTGGAAAGGAGGCTGCTGACAGTCTTAACTAAATATATGTATTTATAACCTAAACTCCATGGGAGTAGAGCCTTTATCAAATATGTGGAATTCAGGTAAAGAAATGCTAGAGAGAAATTTATAGCCATGAATAAATGTAACAAAAAGAATAAAGTATGAACATCCATGAGCTAAGATGACATGTCAAAAAATTAGAAAAAGGACATCAAGAATAACCAAAGAAAGTGGAAAAAAGAAAATAATAAAATAAATTAATAAAATAGGAACCAAATGTAAGTTGATTTTTTTAGAAAGATTAATAAAATTGTTGTAATAATCTTTTGACTGCAAACGAAAAAGTAGATACATAGTCAGGTTTCTTTATTGTCAAAAAATTAGATTTTTAAATTAAGTATTAATATCTCATATCCACGAAAATTAACAATAAAAATTATAAAAAAGTATTTATATCGCTTTTAGTGTCTTCATAAGAATAACAACTCCTTTAGGTGTTTTGGAGATACTCAGACTTAACTGCAAAGGTGGTAATTCTGAACTCAAATTAATATCCCAACAAAATAAAAATCTTTTTTTTTTCTATAACACACACACGCTGCATGGATTAATTATGGATGGCTTTCTCAGAACAAAAATAGGTTACTAGTACCACAAGAAGTGGCAAATGGTGGATCACAAAATCAATCAAAGTTTACTGCATAGTCTTCTTTATAGAGATTTTCTATTTTGCACTGACTTAAGGACTTACCGTTTTTTAAAAACTTGAAGATAAAAGGAAAAACATAAAGTAAGAGATTTTTAAAAATTGCCATTGTACCAGGGGCTTCCTAGAAGTCTACTCCTCAGAACAGTGACGTGGAAAGGCCTTTCGGAAGAATCACCTTCTCATGTCCCTTTGTTACTTGACAATAAAAGGGATCCAAGATGTTCCTTACACCAAATTCCAATTAATAGAGAATGATGCCGCAGTAAAAGCATGACGTAGAGTATGAAGACTTAGAAGATTTTCACTGGATCAGTGTAACTCTGGAGGGTGTTAAAAATTGATCTCTTTCATGGTCCCAACAATGTATTTAACATAATTCCACTTTCATATGCTTAAGGTAAAGGGAGAGTAGAACAAATTAGAGTCTCAAAGCTTCAGTTCTCTTTCTCTATGATAACTATTGAAGAAAGGCATAGGAGGAATTTTAAAGGGACGCCTCTTTGCCAGCATTGAATTCTGTGAAATAAAGCAATTCAGTGACCTGGTTAATTCTGTTGCCCTAAAAAACTCTCGTATTAGTTTCCCCCATTTTCTAATATGCAAAATATTTCTGAAATAAGAAGCTGTAGGTCCTGTTCTTTACTTAGAGAAGAGATATTTGCCAAAGATAAAGTACTTGACTTTGCTTTTCTTTGGTGATTTTTTTTCATTCAATAACTTTTGGCATAGGGTACCCCATCACATCAAAAACTCTATAGTTTAAAACTCATTAAGAACAGGTTTAAGAATTTTGAATTTATTTATTACTAGTTATTTCAAGGTGAATACAAAAGAGGTAAACTTATTCTATTTTCTACTCAAACTGTCTGAAAAACACTATTTTAAACTTTTCTGCAGTTTAAAATAAGGGAGATGGCTTAGTTTTTTGGATATATGAGGGATTATCACACATATGGACATATTTCTAACATATTTCCAGGAGACAAGCTATAGAACATAAAAAGTCTGGTGGATAACCAAGAAATGAAGCAGAAGATGTGAAGATGAAACTGTGTACAGATTTCTATTTTTACCCTGCATGAAAACTGGACACATGTGGGAGCCAATTTTATAGAGATTAATAGAGTAGGGCAGCTAACTTTGAGCTGCCCAGGATGGGATTATTAGTGATTTAGTGAAAGAAAACATGTGCATAAACAACAGATAAATGCACTTGAAAACAAAGTGAAAGGTTCAAAATGGTTTCTGGAAAAGAATTTTTTCAGGAAACATCTGGAAAAATATGAAAAAGTTTACCCCCCAATTTACATAAGCTTCAAGAGAGAAATAAAGGCAATGTTGAGAGTAGTTGAGCTGGGGAGGAGAGAAGAAATGCCTAACAGTTCTGTGAACCCAAGATTTAGATAATTACAGTATGTTAAGAGTTTTTTAAGAGGTTTCCTTTTTTAAGAGTTTTTTAAGAGGTTTCCTTTGAGGGAGCAAGTACATAAAGTACCAATGAACATTCTTTCACAATTTGTTTTGAGTCTTTTAGAAAAAAAGATAGAAGGCAGAGTTTTGATATAGCTTTTTTTTAAACAATGAAAAATGGGAGAACTTCATAGCTTTTCATTACTTTACATGGTTCTTGGCTTAATTGATCTCTCATTTTATTTCTAGGATTTAAAGAAAGCAAACATGACCAGCACAAAAATAGATCGCCATTTTTCCATTTAGAAGTTACTCACAGAAAGGAAGAGAAAAGGAGCCTTACTTACTTATTTTGATCTCTAGTGAAGAAATTAGATGATATTTTTCCATAAGAGGTCATATCCTACTATGTTATGCATGTATTATAATGATTTCCTCCCAGGATGATCCCAGAATTAACAACAATTATGCTGCTTTTCCTCAACACGTAAATTTATTTCGTATACTGCTTAAGGTAGTAAGAACTGTGTGGAAGGTTATTTTAGATACCTTATCCAGGGCTGGTAGTTAAGTGATTTTTACCTCATTCCTTCAAATTTCAGAAAGTGGATGAAGAGTAATCAAGTCCTTTAAATTCACTGAAGAGTGCTTTCTCTCAAGTAGGTAGGAATTGGTAAATTATTTATATAAGTCAAATGAAGCCTTGCAGTCCTGTACTAAAACACTATTTAGTGGGAATAGAATGTAGGAAGCTCTAGAAAATCAATTTGCCACAGTACTCTTATTTGAAAACCAGCCCCATGCTAAGACTGTACAGTTATGTGAGACTTAACCCCCAGTCCCTTCATTCAATACAGTACCTCTCTTTTGGAAGCCAGGAGAGGGCTTCCTACAGAAAAAGAGCTCAATTTTGGTCTTAAGAATTTGTATTTGAATAAATGAATTAAAATTATCTACAACCAATCCCTGCTCAGTCTAGTATTTCACATAATAGCTTTAGTTTTCTTTTTTTTCATTTCTGATGTAGTATATTTTAGCACACATTACATAAAAAATAAAACCATATATCTTCTGCTTTCTCTGCCCCCCTTTTTGGTAGTTATGGCTTCCCATGGTTAAATGGCAATTAGGAATTAGGGAAGGTGATAGAATTAATGTAGGCAGGTTTTATTCTCCACCTGGCTTTAATATAGATCAAATAAGATGAATGTCCAGCCATTAGAAAGCAATTAAAAACCATTGCCTCACACACGAATTTTTGTCCTTGTTTTTCCATATATATCACCAAGAACCCTTCACTTTCCCCCTCTTTCTTGTCTATATCTTAACTAAATCTCTTCCCAAATGCTGAGTATAAAGAGTTTCTTATTTACTCCCATATGTTGACTTGAAAATCCCTTTAGGTAGATAGTTCTGGTGCTTTCTGAGGAAGAGTTGAGAGAAGATATTGAGGAAAAGATCACAAAATCACATGTTCTGGTCTTCACTAGATGATTGACAGCCATCAGTCATTTGTGTGGCTACCATGTCTACCCAAACCAATCAGAGTTCCACTGGTGGTTATTTTGTGTTTTTGGATCTTATCATTCCATCTTTCCCAAACCTTTAAATAGCTTTTAATATTAAAACAAACAATAAACAGATTTTTAAGTGTAAAAACTTAGGGTATCATTATAGTCTCTTACGTCATATTCTAATACATGTAATGCATCTATACCTTCAATATATTCTTGTTTTTGCTTTCAAGAGTGAGTTGAGAGTCATCAGAATTGATTGGCATCTATTCTATTAATGGTTAAGGCCAAACTTAGAGAAATTTGGGGAATTAGGCATACTTGATCTTTGGTGCCCCTCCATCCAGTTCTGATTTTAACTAGTCCTTTTTCTTATCTTAGTACTCTTTCTCGGTACTCAGTACAGTCTTCTCAGAGGCCAAGTCTTAGCTCCCATACTTCCACAAATACTGCTGTTTTTCTTCAACAGTATTTCTGGAAGTTCTTTAAATCATTCCAGACTTTATCTTCCTTTTGTCATCAAAGTTTTCCTCACCTCTATACTAATATTTTGCAGCTCTATCAAGTTGCTGGCAAATCTAATCAACAAATGGAAACCAAAATGATAATGGCTGAAATAAAAAATAGTGTATATTTTGACCTAAAGGAGTTAGCATTTTGTATATTTCAGGCTTGTGTCAGAGCCAATGAGAAATATATTTTTCAATGAGATTTCTGTTAGAGATAATCAGGTCATATCCATTTTCAAATGAACAACAGATAGGGCAAAAATGCCTTGACAACAGCCCAAGATGTACCTGATGATCTTTACTTCATTGGCCTTCATATATTTCTTGATAGCCCTCTCTCTCACTACTGATTTTATTCTCTCATTGCCTTGGAAGCTTCAAAACTGTCTTTGTTCATTTTGTGTTCCCATAAGAGAATGCCCGAGAGTGGGCAATTTAGAAAGAAAAGGAGTTCATTTGGCTCATGATTCTGGAGCCTGGGAAGTCCAAAGCTGGGCAGCCTGTCTGGTGAGGGTCTCATGTGAATTAAACTCATGGCAGAAAGTGGAAGGAGAAGCAAGTGCATGCAAAAAGAGGCTGGGCTTTTTTAAAATAGAAACCTACTCTTGTGGATTAGTCTCTGGGGACTAATCCAGTCTCCGGAGAGCAAAAACTCACTCACTACTGCAAGAATGGCATCAAGCCACCCAGAAGGGCAGCACTCATGACCCAAAAGCTTCCTATTAGAGCCTACTTCCCACATATTCCATCCCCCAACATTGCCATACTGGAAATTAAGTTTCCAAAATGAGTTTTGGGGACACTGAAAGCAAACTAAAAGCTCCTGCATATTATAATCAGGACATCATGAGTGGCATTCTGTGGGAAATATTTTCCCTCCATTTTGAGTGTGCTTATGCTACATCAGTGACATTCCTAATCTTCTTCAGAGCTGAAATGTAATATTGCATGGACAGAATTTACTGTTGTAATTAGACCAGATCAGGATGACATGGATTAATGGATAGCCTTAATAAAATAGTTTTTAATTCTTCACTGATAATTTTAAATGTAAGTTTTCTACCTAAGGCCATGAATAGATCAGAAACTTAAATCTGTTTAATATTTTCATGTAGCGTTTCTCATTATGTCTAAGTTAAAAAGGGCATTAAAAATATGCTACTTGAGGGAGAGACTAAAAAACAACTGTACAGAAAGAACTGTGCTTGATTTTGTATCTTGAATTTTAAACTAAGGTAGCTTCTTATGAGAACAATCCAGAGAGTTATTATGATTTTAGCATTGAGAAGACTATTAATGTGAAAATTGCTTTATTATCATTTTGACCTTATTACAACATTTAGGTTCACGGTAGACCACCTATTAAGTGATTTTTCACCTTTGAGAACAGAGGCATAGGTAAAATTGTTTTTATTAACATAAAGTTCATATTATATTAATTTGCTGTATAAGCATTCATAATACACAAAGGCTGACTAGTTCTTGATGTCAAAGGAATTGTAGTTACAATGCTCCACGGAAAAGGAAACCCTGAACATTGTTACTCACATCTTCTGTGATTTTTTTTTTTTTTTTTTTTTTTGCTATAATGCAGTGAATGAATTTCAGCCATCATTTACTGAAATCTGTTGCCTGGGGGCTTAGAACATTCTTTATATTTAGCAAGCAGGAAAACTAAAATCGTGGCATATGAATAATGAAACAGACATATGTACTCCCTCTGGTGAAGTGGAAATAAATACTGTACACCTTTACAAATATTAGTTTATTTGTCCATTTTACTTCTATCCATAGGATTATTTTGCATTCTTTTTCAATGAAAATGACTAGAAAGTGTTCACAGTTGATAAATACATTTTCAGAAATACTAAGGCTTATATTGCATTAGTAAAATATTTTTGTTCTTTATAATTTTATATAGTTTTTAAATTAAAAAAGCATATAATAGGTGGTAAGTGCTAATGATGGTAATCAGGCATCTGGAGCGGAGGAATAGTTAAAATTAAAGCTTCCTTTCCTACTCAGAAAGTGACCTAGAAACGGCTTTCAGTGCCTTAGGATATTTGGCCTTGCCAGCCTTAGGGAGGGTTGAGAGGTGCAGGTTGTCTCTGAAGTTTGTCTTTATGTTCTATTAACAAGTCTCAACCTCGAGGCTGTGTCTGATTTATGGGCTTGGCTTGGTTCCACCCCTCACAGAGGTGGACTAGGGAAGCAAAGGCAGCAGCCAGGCTATCCGTCACCCAGAAGCTAACTGTAACCAGCTGATTTAGATTCTCTGCCTTGCTTGCTTTTCCTGAACTGTTCTTCATTATCATGATTCTGGTGCTCACATTATCTGAGACGGCAGGCTTTCCAATATTTTTATTTAATTTTTTTCAGTTTGTACCTCTTCTGACTGGGGTAGTTTACTTGATAGTGTTTAAATTCAGTTTTTTTGGAATACTGTGATTATGACTTTATGAATATATTAGGGATAAACATGCTTCTGTATAGTCTTCTTAATATTTAAATGTTTGAAGATAAGGGATGAATTTGGAAACTGAATTTCTCTCTCAGGTTTATTTATTCTTATTGTCAATTGTTAGCTACTCAGGAATGGCTTTAAGCCAGAGCAGTTAATTCTTTTCTTACCTTGGTGAAAGTGGGATCCAAGACTTTCAAGAGTCAGCTGAAAGGGTGATGCTGCACATTCTATCACTGGAGAGGGGAGAAAGCAGCCTTTTAAACTATTCCTGCACTCAACAGTTTAGTTATCATTATTTTATTGAGAAGAATAACCAGAGCTTAGCCACACTCAAATATAAAAGTACTACTGGCTATGTGTTAAGTGTGTTAGTACATTATTTCATTTAATGCTTTAATTTCATTATTTCATTATTCCCATTTTTACATGTGGGGGTTCTGAAGCTCAGAAAGGGTCATTTATCTGCCAAAAAGTCACATAGCTTGTAAGCAGTAGAACCAATACTTGGGCCTCATGGACTCTGTAATGCATGCTCTCAACTACTGTGGTGATTAATAATAGCGCCCAAAGACAAAAATAAAGGAGTTAAAGCATTGTATCATTTTTTTCATGAGTTGTTCTAGCTCCATTACACAATGACTGTTTTAGAAACTGATCAGAAAATATGCCCTTAAATGATTCTAAAAATCCTTTTTTAAATTACATTTTAACTCTCAACTTGGAGAATATATAATAATCACTGGTGTTTTACAGTTACCAACGATGAGGCAGCAGTTGTGGTGATTATGAATTATTGCCTTAACCAATTTATTTTGCTGTATTTTTCTTTTTATATACGCAATAGACTAATATGTTAAAAAAGATCTCTGTCAAAGTAAGACTAAATGGCTCTTAGAATAAATGTAAACTATTTTTAAATTATGGGAAAGCAACTTGTCACAATTTAATTGTCAGTGATTTTCTCCTATTGGAACATAAAATAGTGTGTTTAATAACACTTTAGATTCAATAAAGTACAATATGCATTATGCCCATACAATGTCCATGCAAATCTATTAAGTAAAAAAGCACCAGTGCGACATTTCTCATTGTGCCTACTACATTGTAAATTTCTTGCCAACTGGATCATCTTTATATCCCAATATCACCCAGTGTAGTGCATGCAAGTGACAGATACTGAATAAATCTCTGTTGAATGAAACATGTAATGAGACTGATTTTCTTATATTCCCAGAAAGAGAAATTTAAAACAAGAGTTCCAAAAATATTTTACCAAGTGTCAGCATCATTATAATTATTGTAGAACTTCCTGTGATAATGACCTTGCTCAAAATATCATGCTAATTTTAATGTATTTATCATAAGGAGCAATGGCCTCCTAGAAAGAGCACAGTTTAGGAAGTTAGAAGATTTTAATTTTGATCTTGGCACCACCTTCCTATGACATCTTAGGTAAGTCATTTAACCACATCCTGAACTATAAGGATAATAATTAACAGCTCTCACAGCTATTGTACATGGTCAAAGTCATTGTGACTGTAAGTGAAATTATAAATGCAAAATCATTCTGAAAGCTTTAGAAAATGCTCACAAATATAATGCATTATTATAAATAAAATTGTCTTGATTTAGAGAGCTTGAAGTTTCCAACAGAGCTAATCAGAACCAAGGGACCCCAGCTTGTTACGATTATCATTAGGACAGGACTGGTCTAGTCATTTTCTTCTTGGCACTGTTCTTGGCAGGGTAGATGCTCAGTACATGTTTGTTTAATGAGGGGATACATGAATACAGAAGCAGAACTAATAACTGTAATAGATTTAGAGGACTATCTATGGACTTTATTTTCACAAAATTGCACAGTCCTTTGAAAAGGAAGTTGGGATAATGAGAATACCTTATTTCCCCTCAATGTGGAGCTGGGATTAAATGTCAGCATTGCTGGGATTATGCAATACATACTAAAAAAAATTACCCTTTTGCCCCTGATCTGATATTCTTGAAATATCTGGACAGAAACAACATTTTGTATAATAAAAAAAGTTTTGTCTGGAAACTGCAGGTTTCCATACCAGTAGTCACTATGTAGCTAATAAGATTTGGAAATTGGATTCTTATTAATACAGTTATGCTCCACATAATGACATTTCAGTCAACAATAGACCACATATCTGTTGGTGGTCCTACAGATTATAATGGAGCTGAAAAATTCCTATCACCTAGTCATGTCATAGGCATCATAATGTCATGGTGAAATGCATTACTCACATGTTTGCGGTAATGGTGGTATAAACAAATTTACTGTGCTGCCAGTCATATAAAATATAGCATATAGAATTGTGTATAGTACATAATACTTGACAATGTTAGTAAGCAACTATGTTACTGGTTTATGTATTTACTGTACTATACTTTTATTGTTAGAGTGTACTCCTTCTACTTATAAAAAATTTAACTGTAAAACAGCCTCAGACAGGTTCTTCAGGAAGTATTCCAGAGGAAGGCACTGTTATCATAGGAGATGATATAACAGCTCCATGCCTGCTATTGCTCCTGAAGACCTTCCACTGGGACAAGACATGGAGGGGAAAGACAGTGATGTTCATGATCCTTAGGTTAATATGTGTGTTTGTGTCTTAATTTTTAACAGAAATTTTTACAAAGTAAGTAAAAATAAAAACTTTTAAAAATAGAAAAAGCTTATAGAATAAGAATATAAAGAAAAAATACTTTTGTGTAGCTATACAATATGTGTGTAAGCTAAGTGTTATTACAAGAGTCAAAAAGTAAAAAAAAAATTGAAAAGTTTGTAAACAGTTCCAGTAAGCCAAGGTTAATTTATTATTGAAGAAAGAAAGAATTTAAAATAAATTTAGTGTAGCCTAAGCATACAGTGTTTCTAAAGCCTGTAGTTGTGTACACGAATGTCCTAGGGCTCACATTCCATTACTAACACATTCCGTTCCTCACTAACCATTCACTCATTGACTCACGCAGGGCACCTCCCAATCCTGCAAACTCCATTCATGGTAAGTGCCCTATAGAGGTGTGCTTTATAAAAAAACCTTTTATACTTTATTTTCTGTACCTTTACTGTTTAGATATTTTTAAATACAGAAGCACTTACCATTGTGTTACAATTGCCTTCTGTACAGTAACATACTGTTCAGGTTTGTAGCTTAGGAGCAATAGGCTATACCACATGGCCTAGGTGTGTAGCATACTATAGTATCCAGGTTTGTATAAATACACGCTATGATGTTCCCACAAAGATAAAATTGCTTAATGATGAATTTCTCAGAATGTATCCCCATTGTTAAGCAATGCATGACTGTCCTTTTTACAAATACTGCAGATAGAACTTTCATGTTTAAAAAATGTATCATAGCAAATTTGCTCATCAATCTAGCAAAATGTGCTTTTTTACTGAGATATAACTTGAACATTGAAATTAAATGTTTTAAATCATGTGAGTAATCCTGTCTCTCTTAAGAATGTCAGCACAATTAACAAAGGTAAAGTATATTTTTTCTGAAGGAAAATAGAATTGATTTATGAATATCATGCTGCCGCTTGGTGGCACTCTTTACTCATTTAAAGCAACTGTGACACCCAGAGAAAAAATGTGTTGGTAATAAAGCAAAGTGACAATCCAGGGAGAATTTCAATAGTCTAATTTTAGACATAGCATTCAGGTGTTTTGGTATTCTGATAGCTTGGATCAGGTGGTTTCTAGAGCTTGCCAGTGCACTGGAGGTCTAAGGGATGTCACTCAGGTTATGAAATGTATCAGGTTTGCATATAATGATATTTTTACTCTCCAAAATTTGGCATATTCGATTTACCTCTTTGATTTTCTTTTGTCTCCATTTTGGAGGACATGGTTTTTAAAGCCTGACGAGTGTATAGAGAGAAAATACATAATGAGTTATTTTCCATAACTTGGAAATAAGAAATAACTTGGATCAGTAAAAATTCTACAAAGTAATCTATAACAACCTTTTGATTGCTAGGTGGCTGAGCCTTATTTACAAATGAGATTTAGAAAAAGGTAAGGAACAGCTGTCATGAGCCAATTTATTCATTGAAGAGCATTTTTTAGGAAGTACAAATTGGGGTAAATGCACACATATAATGCCGAGTGGAGCAGGGTTGTTAAATCAGTCTGAATGCAAAATGTTAATAATGGCATCCTGGCCAACTGTCACTTTTTCACATGACCAGCCACCATTCCAAAGGTTTAATTTGACATCAATCATTTTAATAGAACATTAGAAAAGAAATTATATTAGAATATTGTCAGTGGGATATATGGGACTAGAATTTCCAACTCAGTCTATCTTGTTCTTGCTATGTATAAAAATACTCAATACTAACCATTTTTCAGCATTTGGAGTAGGAGGTAGAAAACATTAAAGACCCATGCCTATCTTCATTACAATCACAGAGTCTGGGCAACAGTCCCAGCCTCCAGCATAAAGAAGCTCCCAGAGTGTAGCGCATTAGTGAGTATAGTTCACCTTTATCAGCTGTGGCATCAATCACATTCTGATTAGTTATATTGGGTCCCCACCTAAGCCACTCAATTATGAAAATCTGTCCAAGGCAGAACTAGCACGCCATTGCATTTGAAATCCACTCAGACAATCACATCGATGCTAAGATTCTATGTCTCTCATTTTAGCAGACAAATTTCATTGAGAAGCAGCCACATATGTTTTGGACATGGTTTCTCCAAGTATACTCTGAGAACAAATGTGTTTCCAAAATACCCAGATGATGGTTAAAATGCAGATTTCTTGGCCCTTCTAAAGAATGGGAGTTAGCATAGAGCATCACCATTTTCAGGAAACTCTCTGAGTG
Organism: Homo sapiens; assembly: GCF_000001405.40. Taxonomy (NCBI): domain Eukaryota; kingdom Metazoa; phylum Chordata; class Mammalia; order Primates; family Hominidae; genus Homo; species Homo sapiens. The sequence continues at coordinate 195,317,384 of NC_000002.12, read as the reverse complement.
ATTCTCATGCTTACTACAGTTTGAGAACTACTGTTTGGTGAGGAACAACTCCTGTGACTATGTAAACATCAGACATAATTTCTTGACCATGCAGTATGTGTTTGCCACTGTTCATCTTAACAGTGAGTATGTTTCTAATTTTAGTAACTCTTTCAAGTTCTTTGGAACAAGGGTCTTGGATTTAAAACTATGGTGTATATCAAATATCACAGAACTAGAGTAGCTTAGAATTAAACTACGGAGGAATATTCTGATTGAATTTTTGATTTACCAGAAGTATACTGTTTTCACAAAATATCCAGGGATAATCGTTAGAGATGGTGCTTTCCCAGGAAAACTAACATTTGTTGATTATCTACTCTGCGGCAGATTCTTTATATTGCAATATTCCAATTACTCCAAAATGGTCTTATTTGATTTCCTGTTTATCTATTACATGAAATGATGTGAACATGTCATCATTTGAAGCTGGTAAAGGTTAATAGGGATTTCTTGCTCACTGTTAATCAGGTTCTCTCAGGGACATTTGAGTTATTATTGTTAAGATACACTTTGAAGGCTCTTAAGGATCTCTGCACCATTTTTAGCTGTCTTTTTTTATTTTGAAAATCTTGTATCATATGTATTTTTAGATACTTTTACAGTCCTTGCTTTTATCTTATCTTTCATTCTGAGCTCACAGTAACTTATGGCTTTGAGCCAAAATGTTCAATCATATACTTCCTTTTTAGAGTTTCTACCATGATATTTCTCAGCTAGTGTAGAAGTTTATGTCACTTAATGGGCATGCTTTGTATGCTGAATATGCTCAAATAGTCAAAAGGCACACATAATTGTGAATAGCAGAATCCAATTTTAAGTCTTATTTCATATTCCTATATTTCTAGGAGGATATCTTACTGCAATGTGACGTTTAACAAGAATAATTATCCCTTCAACTTCTGGATCACCGTGAGGGTTCATAATAAAACTCCTGGCTCCCCAGAAAGGCAACTGGGAAATCACGCAAATCAGACTTAAAGGCTCCTATTTGATTCTTACAAGAAATTAATTCCACAAGCACCATTGTATAGTGTGAGCAGAAAGAGCATTTCTAGGTTCCATCAACATTCTGTTCTGTACCCTCAACCTATTGACATGAAAGCCATGTTTCTAATAATTGAGACTGTTTGCTTCTATCATCTTTCTTTGAGACTTGCATACTGATGGTAGTTGGGAAATAATAGCTTCCATTATTTCAACTCTTGCCTGCTAATGAGAATCTGAAAATGATTTGAGACTAATTCCAACAAGGTCTCTCAAAATTATCTACTCTGGTGGCTGTAGTAAATAGTAAATATAATCTATTAATTGTTGAATTTCAGAATTGAAATGGGCTGTAGCAATCATGTTGCTTAAATCTTTTATTTTACAGAAAAGGAAACAGGTGTTAAAAAATTTATTTCACTGTAAAACCAAATTTGCAGCTTTACATAATAAAATGCTAATAATTTAAACTGCATAGGAATGAATAAAACTTGAACATTCAGGTTTATACTTGAAGGATGAAAAGTCTAAATCTGCCTTCCATTTTGTTTTATTGTCTTTTGATTTCTTTCTATAATTATTTATACTTAATCCACATTTCTTAAAATGAGATATTGATAAAAGCCCTAGTTTTCTCCAGTTGTTTTCATGTCAGAGAACAAATTCCAGGGGACAATATGCATTATTTTGATGATCGTAAATGGCATCACTTAATAGTATCCACCACAACTCACAATAATAATTCTCACAGATTTTCTTTTGTATATTCTGCTTTTCCTTGCCTTGGACTGAGAGCATTTGATTTTGAAGAGCTGACTGCTTATAAAGTTTACCTGTTTATGACACTCTGGCTGTGCTCTTGGTGCTTCTAACAGTCCCTGAAAGAGCAGGCAGATAAATTAACTTAACAGTGAGCCTGCATTGATTCCCTGGTGTGGCTTCATTGAGCTGTGCCCTGCAAAGGGCTGAGCTGGGTGTACAACAGGGATAAGGACATGTACAATGTGTGAGGGGGAGCTCACCAGTTGGTATCCCTTGTATTTTAGCCTATGATGTGTGGCATACACCATCATGCTGTGATTTTCATTTCTTTCCTTTGCCTTTCCATGTCTGGCCTCCCATACACCCTTGTCATTTTCTTCTTCACTGTGTCTTTTGTATGTGTCTCTCTTCAATAAAATATTCTACTCTGAAAGAATATGAGAGCTCATCCTGTCCCACTGCATGCCTATTACAAGAATCACTTCTATTGCATTATTGGTCAATACTCTGATTTGTACTTGCATATTTCTAGTACCAAATAATTCACTACTTTTCCAGGAATTTTATTACTGGGAAACTCTAATTATTAGAAAATATTTCATTCATAGTGTCGTGAAAATCCTTTCCTCTACAGTGGTTATCCTTTGGTTTTGTTTTCAGAAAGTATTCAAAATAAGAATGATTCCTGCTTTACATGGTAACTCATCATCAAACATTTAGGGTCAGCCGTTATGGCCCAACCGAAGCCCCACCCCCAGTCAATACACACACACACACACACACACACACACACACACCCCCGCGCTTCTTATGGCCCAACCGAAGCCCCACCCCCAGTCAATACACACACACACACACACACACACACACACACACACACACACCCCCGTGCTTCTTCAGGCCAGACATCCCAATTCTTCAGGTAGCAGTAGTTTATGGACTGCTTGTCAACTTGTTTACTTCTTGTGTCTTTGTCACAATATAGCAACTTCTGTCTAAAAATAATATGCAGAATTGAACACAATAATTTTCCTTGATCTAGAGATTATATTTCTATTAAAGTCCAAGTCGAAGTTTGCACTTGTTTGCTTGTTTTAGTGGCAGTCATATGCTCTGAGCCCGTCTTGGTCTTAGGGTGAACCACCCACCTACCCACCTCTCCTTCATAGAACTTCTTGAATATGCATTTCTCCATTGTGTACTCTTGCAATTCGTTTATTGAACATCACATTTGTAATTGTTTATGTCACTATTTTCAGTCTTTCACTCTGAAAACTTAATTCTGTTAATCAGCATAGTAGTTTGTCTCAGTTTTGTGTAATGTGAAATTTCGAAAAGAATATCTTCACTCAAGTAGAACAGGAGGTCTTGAAGGATGATGCCTGCAACTCAGTCACAGAGAATTCTCTTGGGGTTGAGCAACCACAACTCTACAGAACTGTATTGTCATCAGATCCACATCTGATGTTATAATGACTTGTCAAATCCCTTGTCAAGATTCTCTGTTTCTTTTACCAATCTTATAATTTACAGCTGCTCTCTGTTTCTGGCTCCTTATTTCATTCACAGTTTGCTGTACCATAGTTATATATGGTCTTGCTGGGCTTAGGCACTTTCTCATCTCTGTTCTCTAGAGATATTGGAACTGCTTCCTTAAATGCTATTTTTTAGCAAGTCATTGAATCAGGGCCACAAAATTATATTTTACAATTGTGTTGGCATAAAGTTAATTTTTTAACCTGGAAGTTAGTTTTTTCTTTGCATTATAAAAGAAATTTAATTTTTGTGGGCCTCAGCATTGTGTCTACTGTACTTTAACGGATAAGCCAAACCCACAATGTCATCTAACCAGCATGTGCACCAGTATCTAACACGATAGTTCATTACTTGTTCTTCCCTAGTCCATTTTTCTGTTTCCATGACTGTACTGAACTCTGGCTCCTATATTTTAGATGGCTTACATACTAATTCCTCTGATCATCAATCTCACTTCTTTCACATTTCATGGCACGTTATATACCAGCTGTTTACTTAGTAGTTGCTCAATATATACTTAGACAATTTATTTCTTTGTGTTAAATATTAAAAAAATTCATTTTGATATTTAATTTAGAATTAAGGATTTATTATGGTCATTAGCAGTTAATAAGGATTACACTGTGACACTATTATCAATTCATAAGTATCTGAGGAAACTTATCACTGATTAAAATAATTTTAATTTTTTTATGATTCACATGAACTGTATCAATAAAAAAATGTGAAAAACATTGAAAGTTAAAAAGTAGAAAACCTGGCCGGGTGCGGTGGCTCACGCCTGTAATCCCAGCACTTTGGGAGGCCGAGGCAGGCGGATCACGAGGTCAGGAGATGGAGACCATCCTGGCTAACATGGTGAAACCCCATCTCTACTAAAAATACAAAAAAAAAAAAAAAGTAGAAAACATAAATCACTTAGACTTTTATCACGGAAGGAAGAAAATTGGATTGATTTTGTTGTATTTTTTTCTAGATATTTCATACATAAACTTATTGATACGGTTTGGATCTGCGTCCTCACCCAAATCTCATGTCGAATTGGAATTCCCAGTGTTGGAGGAAAGGCCTGGTAGAACGCAATGGGATCATGGGAGTGAAGTTCTCATGAGTGGTTTAGAGCCATCCCTTTGGTGCTATTCTCATGATAGAGTTCTTACACCATCTGGTTGTTTAAAAGTGAGTAGCACCTCCCCTCCTCCCTTTCCTCTTGCTCTGGGGTAAGGAAGTGAAATGCTGGCTTCCTCTTTGCCTTCTGCCATGATTAAAAGTTTCCTGAGGCCTCTTTAGAAGCTGTCATGCTTCCTGTACAGCCTGCAGAACCATGGGCCAATTAAAATACTTTTCTTTATAAATTATCCAGTCTCAGGTATTTATTTATGGTAGTGTAAGAACAGACTAACACACTTATTTATACTTTAAATAAAATTAAAATCATTCTGCTATACTCCTTTGTAGCCTACATTTTTCACTTAGCATTATTCCGAAGACATTTGCCCACTTAGCGTTCTTTTTCACTTAGTGTTATTCTGAAGACATTTGTCATTCATTATTCTACAAGGCTATGATTTTAATGACTAAATTATGAAATTATGTCTGTTATGATATACCATAGTTTATTTAATCTCTCATCTATTTTGGGAATATTTAAGTTGTTTCCAATTTTTAGGGGGTTTAAGTCAGGTCTAACAAATTTATTTATTTTACATTTGTTATTCTTTAATTGCTGCAGAAAAATTCAGGAACTTCACAGGTGGTGGTAATAGGGAAGTCATCTTCAACAAAATTCCTCTTTTTAAAAAATGTTTAAATGTAGACTTTTAAAATTAAAATGTTTTTATTTGAATTAAAGAAACGATGCAAAGGCAAATGTAAACTAGAAGCAGTTTCAAAAATTTTCATAAATTTAAATCTTATAAAAATATTACAATAGTAATATTTTGTTGGTGAAAGTCTATTTGCTTATAGTGAATGAACTGGCTTATCAACATGGATCTAGTTTTTCTAGTTCCAATACTGCAGAAGCTGTTTATTGCTTTGTGTGCTTTATCTAACAAATGTTGCTTTAAAAAACAAACAAAAAAAGGTAAAATTACAAGATATATCGAGTCTGAAAGTGCAGTGTGGGAAATCTATTAGGCATTGTCTACTATTTGAAGAAGAAAGATGGATTGACAAAAGCTATTAAAAACTGGAATTAATGCATATTTTATGAACTCTGCAACATTAAGGGGAAGATCAAACTTAAAGGTGGCCATTTCAGGCTTTACATAGCCCTTTATAATTTTATTTTCATCTCTTCGAGTAACGTGGGTGTAATGCCAGCAGACCAGTTATGTTCCAGAGATGAAATAACTATCTTCAGCAGCTTGGCAATCAAGGATCTATTGTCTAAAAATCTTCCTGGTGTTTGTAATGTAAAATTGCCAAAGCATCTGCTTTTTTATCCTAGCAGAGCTCAGATGGTTCACAATGTCCACAGGCCCACATACCGTCTCTGACCTTCTGCCATAGTGCTCAAAAGATGTTTTACACTGATGTGCAAAGTGCTCTTTCCCATAAAAATGTTACAGCCATGAATAAAGGTAAAAGAGCTGCAAATATAATTATATGAATGAATTAATCTATATGCTGATTTATACTACAGGAAAATAAAAACAGCAATGTTTTACCACATAATGTGAACATAATTTTGTTTCTTTTTAATGCGTTCAGACACCAGTCATATCTATCTTATCTATGTATCAGCATTTACAGAATGCAACTGTTGTTAAATTACTTTTTCCACTCATAAATCAGCCTTGTGAACTTTTCCTCAAGGATACAACCTGTGAAGAAATTGTTAGATGGAATATAGAATTGGAGCTATAAGAACAAAGAGATAATAATGTGGCTACAAAGAATAATGAATGTGTAGATTTTGGATGTTGCTTCTAATTTCACTTCAAAAGGTTGTTACAGCAAAGTGGTATAGTCACACACCAAAAATGTGCACAGTAAATACAGGATGGGGATGAATTAGTGGTACTTTAGGAATGGGTTGAGGTGGGTTTTAGGAAACAGCAATTTGAATATAAATTAATGATGCTGTATTGATATAGAAACATTTCATTTGACACATGGCCAAGTGCTATTCAATTTTAAAAGGACAATAATAATAGCAGTTGTAACATCAATAGCCTGTATATCTCAGCTAGACAGTTTGCATGCATTATATCACATCCTTACAAAAAGGATGCAAAGTGCCTTTATTATTTAAAAATTAAAATGAGTGAGAAACTGAGGCTGGCAGCAGGGGAGGTAGGTGGTGGAGAGGTGGTAGGTGGTGGTGATGATCTCTTGCTAAGTGATCATTGGCAGAGCTGAGATCTGAACTGACATCTCTCTAATTCCAAAGACTGCATTCTTTCCAACACACTATGTAATAACTGGGCAACCATATTTCTGCTGTGGTTGGTATTGAATAGACTCTGGAGGCTGTTGTCTACATCTGATAACCTCTGTAATTTTTTGGATTTGTTTCCCAACTGTAAAATAAGTTCTTAATCACCCACAACATTTTCTATTCTCTCATGATTAACTTGGCATGCTTGATTATGACAGGTTCTTGCTAGCAAACAATTTTGGCATTGTTCAGGGTCTGTCAAACCTGTAGCAAACACAAACGGATGCCCAGAGGGTAATCTCTGAGTTTGTGGAACACCCTCTAGTCAAAATTCTGCAGCCCATATCATTGAAAGAATAATTGTTTGGGTATTTAGTATATATCCTAAGCTAGCTTCTGGAGAGTTATTATTACTAAATACACAATTTCCTATTCCTGGATCATACTTCATGGAGTCGTCCCATAAGGAGCAACTTCCTCACATATCTATGCTTGTAAATTCGTATATATGTACACACACAGATATATGTATTACCTTATGTGTATGTATATATATAGTGTGTGTGTGTGTGTGAGAGAGAGAGAGAGACAGAGAGAGAGAGAGACTTCAGATTCATGGGTCATATTTTCAATCATTATTTGCCCGTCCCTTATAAACAGCAATTATGGCCTTTTAAACCCCAGGTAGAGTTTCTCTGGAAGATTTCAGCCTCCATAGCCTCCATAGATCCCCCAAAGTGGATTTTTTTCTATGATCTGTGCCTATATTTCAGTCTGACTATCCCAATCATTTTCTCCAAATTTGGTGAAATTCCTCTTAGTTATTTTCACGTGGTAAGTAAAAATACTGAAATTTGATTTTTTATTTAAATGGATTGTAACCTTTGGCAAGTTGGTTACCTTTATCATTAGATTTGTAATATAAAAACTGGGGAAAGAGGTAGAATCCACCATTGTAGATTTTTTTGAGGATTAAAGTTAAAATATGCATGCAAGTTGCCTTGCTGAGTGCTCAGCTATATTAAACAGTCAATAAATGTTAATAATTATTGGCATATGGAAGCATGAAGTCCCTTTACCTTAACTTGTTTCATTGTTTAATTTGGTATAGATTATGCCAGAGTACAGTGTTTACAAGAAAAGAGAGTAAAGGCTATACTAGAAAGGAGAAGAGACAAGACAATGGGAGTAAAGGAGAGGGGGAGCAAAAGGCAGAGAGAAGAGAAGGGGAGCGAAAGGAGGAGAGGAAAGAGGGAAGCAAGAGGGAAGAGGAGGAAAAGGAGGAGGGGAATAAGGAAGAGGGGGAAGAGAAGGGGAGGAAGACGAGGAGGAGGAGGAGAGTGTGCACTTTGGATACAGAGGGAAATGGATGCAGGCTTCAGGCAAATATGAGATGGAGGAGAGAGGCTATGGGTTACATTGGTTTCCATTTCCTTCTTTTTCTCAAAATTTAACTGATTGTAAACTCTTTGAAAAAGGTTTATCCATATTTTTTCCCAAGGTAGAATTTCCTTGTGGTTAGCATAGGACTAAAATGGAAAAGGGGAGGAGAAAGAGTGAGGATATTGGCAGGGTAGCTCTCTTTCTCTGGTCCTACATGCTTATTTTCTGTTTTCTTTATTCTTGAACTACCTGCTTTGCAGTCGAGGAAACTGGGAAGGTAAGCACATTGGTTCTCTTTCATTCCCAGTCCCTGTTGGTCACAGAGGCCATTAAGACTTAAGAGAAGTTACATGCACACAACCTTTCTCCTATCCAATCTTAGTCCTATCCCATTACTTTCTCATTCCAAGTTTTTAATTTTGGTGGTGCAAGGGTTATGATATTTGGTTTTCGGAAAAACTGGGAGATTTACAGTGGGTCAGGAAAAAGGAGAAATCATTGACTTGTGATTTAGCAAGTGAGAAGAGTTCTTAAAAAGGAAAACCTTTGATTGCTTTCTTATTAAATATACTGACTGTTCCAATGGATAGAACCTAAAGAAAATATTTATTGTGCTGACTTCTTTATGGGAAAACTGGTTGCTACTAAACCGTAAAAGTCCCGTAATTATACGCTATCTTTCGATCCAGAGATCTTCAACATACATAACTTTATCTGTCTTGATCTATTGCTTGGAAGATTTTATTTTCACAACCTGTACTGATCCATCTTATTATAAGTGATTACATTGGACTACTTAAATCCCAGTGGATTACATCCTCATAAAATGGTATATAATCAGTTTGATGAAGCACAACCAGTATGTCACTGTATAATAGGTTACATCTTACATATTGGAAGCTGGACTACTAAAAATAAATTTCACTCTTTTTGTCATCTTTGTTTGTGAGTCAACAAGCTGTAAAAATTCCTGTGTACTTTGTTAAAGCCTTATGTAACTTCTGCAAATATATATCTTTATTATTTTAGTAAACATTTAACCTGTGTTTTTAAAATAAAATTATTTAAAAGATTAGGGTTATCAGTGTGGGAGTTCTGTCAGGCTGGTGAGAAAAAATTTACGATGAAGTTGTAGGATATAAACACAAATCTTCTTGGAAGGCCGGAAGGTTTTTGAAAAGTCTCAGGATAGGGTTATGTCTGAAAGCAGCCTAATCTTTACCTTGAGTAAATAACTTAGAGTAGATACATAGGAATGTAGAGGAGTTTATCTAAATAACTTGTTTACTCATGTGGTCCTAAAACTAACCTTTGATCATTCGCAGGCAGGATGGCTCTGCAGGGGGTGGGGTGGGGATGGCGGTGGCGTGTTGGAGGGGGGGAGATGACCAGGTTGATTACCTTCTAATGGTGTTGACTCAAAGCCTTTATCATTTAATGTGTGCTGAATAGATGCCGGCAGGGCCAGCTAGTCGGGCCATGGCTGCAACTCCTTGCAGCACTCTCCTTGGAACCTGTAAGTGGCCCAGACCGTCAGCTGGACTGAGAAGCATAATATCTGTGTCAGTGTATGTTATTCATCCATAGTTGGGTCAGGGTCTGCGGGACAGACCCCTGCATATCAGCTAAGAAAATTGTCTGCTTTGTTTTTTGTTTTAAGAATTTAGGATTATATTTGTAGGTTCTTTTTTGAAATTGTATTTTTAATTTTTGTGGGTACATAGTAGGTGTATATATTTCAAAGGGGTACATGAGGTGCTTTCATACAGACATGCAATGCACAATAAACACATCATGCAGAATGGGTATATCCATCACCTCAAACATTGTAATTTCTTCAAATTAAAGATATGACATCTCAGAGTTCATCCAGTCTCCTGGTCCAAGGCTCATTCCTAGTGACTTGTTATTATGAGATTTTTTTTGAATCCAGATTTTTTTCTTTGTTTCTGGGATCTTTAAAAAATGACATTTACATGCAATTAAGTCTCATCCTCTGCAAAATGTTGTCACTGTAGCTCCAGCTGAGGTTGACTGGAACAAACTATTTTACAATAGTACATGTGATGCTGTGCCAGAAAGTCAGCTTAGAACATGATGCATAACATTGCTTTCAGCAAAAGTTTTATTGCCAGTTCCAGTAATAATTGGTACACACGAAGATGCAAAATTAGATAGTTACTGTTCAATTTGAACTGCTTTGAGCTCCTAAAAAACTACCTCATAAATGTACAAAAATGGAGAATTTTACCCCTTAGCTTGTGAGACAAAAAACGAAAGACCAACTTATATCTGTAGCAGGCAAACCCACATTATGTTTAACCTCAAAGAGACATAAGAATCCTTATTGACAACAGCTCATATGGTGACTTTGTTGTCTCTGTCTTCATATATGTAATTTTCCCCAAGATTTTTAGAGTAAACCCAACCAAGTCAGAATGCATACACAATGTAATTAACAAACTCCACCTGTGTATTGAACATATGTTAATATTGTGAATTTACTGATTTCATCCTCATAAAGTAGTTTAATACACAGCAGGATTTTGAATTCTTATTGTCACCTTAGAGCTACTATTAAAGTAAATGGGAGTTGTGATCTCATGCCACACCATTGTGATGTTGACTGTGTAGACAGGGAAAAACAGTGCAATGACAAGAGCAAAACTTATGGTATCTTATATCTTACAAGTAATCTTATTCCAATAACACTACAGGCATGTGTTTTATGTTTGATTTTTCCTCCTTTTGGAAATATTTAAAATAGTTTTGAATCTTGAATGTTGCTTATTTAAATCTAGATTGATTTACTTTGCTTATGTGCCAGTGTATTAATTTTTCTTCATAGCATTATTGAATTTCCCCCAAATAGTGGCTGTGCAGATGGTATTTTCACATTTCTTTTCTGTATTATAATATGCCTTGAAAATTATAAAGCAAAATACATGTTTGGTAAGCTATAGAATATTTTTGTTTAAATTCCTTTTCATAGAGCTCATGCTTGTGATCTGTGATTTTAACCAGCTGGTTTATGTTTCAGATTTATGGTCACAAACAGATAACTCCTGTTTTCTGACCAATAATGTAACCATAAGTGCCATCACTTCTGATATTGATCTCTTGAGATCTTTTAAAGCAGCTTTCTGAAATGAAGAGTCATCAGAAGTTAAAAACATGCTGCTTCTATTCCTACTACAAATCAAGTCTTCAGAAGCTGAAGCCTGAACTAGAAACCAGATTTCTCTTTTTCTTGATGTCTTTGAGTTAGAGAGAACAAAGGATAAGTAAAGACAAGAGAGGAATCTGAGTCAGCAAGAGAGAGACAGGGATCACTACACAATACCAATGTGCTTCAGAAGTGTTAATAAGCACCTCTGTATTGACAATTAAAGTATAGAGGGGCAAAAGGAGTTGGTTTTAAATGCATGAGCAGTAGTAGATGTAGGACATTGACATTTTAATTTCCCAGTGGTTCTTTGATGGGTCTATACTATGTGAACCATCATGAAAATTTAATCTCTATGTAGAACTGATGGGAGTTAAAAAATCAATAGTAGTAACAATAATACTATTATTAATAAAATAATAAAATAATTATTTAGGGACTTATTTTTCAGAGATTAAGACAATTGCTTTACATATCTTTTCTAACAAATGATCTGCATAATAATCCCTGGTGGTAGCTACTATTGTGTAAGTTTTGCAGAGCAGAAAACTGAAATACAGGGAAGATAAATAACAACTAACAAAAAGCAAGTACCTCAGGTCAGAGCTTGGTTTTAATCCCAGAAAGTCTGACTACAAAAGCCTCAGTGGTCAACATTGCACTTGATTGCCTTTGTGTCTAAAGGACTGGGAGCAGAGCAGAATGTCTGGTCATTTCCAGCATCTTAAAAGTGAATTCTAGCCCAGGTGCCAAAGCCAGGACTTTGTCTACTGAGAAACAATCCACTTCGCTGTTGCTTGTGTAGACCTCATCTTACCCTTCTCTCTAACTTTTATATTTCCATCCTTTTCCATTTTAATTTCTGGTATTCTTTCATCTAAAATAATAGCATAGGATTATACCTTAGATGCTACCTAATGTCTTTCCATATGCATTGATATTGGGTAACAATTGTCAAAGAGAAGTAGAGAATTGTGGCAATGCTCTGAAGTTTCTCAAGGGGAAAATTTCAAGGATGATCATTCAACTAATTGTTAAAAATTGTTTTATTTAAGGTTGAACTGATCAGGTTTTTTATTTTTACTATGTATATGCAATAGTTAGGTCTCTGAAGCAAAAATAATATATAGGTGATTTGGATAACTATCGGCACAATTCAGCCAATTGCTTTCCTTTTCCCATTCTTCAGACATCCAGAAGGTACTGGCCTCACTCATCACTACTGTTTTCTCATCTCTTTCACACTTTTTTAACTTCATATTATTTCTTCACTGACTTTACTTGAGATTTATTTCTGAATACATGCACTTAAATGAAATATTTTTATATTCAATTTTATTGAAAATTGTATACACTTCTCATTTTATTTGTAAGAGGGCTCAGTGGCAATTATAGTCACACTGTGTTCGTTCTCACACTGCCGCAAAGAACTACCTGAGACTAGGTAATTTATAAAGAAAATTGGTTTAATTGACTCACCGTTCCACAGGCTGTACAGGAGGCATGGCTGGGGAGGCCTCAGGAAACTTACAATCATGGCAGAAGGGCAAGGGGAAAGCAAACATGTCTTCACATGGTGGCAGCAGAGAGACAGTGAGCAAAGGGGAAAATGCTCTTTCAAACAACCAGCTCTTGTGAGGACTCACTATCACGAGAACAGCAAGGGGGAACTCTGCTCCGGTGATCCAGTCACCTCCCGCCAGGTATTTCCCCCAACACTGGGGATTATAATTCAACATGAGATTTGGGTGTGGACACAGAGCCAAACCATATCACAATGGTAACAGTTTTTTCTATGTATTTAATAAAACCTACCTTTTGGAAACCATGAGGAGAAAAGTTATTCGTTTTCCAAATACTTAGGATAGAATGCATTTAAAGAGATGGAACCATTTAAGGTAGAATTTTAGGTTTTAATTAAGGCTCACAGAGTGGAGATACTTTCACATCTAAAACCTTTAAAGATATTTTTATTATGTGACACCTTCTTTTAGAGATACAGACCACTTGAAATGCTGACATAAAGAACATTTGAAAATTTCAGAAGAGCACAAAGGAGAAAGTAAACCTCACCCGTATCTCCTTGGTCCTCAATCTCACCCTTCAAAGAAAACTTGCTGATATATATTTTTGTTGTATAGTCTTCCAGCCTTTTTCTTATGTAAGAAAGAACTATAAGAAAAAATATATATGCATAAGAAAAATAATATTATAAACTATGGTTTTTATATATTTTTTCTCATTTGAATATATTAAAATATTTTCTTACATTGAATATTCTTCTATAATAGGATTCTTAACCTTTTTTGTAACAGGGGTTGCTCTCGCAGTCTGTTGAAGCCTATTATTACGGGTTGAATTATGATTCCCCCAAGAAGATATTTTAGAGTCCTAATCTCCATCATCTCAGAATGTGCCCTTATTTGGAGATATGATCTTTCTGGAGATAAAAGCTAAATTGAGGTCATTAGGATGGGCTCTAATCCATTATACTAGTGTCTTTACAAAAAGGGGAAGTTTGGAGACAGACACACATACAAATGATGATACCAGGTGAAGGTAAGGTACAGACAGAGATCAGAATGGTAATAGAGATTAGAATGATGCTTCTGTAAGCCAGGGAGTACTAAATATTGCTAGAAAACCACAAGAAGCCAGAGAAGAGGCACAGGGCAGATTTTTTCCTCCCAGCTCTCAGATGGAACCAATCTTGCTGACACTGTGATCTAAGGTTTCTAGTCTCCAGACCTGGGAGATAAATTTCTGTCATTTAAGCCACCCGGTTTGTGATACTTTGTTATGGCAGCCCTAAAAACTAATATGCTCATGGGCCCCCTTCTTAGAGTAATGTTTTTAAACTTACAAAAAATACCTAAGATTAAAACAATTATATTAAAATATAAACATTTTGTGACATCATAACAATTAACTTCTTTTTTTTTTTTGAGACGAAGTCTCCCTCTTGTCACCCAGGCTGGAGTGCAATGGTGCAATCTTGGCTCACTGCAACCTCTGCCTCCCGGGTTCAAGTGATTCTCCTGCCTCAGCCTCCCGAGTAGCTGGGATTACAGGCACCTGCCACCACACCCAGCTAATGTTTGTATTTTTAGTAGAAATGGGGTTTCACCATGTTGGTCAGGCTGATCTCGAACTCCTGACCTCAGGCGACCTGCCCACCTTGGCCTCCCACAGTGCTGGGATTATAGGCATGAGCCACTGCGCCTGGCCACAATTAACATTTTATTATCTATGATTATCTATAATCTCCTAATAGGTCTAATAACCACCAATTCAAAATAGTAATGGTTATATGTGTTATCTGTGAAAACGATAATGTGATACAAAAATACCTGTTATTTCTAATGCTGACTATGTCACAAGTGCTGCTACTACAAATGTGGCTTGTTTTCCATTCATATTTGAAATTTTAGCTAAGGGTTCGTGAAAATAAGGATGTCAGTATTTTTTTCTTTTCATTCAAGTTCAGGGACCCCAGGTGAAGAAGATCCATTCTATAATATGATACTTTAAAATGGTTTTATACTATAACATCATTGATTATAGGATTCACTGCTAGCGAATAGAAGACACTCAATGAAAAGATAACAAATTTATCAGTTTCAACTCTAAAATGATGGGTCAGAGGAATCAAATCATGCATACTACAAGACTTCCCACTGTAAAACGCATTATCTTCAGCCTAGATATCCCCGTCTTTCCTGACCTATGCCAGGTATTTTCAAATAGAGGGGCTGCTGTAATTTTCAACACTTTTACTAAGCCATGCTGTGGGGGCAAAGTTGACAGGGCAAGCCTAATGCAGCCATGACTATTAGTACCTTATCACACAAGAGTTTTAGTTGTTTGTCATCTGCTGGGCTATTTCCCAGCACTTGTGTTCTGAATTTCTCTTTTGATCCCATTGGCTAGTGCCAGATCTCCCAGGGACACGCTCTTCATGTAAAGCAGCAGGCTAGCTCTCCCCAAGGCACCCAATATTTTTTGTGTTGGTGATGGGATAATCTTCTTATGCAAAAGCATCCTAAGCAAGCACCCAGTTTTTTCCCTCATGGCCCCATTTTATGCTCCCCTAGTCTAAATTAATAAATAATTACTGGTTACAACCTTAGCTTAAGTAAGTTTGCCTGTATAACCCATGGGCTGTCACTCATCTTTGTCCTTCTTGTTAGTGGCTAGAAAGGAAACCAAGGAGTAGGGCCTGAGTTTAATGCTAAGTACCATCTTGGGTAGTCCTCAAGGAATTAGAGAGAGTGCTTACATAAAAAGAAAACCCTATAGATTATTGTAACATTCACAGATTGTCCTGCAAAGGCCTGTCACATAGGCCAGTGACATGCAGGTTGTTCATATTTCAGGACGAGCTGTAGTTACTTCAAGGCAAATCAGCAAGTTATTCCCCAGCAGGAACTCAATGCTAAGTGAATAAATCTTTAAACTTGGAATAGTTTTGCTTCAGTTTTTACTCTGCCTGTCCAATCCCATCTGAGCTGTCTTTCTGCTCTATTGTATCTGGCAAAAATCTAATAGTGAGATAGATTTTGTGAGCATGTCCCCACTGGGGTGTACACTGTAAAAATTATCTAGAAAACAACTAAATAATAAAAGGTGCCACACATTTTTCAAATGTTCTTTTGAATTTTTCTGAAATATCTCATTCCCCACAATATATCAATGATTATTTTATAAAAGTGATTAAACATAAATAATTTGAATCACATTTTTGAAATTAAAACCTTTCTTCTTAACATTTGCCAGATTCTTGGAACACTCCTAGGAAGGCCCCTGTGAAGCAGCTTTTGAAATCAATGGGGTGTCCTGAAAACCAGAGAAATCTGCCCAGGAATAAAACAAAATGAGAGTAAAACAAAAAATACATTTATCAAAATCTTCAAAAGTTCTTTTTAGAAATAGATTTTCCAAAGGTCTGTTAGATGCTACAGACCTCAAAACATTTAAGGATCCAATTGTGATATTCAATAGTTTTTATAACTTGATTTGATTTCTAGAACATTTATTTCTCAGTAGACAAATTGGAAACGTATGTAGGAGAGCCATAAATGGGGCAATTATTGTTGGTCCTGATCTTTCCCGGACAAATGTGGAGATTAGTTTAAAAAGGAAGGTGAAGATTTATATACCTTTTATTTTTAACAAGTTCTGTCATGTTGGAATTATTTAATCTTCCTTGCATACAATTTATGGATGGAGGAGTGAATTTGTTAATATAGAACATATTTCCTGACTTTATAACTGGGCTATATATTTTCTTGCCTGCATACTGTAGGCAACCTTAGTCATTTTTATGTGCTTTCTTGAGAAAAATCTTCAACAAGCATAAATGAGTCACCCAGTATTATATTTTTGTGCTCAAGATTGTACATATTCTCTTATCTGGTCTAATGTCTATATTGTTAATGTCTACAAGGTACTAATACATACGCTTTATAATCTCTTGGACAATTGAGTGCTTTATCTTCTGATACACCAGGATTAAACTCTAGGTATTATCCAGCTAAAAGCCCTCCTGCTATTCTGTGATGCAAACACAAACCAAGTATATTGATCTTCCTGACAAGTCTAGATGTTGGTTCAGATACTAATGGATGTGAATATAATCCTTCCTCCAAGAGTTTATTCATTCGCCATATGAAATAATGCATTTTCCAGAGTTTTAAGGCAGTGCAGTTTATTTTTTAAAACAATGCTCCGATTCATTGTATCGTAATTTTCTGTTGCAGATTATCTAGGGTTGCTAACCAGAAATAAAAATTTGTGCTTGCATTTCTTTAATTCATGGCGTTTTGACTCATTGATTCTCTATGTTTTAGTTGGAATAAAATATTTTTTGGAGAAGAAATCATAAAATGGCATGTACGGTCGATTAAAATAATTAAACATATCATACTGTTTAATTAATTGACAATACTTTTTTTAGGGTAAGAGCAGTAAAACGTAGCATAGGAACAATTTAATTAGCATTAGGGAACACGGACCATCGAATGCAAACAGTGTTTGCGGTGTTAGGCTGAGGGGAGCCATACAGTGTCTGTGGCTAAATGGAGTAATGTTTGCTTTTGGTTTAATGTTTTGGAACATCATACCTTCATAGAATTTTATGAGTTGGTGTACAGGCAGAACTCACAGTATGGCATCATGTGGACATAGAGAATATGTGCATGCATGAACAGTGAGATTTTCACATTAAGAAGACATTTCTTCCACAACCAAAATGCTCTTACCTCGGGAGTAGGATATGATGAGTGACTTCCCAGCTTCAGCAACTCAGCACACACAGCAGTCTGCAGCAGAAACCAAAGGGTGTAATAAGCAAATAATGCAAATTACCACAGGCTGAATAAATTCTACCATTGCCCATGATTAGTAAAGGATTCTGCTCATTTTGCAAAGGGCTCTGTAGATTAAATTCCAACTCAGAAATGTACAGCTTGATCAGTAAAGTTTGTAAATGACTTTGCAGATGAGGGATGCCATTCAATAGTGAAGATACACTTCAATTGCTAGAGCATTTACAAAACTCCACAGCTGAGATGTGCTGCAGCCTGGAAGCTGGTGACTGGATCTGTTTCAAGTTAAAGGGAATCAGAAGAGTACAGTCTAGAAGGACAGTATATTATATATACAGTGAATGTCTTAATTATTAAATTCTGAAAGTCAATTAGCAAAGTAGGCAACCAACTGACAGTTACAGTATGAGACTAAATGAAGAAATTTGAGCTTTATCGGTAGTGATGCTGACATTGGGTCATCCAGTATATCTAGAATTTACCCTAGATCACAGTCATCCTTTCCTAGGGGGTGCTATATTCACAAGTTAAAAGGACATATAGGAGGAAAGTTACATTTTGTCCTTAGCTGGTCTTGGGTCCTCAATGACAGTATAGAGAACTCTAGTTAGTTGTGGCCACGTTTTTCCTCAATCAGTTAGGTTTAATAGCTACATATGGAAACAGGCCATGGGTGGGTAAGGCCTGCTCACTTGCAAATTGCTCAAAACTAATATTCAGATTTTATTATTGAGCTATGCATAGACATAAATCAAATGAAGGTAGAGGGGAGGGAACTGGGGAATCAAGAAGAGGAGTGGGAAAGAGGAAGGGAACATGAGGGAGAGAATGAAAGAGGCAGAGAGAGAGAGGGAGGAGAGACACAGAGAGGCATAGCTGGTCTTTGCAAATGTACCTTCATTGTTTTAGTGCTATTGGATAGAGAGAAGAAGAAAGGAGTGTCTGAAAATGTCAGCATATGGCTTTGATTGCAGAAAAAGTCACCTACAAATATCACCCTTTTAATACAGAGCCTCCATGTCCTCTTGCACATGTGTGCAATGTGTGTCTGGACATAAGACCGAAGAGATTTTGACTTCCACCCCTAGCGTTTCCTTTGAATTACTGACTTGCATATGAAATTGTCTACCAGCAGCCACACTGGAGGTTGCACCAGTTCCCAAAATACAACACATTTGAAGATTCTTGATTTTCCCCTCTACATTTTCATTCCATTAACACTACCCACTTTAATAGTTTTTCCCCTTTTAGTAATCTACCTCCATCATCCACTCAGTTGCTCAAGCCAGAAATATAAGTGTCATCCTTGATCTCTCCCTTTCTCTTATACCCCTCATCCAATCTATCAGTTCAGCCTATTCAGTCTTTCTCCCAAACATGTCTCCAACATAACCAGCTTTATTTGCTAACTTTTTTTTCTGTCTTAGTCCATATAGACCGCTATAATAAAAATACCATAGACTGGTGGCCTAGAAACAATACAAAAATTTTCTTACAGTTCTGAAGAGTGGGAAGTCCAAGATCAAGGCATTGGCAAATTTGGTGTCTGATCAGGGCCCCCTCCTGGATTACTGACTGTTGTCTTCTTGCTGTGTCTTCACATGATGGAAAGGGCAGGGGAGCTCTCTGGGATCTCTTTTATAAGAATACTTATTTCATTCATGAGGACTCCTTGTGATCAAATCACCAAAGTCCCCATCTGCAATACCATCACACTGGGGAATAGGTTTTAACATGTGAATTTGAGGGGGCACAAATATTCGTTCCATAGCACCTTTTTTAGGTCAGCATCCTCTCCCATTATGAATAGTGCAACACCTTCCTATATTTATTCTTTGTCCTTTCCAATCCAGTCTTTAGGATTAAAGAACTTTTTAGGTTATGAAAAGACCATGCCAGCCTTGCTCCCTCTTCCTCTTGCTTACTGTGCTCCTGACATTTTGGGTTGCTTTTACTTCTTCAACTATACCAAGTTCTTCTCAGGCTCAGAGACTTTGCCCATGTATTTTCTCTCTCACTCCTGCATCTCTCATGACTGACACCACTGAATCCTCTGGTCTCAATCTACATGTTACCTTTTCAAAAATGTAGTCCTTACTATTCTACCTAAAATAGGTCCTCAACTTCCATTCCCATTGTGTTTATTTTCTCAGCAACTTCTTTTTTCTTTTTCGTATCACAACTGCTAATTGTTTGATTTACTACTCCAAAGTGATTTTCTGAAACTTGTAAACTATATTAGAATATTTGGTGACTTGGAGTCAGTCACAGGTAATGTTGCCCTCTTAAGACCCACTCTTCCCTCATCAGCTGTCTAGATCTCATATAGTTAGGTCTATCTTTTGAAAACCAATTTTATTATCCATCTCGCATCAAGCCCTCCCTATTCCATTTACCAATAGAGACTCTCAGATGTCCATTGGAACATCAACTTAAATGAAGGCGCTAAAGTTTTATTGATTAATAGATCATAAGTAAAGTATAGTTTGCAGGGGATGTGATTAGGGAATGGGTCTCAATTAGATTCTTTTTTATCACACATGTAAGTGACATTTGTTATCCTGGGAAGTATTGGAACAAATAAGTAAAGATCCAATGACTAATAAAACTATTATAAATTAAACTATATTTTATGCATGTCAAAAAGCAATGTTTTTGATGCAAGATTACATACATTCCTGGAAAGGAATCTATTACTGTGGTCAGCATCGCAGAGTGGCTGAATTTCTCATAACTAGTCATTATTGCACCCATTTGTAGTGATACACATACCAAAAGGCCACATATTTACTGAATTGCCTACTGAATGCTTTTACACAAATAATCTAAGACTGAAAAATGCAAACTGGAGATAATAGACAACACTGGGGATCAGAAAAATGTTAACCTTAAAACTACATGCCTAGTTGAAGAGTTCATATATCCCCTTCCCCTTCCCCTTCCCCTTCCCTTCCCTTGCAATCAAAAAAACGTTAACCTTAAAACTACATACCTAGTTGAAAAGTTCATGTAACCTTTCCTTTTCTTTTCTTTTCCTTTCCTTTCCTTCCCTTTCCTTTCCTTTCCTTTCCTTTCCTTTCCTTCCCTTTCCCTTCCTTCCCTTTCCCTTTCCCTTTCTCTTTTCCTTTTCCTTTCCTTTCCCTTTTCCTTTCTCCCTCTCTGTTTTGGCTTTGGAAAGGTGTGGTCACTGGAGAGAGCAACCATAGTCTAGGAAATGATTTCCAATATTCTTTTTCTTGTTGTTTTGATCTGTGTGCCAATATTTAATTAGTTTATTATGAATGGCCATGGTTATGGTGTTTTCCAGACTTCGATATTTCTTTCTTTTTTTAAATTTTTTTAATTTAAAAATAATAAATTGTAATTTATTTTAAGTTCCAGGGTACATGTGCAGGATGTGCAGGTTTGTTACATAGGTAAACGTGTGCCATGGTGATTTGTTGCACCTATCAACCCATCACCTAGGTATTAAGCCCAGCACGCATTAGCTATTTTTCCTGATGCTCTCCCTTCCCTTGCCCACCCCAACCCTGACAGGCCCCAGTGTGTGTTGTTCCTCTCCATGTGTCTTTGTGTTCACATTGTTCAGCTCCTACTTATAAATGAGAACATGTGGTGTTTGGTTTTCTGTTCCTGTGTTAGTTTGCTGAGGATAATGGTTTCCAGCTCCATCCATGTCCCTGCAAAGAACATGATCTCATTCCTTTTTATGGCTGCAGAGTATTTCATGGTGTATATGTACCACATTTTCTTTATTCAGTCTATCAATAATGGGCATTTGGGTTGATTCCATGTCTTTGCTATTGGGAATAGTACTGCAATCAACATACACATGCATGTATCTTTATAATAGAATGATTTTTACCCCTTTGGGTATATATCCAGTATGAGATTGCTGGGTCAAATGGTATTTCTGGTTCTAGATCTTTGAGGAATTGCCTCACTCTGTTCCACAATGATTGAACTAATTTACATTCCCACCAACAGTGTAAAAGTTTTCCTATTTCTCCATAGCCTTGCCAGCATCTGTTGTTTCTTGACTTTTTAATAATTGTCATTCTGATGCGTGAGATGGTATCTCAATGTGGTTTTGATTTGCATTTCTGTAATGATCAGTGATGTTGAACTTCTTTTTCATATAATTGTTGGTCACATAAATGTCTTCTTTTGAGGCATGTGTCTGTTCATGTTCTTTGCCCACTTTTTAATGGGGCTGTTTTTTTTTCTTGTAAATTTGTTCAAGTTCCTTGTAGATTCTAATTATTAGATCTTTGTCAGATGGATAGATTGCAAAAAATTTTCTTCCATTCTGTAGGTTGTTTGTTTGTTCTGATGATAGTTTCTTTTGCAGAGCTCCTTAGTTTAGTTACATCCCATTTGTCCATTTTTTAAAAAATTATTACACTTTAAATTCTGGGGTATATGTGCAGAATGTGCAGGTTTGTTACATAGGTATACATGTGCCATGGTGGTTTGTTGCACCCATCAATCTGTCATCTGCATTAGGTATTTCTCCTAAAGCTATCCCTCCCCCTACCCCATGCCCCCCAACAGGCCCTGGTGTGTATGGCCCCCTTTCTGTTTTACTTTTGACGTTTTCATCATGAAATCTTTGCCTGTGCCTATGAGCTGAATGGTATTGCCTAGATTTTTTTCTAGGGTTTTTATAGTTTTGGGTTTTACATTTAAGTCTTTAATCAATTTTGAGTCAATTTTTGTATAAACTGTAAGGAAAGTGTCTAGTTTCAATTTTCTGCATATGGCTAGCCAGTTCTCCTGGCACCATTTATTAAATAGGGAATCCTTTCCCCATTGCTTGTTTTTGTCAGGTTTGTCAAAGATCAGATGGTTGTAGATGTGTGGTCTTATTTCTGAGTTCTCTAATCTGTTCCATTGGTCTGAGTGTCTGTTTTTGTACCACTACCATGCTGTTTTGGTTACTGCAGTCTTGCAGTATAGTTTAAAGTTGGGCTGTGTGATGTCTCCAGTATTGTTCTTTTTGCTTAAGCTTGTCTTCATTATTCAGACTCTTTTTTGATTCCATATGAATTTTAAAATAGTTTTTTTTTTCTAATTCTATGAAGAATGTCAATGGTAGTTTAATGGAAATAGCATTGAATCTATAAATTACTTTGGGCAGTGCGTCCATTTTCACAATATTGATTCTTCCTATCCATAAGAATGAAATGTTTTTCTATTTGTTTGTGTCCTCTCTGATTTCCCTGAGCAGTAGTTTGTAGTTCTCCTTGAAGAGATTCTTCACTTCTCTTGTTAGCTGTATTCCCAGGTATTTTATTCTCCTTGTAGCAATTGTGAATGGGAGATCATTCATGATTTGGCTCTCTGCTTGTCTTTTGTTGGTGTATAGGAATGCTTGTAATTTTTGCACATTGATTTTATCCTGAGACTTTGCTGAAGTTGCTTATCAGCTTGAGAAGCTTTTGGGCTGAGACAATGGGGTTTTCTTTCTTCTTCTTCTTTTTTTTGAGACTGAGCGTTGCTCTGTTGTCCAGGCTGGAGTGCAGTGGCATGATCTCAGCTTACTGCAACCTCTGCCTCCCGGGTTCAAGCAATTCTCGTGCCTCAGCCTCCCGAGTAGCTGGGATTACAGGCATCTGCCACCACGCCCGGCTAATTTTTGTATTTTCAGTAAAGACAGGGTTTCACTATGTTGGCCAGACTGGTCTTGAACTCCTGTCCTCAGGTGATCCACCTGCCTTGGCCTCCCGAAGTGCTGGGATTACAGGTGTGAGCCACCACATCCAGCTGCAGGTTTTCTAGATATAGGATCATGTCATCTGCAAACAGAGACAATTTGACTTCCTTTCTTCCTCTCTGAATACCCTTTTGTTTCTTTCCCTTGCCTGATTGCCCTGGCCAGAACTTCTAATACTATCTTGAATAGGAGTGGTGAGAGAGGGCATCCTTGTCTTGTGCCGGTTTTCAAGGGGAATGCTCCCAGGTTTTGCCCATTCTCTATGATATTGGCTGTGGATTTGTCATAAATATCTCTTATTATTTTGAGATACATTCCATCAATACCTAGTTTATTGAGAGTTTTTAGCATGAAGGGCTGCTGAATTTTTTCAAAGGCCTTTTCTGCACCTATTGAGATAATCGTGTGGTTTTTGTCTTTAGTTCTGTTTATGCGATGAATTATGTTTAATGATTTGCTTATGTTGAAGTAGTCTTGCATCCTGGGGATGATGCCGACTTGATCATGGTGGATAAGCTTTTTGGTCTGCTGCTGGATTCGGTTTGCTAGTATTTTATTGAGATTTTTGCATCGACGTCCATCAGGAATATTGGCCTGAAGTTTTCTTTTTTTTGTTGTATCTCTGCCAGGTTCTGGTATGAGGATGATGATGGCCTCATAAAATGAGTTAAGGAGGAGACCCTTCTTTTCAATTGTTTGGAATAGTTTCAGGAGAAATGGTGCCAGCTATATGTCTGGTTCCAGCTGTACATCTGTATATCTGGTCCTGGGCTTTTTTTGGTTGGTAGGCTATTTATTACTGCCTCAATTTCAGAACTTGTTATTGGTCTATTCAGGGATTCAGCTTCTTCCTGGTTCAGTCTTGGGAAAGTGTATGTACCCAAGAATTTATCCATTTCTTCTAGATTTTCTAGTTTATATGCATTAAGTTGTTTATAGTATTCTCGGATGGTTGTTTGTATTTCTGTGGGTTCAGTGGTGATATCCCCTTTATCATTTTTGTATTCTGTCTATTTGATTCTTCTCTCTTTTCTTCTATATTAGTCTAGCTAGTGGTCTATCTATTTGATTTTTTTTTTTTTCAAAAAACCAACTCCTGGATTCATTGATTTTTTTTTTGAAGGGGTTTTCATGTCTCTATCTCCTTCAGTTCCACTACGATCTTGGTTATTTCTTGTCTTCTGCTAGCTTTAGGGTTTGTTTGCTCTTGGTTCTCTAGTTCTTTCAGTTGTGGTGTTAGGATGTCAATTTCAAATCTTTCTAGCTTTTTGATGTGGGAATTTAGTGCTATCAATTTCCCTCAACACAGCTTTAGGTGCATCCCAGAGATTCTGATACGTTGCTTCTTTGTTCCCATTCAAATAACTTCTTGACTTCTGCCTTAATTTCATTATTTACCTAGGAGTCATTCAGGAGATTGTTCAATTTCCATGTAGTTGTGTGGTTTTGAATGAGTTTCTTAATCTTGAGTTCTAATTTGATTGCACTGTAGTCTGAGAGACGGTTTGTTATCATTTCAGTTCTTTCGCATTTACTGAGGAGTGTTTTACTTCTAATTATGTGATCGATTTTAGAGTAAGTGCCATGTGGCACTCAGAAGAATGTATATTCTATTGTTTATGGGTGGAGAGTTTTGCAGATATCTATCAGGTCCACTTGATCCAGAGCTGTGTTCAAGTCCTGAATATCTTTCTTAATTTTTTTGTCTCCATGATCTGACTAATATTGACAGTAGGGTGTTAAAGTCTCCTACTATTATTGTGTGGGAGTCTAAGTCTCTTTGTAGGTCTCTAAGAAATTGTTTTATGAACCTAGGTTCTCTTGCATTGAGTATATATATATTCAGGATAGTTAGCACTTCTTGTTGAATTGACTCCTTTACCATTATGTAATGCCCTTTGTCTGTTTGATATTTGTTGGTTTATTGTTATGTGTGAATTTGATCCTGTCATCATGATGCTAGCTGGTTATTTTGCAGGCTTGTCAATGTAGTTGCTTCATAGTGTCATTGGTCTGTGTACTTCAGTGTGTTTTTGTAGTGGTTGATAATAGTTTTCCTTTCCAAATTTAGTGCTTCCTCAGGAGCTCTTGTAAGACAGGCCTGATGGTAATGAATTCCTTCAGCATTTGATTGTCTGAAAACCATTTTATTTCTCCTTCAGTTACGAAGCTTAGTTTGGCCCAATATGAAATTTTGGGATGGAAATTCTTCTCTTTAAGAATGTTGAATATTGGCCCCCAATCTCTTCTGGCTTTAGGGTTTCCACTGAGAAACCCTGAAGTCTTATGGGTGTTCCTTTGTAGCTTATTTGGCCTTTCTCTCTGGCTGCCCTTAACATTTTTCCTTAATTTTCACCTTGGAGAATCTGGCGATTATGTGTCTTGAGGGTGATCTTCTCATGAAGTATCTTACTGGGGTTCTCTGGATTTCCTGAATTTGGATGTTGGCCTGTCTTGCTAGGTTGGGGAAGTTCTACTGGATGATACCCTGAAGTATGTTTTCCAACTTGGTTCCGTTCTCCCTGTCTCTTTCAGGTACCCCAATCAGTTATAGGTTTGGTCTTTTTACATAATCCCATAGTACTTGAAGCTTTTGTTCTTTTCATTCCTTTTTCCTCTAATCTTGTCTGCCTGTCTTATTTCAGAAAGATAGTCTTCAAGCTCTGAGATTCTTTCCTTTCTTGATCTATTCGGCTATTGATACTTGTGGTTGCATTGTGAAGTTCTCGTGTTGGGTTTTTCAGCTCCATCAGGTCATTTATGTTCCTTTTTAAACTGGTTATTGTGGTTAACAACTCCTATAATATTTTATTATGGTTCTTATCTTCTTTGCATTGGGTTAGAACATACTCCTTTAGCTCAGTGAAGTTCATTATTACTCACTTTCTGAAGCCTACTTTTGTCAGTTCATCCATCTCTGCCTCCACCCTGTTCTGTGCCCTTGCTGGAGAGGTGTTGCTATAATTTGGAGAAGAGGAACTCTGGATTTTTGAGTTTTCAGCATTTTGTGTTGATTCTTTCTTATATTTGTAAGCTTATCTGCCTTCAGTCTTTGAAGCTGCTGACCTTTAGATGGGTTTTTTGTGTGGGGTCTTTTTTGTTGATGTTGTTGTTGTTGCTTTCTGTTTGTTTGCTTTTCTTTTAACAGGCAGGCCCCTCTTCTGTAGGGCTGCTGTGGTTTGCTGGGGGTCCACTCCAGACCCTATTTTCCTGGCTCCCTCCCGCACCTGGAGGTATCACTAGTGGAGGCTGCAGAACAGCAAATATGGCTGTCTTTTCCTTCCTCTAAGGGTTACTGACCTTGTGACCTTGTGGTAGTGGGAATGGTCCTGTATAAGGTGTCTGGTGACCCCTTTTCTGGGGGTCTTACCCATTCAGGAGGCATGGGATCAGGGATCCACTTAACGAAGCACTCTGGCTGCCCTTTGGCAGAGCAGTGTGCTGCACTGGGGAAAGCCCCCTCATCCGTACTGCCCAGACTCTTCAGAGCTAGTGGGCAGGAAGGACTAAATCTGCTGAGCTCTTGAAATGGAGGCGACCCCTCCCCCCAGGGGCTCCATCACAGGGAGATCAGAGTTCTGTCTGTAAATCCTTGTCTATAATTGCTGAAATTCCTGCAGGGAGGCCCTGCTTGGTGAGGAGGAATGGATCCAGGTCCCACTTGAAGAAGCAGTCTTGTCACAATCTTCCACAATCACTGTGTTGCACTGTGAGGAATTCCTCCTGCTCCAAACCACCCAGTCTCCTTAGCGCTGGTAGGGGAAAATGGCAGACTGGAGCCATAGTGGTGGTGGCCGCTCCTCTTCCCCAAGGACTCGGTCGTCTTAGGCAGCCTCCAGCCTGCTGCCATTTGCTGCAATCTGAGTGGCTTCCAAGCATCTGCACAGCTCTGTGCTTGGGACCCAAGGCCCTAGTGGCATGGGCTTATGAGAGGATATCCTGATGGGTTGTACAGATCTATGGGAAAAGTGTGGTTTCTTGGGTGAAGTAGCACAATCACTCACCACCTCCCTTGGCTGAGCTCCCCTTGCCCTGTGTGGCTCCTAGGTGGGCTGTTGCTTCACCCTGCTTTTCCTTGCTCTCCATGGGTCGTGCCAACCACCTAGTCAGTCCCAGAGATAACCTGGATACCTCAGCTGAAGGTGCAGTATTCACTCGCCATTTTCATTCTTCTTAGTTGGAGCTGCAGAGCGCAGCTACTTCTAGTTGGCCATCTTGGCCCTTCCCTCCTATTTATTTCTTTATTAGAGTTACAAGTAAAACAAAAATCTATAGTAAAAAGAATTTATTATGGGTGGGTTGAAGCCTATTAAGATAAAGTAAAGCAGAATTTTAGACAATTGTAATGCCATAACACCAGGCATGAAAACTATTTGTGTTTGATTTTAAAAGCTGCTTTTATTTATTTAAAGTAATTATTGAACAACTATTGAGTGCCTGGCATTGCATCAGGCATTGGGCATATAATAACTAAGAAGACTTTTTTTAAAACTATATAGTCTATGGGTAGAAGACATAAAATAGAAAAACAAACATGTCAGGAGATAATAAGTGTTTTAAAAACAAATGAGTAAGCAAATAAAATAGGCTAAGGATAGACCAGAGGGATGTGTATGTGTAATAATTTTTTTTAAAGAAAATGATGACATTGAAACAGAAATATAAAGGAAGTAGGAAAACATGCCAAAAAGAGAAAATAGCATAAGCAATAGCTCTGGAGCACACTAAGAAAGCCAGAAAAAGGATAGATGGTGCCATAGGAATGAGATGAGGCCAACATGATAGTGAAGGGCTAGACCATGATCAAAGACCTTTGATGTAACCTAGTAGTATATGAGAAGGCACTGAAAAGTTTTGAGAACAGTGGTTACATGTTATAACATGAAATGATTTATGTTTAAGGAGCACACATACACAAATATATTTTCCATCATAAGTAGGGGTATGACAATCACTTTGCTGGAATCAAAGATTTAAAACAGATGTTTAAAAACTCCAAATAGAGTTTATTACTTACTAGAGATCTGTCTTCCTAAAATCTTCAGATAAAATATATCATTAAAAAACCTTATCTGTCACACTGTAGTATACACTAGTGCTAGAGGCAGAGGATATTAAAATTACCATTCTCACAGAATGGTTTCAACTCTTATTGGAATGATCTTTCTAATGATTCTAGTAGAATAAGATTTTAGAAAAAATTCTGATTACTAGATTATTTTCTTGATGAAAATAATATGAAAGTTTTCACTTTCCATTTTAGAGACTACATATTAAAGTATTGGTGGTGAAAACATTACCTTTTTAGATTGAGGTTAGAATGACTTTTTTATGGAGGACACTTTTATGGGCCTTTTAGGTATTTAGGTATTTGGCCTGATGGCAATACTCAAAATTGCCTACTTTACACAGTAAAACTACTATTTTAAGGCTTACTCCATCTACATACTTTTATAAGTTGGTCATAGTTAAATGATTTCTTATTCTGTAAGGTTTTCTTTTTATTATTTTTAATTGACACATTATTTACTCTTCAAAAATCCGTTCTTAAAAAAGAAGTCCACTTTAGATGTGACATTATGTTAACACATAACTGATTCAATAATGGGAGGAAAAAAGGAAAGTCAAAGTAGTTTTGATGTCTTTGCCTTTGAAATACTATAATAAATTCAAGACTGAGGATTGAGGGTGGCAATCAGAAATTATGTGAACTCTTTTAAGCAGAGTTATGTTTCACTGACACAATCCAACAGGCTAGGTAATAGAGAAAATTCATAATAACTAATTGCTGCTATATCAGTTTTAATATCCATACTCATTTTGAGAACTTGATATAGCTCAACTCTCAAGGGTATACCTGTAATTATGCTTTTGAGGTGTTCAAGTCCTTTATCACAGAAAGACATTTGAACTCTAACGTGAGAAGGTTAATTATTTAGAATACCCTTGAAAACATTCTCTGGTATGAGTGGATTACATGAAGACAGCTTGAAGTGACTACGGAAGTCCCAAGAAAGATAAATGTGAAAATCAGTGATTTGTCTATGCTGAGTCTCAGAAGGCTGCTTTTAGAATATTAATGATATTAGCTGCTAATCCTGTTTTCAGAAACTGTTTAAAAATGTTACTTCTCTAACAATACGTAACTCTGGAGGATTGTGAATTTTGTATTTCCTGACTTTTCTAATGGGATTAATTCATAGAAATTCATTTGGTGATAAATAAATCCAACTTTCCTGCCATGGATGTCTCTTTGTAGTCTTCAATGTGTAAGTCCATGATTTTGAGACTTTTAGATAATAATAACAAGGGGCTGTTATTAGTCTAAATTACTAATTAGAACACTTTTAGATATGAACTGTCCTCCATATTTGAGAGTCTCATGAAAGAAAAAACTTATATAACTTTGTAAGCATAAATTAAAGAAATCTGAGGTTTCAATAGCCTACTTCCTTGCCCACACATCTGATGTCCCAAAAATATTTATGGACTGGATATCCTAGGGTTAAGGAAATGCACTGTTAAAACCTTATTCATATTTTTTTCTTCTTAAATGTAAGCTTTCTTTCTTCATTAAAAATGAGAAATTTCTCCTAAAAATACAAAATTTGCTTTTTTTTATTCTATGTAATGACACTGAAGCCTATTATTTTTCTCCTTATCCATCCTAGGTTTTAATTTTTCTTTGTCTTCAGTGTTATCAATGGTCTCAGCAAAAGCCATTCTTTCTCCTTTTCAGGCCCCCTTCTCCATGGAGCTGTAGTTCTCCCAGGATCACCATTTTGGCAGAGATTGTAACTCACAACTCAACTTGGCCCAGTCTCGGTAGCAGAATGCACAACACCGTTCAGTTGGATATCTTACACTATATATTACATTCTCACAGAATCTTAAGAAGATTTGAACAACCAGGGAGGTGCTAGGGATCTCTGAAACTGACTGAATATGTGGATCTTCCCTTTATCACATTGGAATTAACATAATCTTGTTCCATTGTCACCTGGTTTCTGTGACTGTCGGTAAAAGCTACAAATTCCTGGGAAAGAGAATTTGATTGGTTAGTTTGGGTCCGTTGGTCACTGCCGGCTAATTATCTGTGGCTTTACATGGGGTCTTTTAAAAGGGTTAGATATCCATTCCTGTGGATCAGGGGCATTTCACCAAGAAGGGAGAAATGATAACAAGTCAGGCAGTCAGTTTAGGAGTGTCTGTTACAGTCATAGCTTGCTTCTGCCTTTGATAAAGAACATAGAGGTGGGCGCCGTGGCTCACGCCTGTAATCCCAGCACTTTGGGAGGCCGAGGCAGGCAGATCATGAGGTCAGGAGATCGAGACCATCCTGGCTAACACAGTGAAACCCTGTCTCTAGTTAAAAAAAAAAAAAAAAAAAAAAAAAAAAAAATTAGCCGGGCATGGTGGCGGGTGCCTGTAGTCCCAGCAGCTATCTGGGAGGCTGAGGCAGGAGAATGGTATGAACCCAGGAGGTGGAACTTGCAGTGAGCCGAGAGCACGCCACTGCACTGCAGCCTGGGCAACCGAGCGAGACTCTGTCTCAAAAAAAAAAGAACATAGAATACCTCAGCCTAGAGCTCCTCACCCATAGTGATAGTATTTATTACATCTCACAATACATGTTTACCTCTATGCCATGCCTTGCTATTCTATATGACCATTGATGTATTTAGGATACAGAGGGGTTTCCTGGAATCTAAACATACTCCACATGGTACCTTCTTCTCTTTCAGTGTTCTTCATGTCTTAGGTTTTCTCTTGTTATTACTATATGATCACGTATGCTTCTTCTGCTTAATTAATTAATTGAACACATATTCATTTAATGTATGATGACCACTGGGCTAGGAGCTAGGGAGGTCTATTATGGGACTACTAATGCTGTTCAGTACAAAGTACCTTTTTCTTCTGTTGGTTTAATACTTCTTTTTCTGTTCTTTACATAAGATCTCAAATGCTAATTAAATGCAAGCAGTGTTATGCATTTTACCCAGACTTCATGCATAACATCTTACCTATTCCTCTGAGTCTTGTAGACCAGATATTTCTATTCTTATGTAGAAAGGTAAGCTGAAACTCTGGAAAGTTAAGTTCTTTATTTGGGTTTTTGTTGCTACTAAGTAGCAGATTTAGGACTGGAGTGAATGTCTGACAGTGTACCCAGTAGTAATTTAATATTGCAGATTGTGATTTTTATTCTTCTCCATCTTTACTGTTGAAAGGCCCACTAGCATCAAGTACATTCAAGATATGAGAGTATAAAATAAAGGATTACAGTAAATTTTTGCCAAGTGTATTCTACACCTATAAATCTAAAAACCTGTCGCCAAACAATTTAGAAATAGATAATATAGAGTCAATAATTTGGTTGTGTACTGAAATACTGTCTTAACCTAACAAAAATTTCTTAGGTTTACCTTTGCTGAATAATTGGAAAAAAATAGAATAATTTAAAATCTGACTCTAAATTTGCTGATGATTAATAGATATAAAACCACGATCCTTTGTCACTAGAGAAAATTTTTATAATGCGAATTTGCTGGTGATGAAAGACCATTACTTGTACCAATTACCAAGTTCTTAAATCATTGCATTCCATGAAATACTTAGAATCCAAGCATGATTGCTGAATCAAATCCTAGTTGAAAGAAAGCTATATGTATAAACATAAAAAGTTATTTTTTCATCAAAATATTGAAGTTGTTATGATGAAGGGTGACAAAATAATTTTTGAACAAAAATATCTGAGTCAGTGTGTAAATGTTATCAAATAACATTTGAATCAGCAATATTTATTAAATATCTCCTATGTGACTGACGTGATATTACGTAAGTGGAAAGATAAAAAGAAATGAATAAAACAAATAAAAATAAAATTTCATGAAGTACCCTTTAAGAACTTTGATAATTTGATTTAGTGAATTGTGCATTGAAAGGCTTATCTTTTTTACAATTTTCCTACAAAATTCCATATATAATTTGAGATATCTCAGTCATTTTTATAATTTGAAAATTGTGGATAACATATCACTGGGAGTAATTCTTAAAAACTTACTGCTGTTTCTACAGTAAGAACATTAGGAGACTTACTGAGCTAAATATAACATGAGAACTTTCCATCCCTTCTGCTTTATATACTCTCCCACCTTTTCTGCTCTTCCTCTAGGCCACCACCTAGTACTCTCGCTTTCTTTTTTTTTGAGACGGAGTCTCACTCTGTTGCCTAGGCTGGAGTGTAGTGGCGCTATTTCGGCTCACTATAACCTCTGCCTCCCGGGTTCAAGCGATTCTCCTGTCTCAGCCTCCTGAGTAGCTGGGATTACAAGTGCGTGCCGCCATGCCCAGCTAATTTTTGTATTTTTGGTAGAGACGGGGTTTTACCATGTTGTTCAGGCTGGTCTCGAACTCCTGACCTCATGATCCGCCTGCCTTGGCCTCCCAAAGTGCTGGGATTACAGGCGTGAGCCATTGCACCCGGCCTACTCTCACTTTCTAGTCTTCATTCTGTGCCTCAGCATTTCTGGATTTAACAACTTTGAGACATTCAAAATTCATTCATTTATTTATTTAAACTAATATTTTAAAGAATCAATTATATACTAGGCACCGTCTATAGTAAGTCTGAGGCAGCAGTTGAAGGTAAAGAAGATGGTGAGATTTTATTAAATTATAGGCAGTGAAAATGGGTAGAAGCGGATGGAATTAAACTGTTTGGAAGCCATCATTATCCTTTCTTGGTGATCAGTGGGTGTTGGGAGGCATCTCTCTCCCAAAGCTTGGTTTGAGAATTGAACATATTAGTTGTTCAATAAATTTTTATTCTATGAGTCTGAATTGATTTTTAATAAAAACATTAAAAATTGTATTAGTATTCATGTTCCAAGCTGCCTTATGAAGACGAGCATATTTTGAGATGCACTCAGTTTTCCTATTGTTTTTCCATCATTATGAGATTTATACAAAATATGTTCAACATAAACCTTTAAAATACACTTACAAGGAAGCAGAACAGACTTGTCAACAACTAAATAGGTTGTCAAATAAATCTGTACAATGTCAGATAAAAGTTACAAGTGTCGAATACAAAATTTCAATGAGTGTTAAGGCTCCATTTTTAAACAACCTGAAACAAATGTCTTTTCAAAGCATTCTTCTGCCAATAACTATTATTACTGAGGTGGGATAATTTTACCTTTAGTAGCATTACTGCCACATAATTTAGGACAGCCCACTTCACTACAGATGTTCTTCAGACAGGCAGATGGGGACTTCACGGACCATTTGCCCTTCTTCCCAGGGGCAAGTGTCAATCTGGAGGAGATATGAAATCCTGCCATTTAGTACCAGGTCAAAACACTCACATGATCTGAACCTATATTTCAGTTGTTACCATGAGGTAGAAACTTTTATCTTGACCTTACCATGTAAACAAAACACTCCTCATGAGACAAGATGGTGTCTCACAGTAAATTGTATATAAATGTGTATACTTCTCTTGTTTTCCTTCTTTTCATTCCGTGGCTGGTTTTTTAATGAAGTATTCCAGACACCCAAAATGCCTAGAGAATACTATAATCAATACTTTCAAAAGCACTGTGCAGCTTGAAAATAAAACTTGAAAGGGACAATTGAAGAACTCTGTGTGGCTCTTTTAGATCACATCTTCTCTATTGCCACCAAAGGTAGTCTCTGTTTGAATTTTGTATTTCTTGTCCTCATGCATTTCTTTTTACTTTTACTACATGTATATGAAATAAAAGCTTTGTTTGGCAGGTTTTAAATCTTAAATAAATAGTATACTGGTTATTCAATGATCGTCTCTCCACTTCACTCTCATTCTCCTACACTCTGTTGTACGATGCTGGGACTGAGACTCTACAAGCCACAGTTTTGCTTTGCCAGATGATTCCTAACTAGGCTTTACCAATAGAGACATTAGAGGGAGGCTGGAAGGTTAAAGAAAGAAGGGAATTGTTTTTTGTTTGCTTCCTGTTCCTCGTTTGTTTCTTTTTCTTGTTAGTGAACCTTAGCTTGGCAGCTCTCCTTTGCCCCAGTAGCAACAGTTTCTTCTATTAGCAGTGGCTGGATCCAGTTTGCAGTTTTTACACTTCTAGAACCAGCCTTATTGCTACCTCCTTAGATGCTAGGCACTAGCCTTCAGCACTCCTCATCTCAGGATCTGGATCTTAATTTCATAGGATCCTTTCTGATTTGCAGACAACTGGAGTAGTTAATTAGGCCTCCTCCTCTGAGGTCTGATTTTCAGTATCTTTTGATGAGTAGACGTTTTAATTTTGAATATACTCAAATGTATAAACTTTGTCAACCTAATTAACAACAGAGAGTCTCTCTAATGGAAAATGATACTTATTCAGGATTAGGGCATTGCAATGGGAATATGTGTGCCATAGTAAACTATGGGTGTATTTAGGAAAGTAAAGGAAGACAGATGTTAAAGAAAAAATGAAGAGAATTACACAATTGTGTTGAGATAATTATCCTTGGCCTCAAGGATTAATAACAAGGATGCCATCAGTCTGGGATTGGACAGCCATTTGCTGGGCAGATGTTTCCACAGAAGTAGTTTTCTATGTAAGGTTGTGATTGCCTTTGTGCAATCAGAGTCTTTTGTGGTAGTTTTTGTTATGAGGCATTCATGTATGAGAATCTTCTCTTCATGGCCTTCCTTGGCTCTATTTGTCAGAGCTTTTTAATTTTTTTTATCATAAGTATTCCATTTTGATTCCAAAAACCTTCACATTTTCTTCTTTTGATTGAGGTCTTTTTTTCTGAAAGCATTGATGATCAATCATCCTGTAGTTGGAGTTTTGAGTATTACACAGTGCCAAGATGGATGTGTCCCAGGTTGCCGGTCTGGTCCTATGTTGGAGGGAGTGATAGCCAAATAGAAGTTGGTATCAAAACCCTTTTAGCCACATTTGAGCAACAAGGGAAGGTTGAAGGGAGTGACTGTCAGGCTAAGTCAACCTGGAGTCAATTATTAAGCTTAGTTTCATCTGTTTTATAGTATTTTGCTATCATCTCAATGTACTGGGCCATCATTATTCTGTTAAGATTTATACTTCTGTAAAAATTTAAAAAGAAGCAAAATTTAAAAAATATAAAGTAAAATTAATGGTAATATGACAATCCCAGTTTGCATAATAGTTTGGAGCCATGAACCTAGGCTTAAAGGCAACCAAATGAATAAATCAAATGACCATTATCCTGTCAAGTAAAAAGAAGTAGGCATTAAAAGTGATAAGGGTCTCATTATATTGTGGAGTCTTGTTCTAATGCCTTGGGCAAAGCTGTCTACAGCATGAAAATGTTAACTTCTTATCCTGGTTTGTAGCTGGAATGTTTCTTGTTATGGTATTGGATGGCTTGGTGAACTTTTTGTATGGCCCCTACATCAGGCATGAGATTTGTTCCTTAATATTAATCTAGTTTCAGCTTATAGGGCTTTAGGAAGACAGCAGTACCTGTTTTTAGAATTCTGTGGAAGAATGTTGGATTTAAGGAATGTAGAATAATTTAGAATCTAGTCTAGTCTATAGGTAGATAATAAGAACTTAAAAAAATTCACAGAACTACAGTCTAATAACAGATGTGTTTTAGCTTTTCTTTAGAAATGTAACTTTTTATTTCTACATCGATCACATAGGAATCTCAGATTTAAAAACCTCTTGGGGTTATGAAGCCAAACCAAGGCAGAGTTTAGATTTTTCCTGTAGACTTAAGATTCCTGAACCTGACAGGAAGTAATAATTTTTACTCCCTCACTGTAAGGCTGGGAACCCTTGAAACCAGCCATTTTATGCACATTCTCAAATACAATATTCCAGTTGAAGCCATGGTAATAAAAACAATGTTTTCAATTTTATCCTGTGATAAATAGGGAACAAATTTTTATTGATCTTATATGCAAATAATT
The DNA here is from genome assembly GCF_000001405.40 of Homo sapiens. Taxonomy (NCBI): domain Eukaryota; kingdom Metazoa; phylum Chordata; class Mammalia; order Primates; family Hominidae; genus Homo; species Homo sapiens. The sequence continues at coordinate 195,281,135 of NC_000002.12, read as the reverse complement.
ACATTGCTGTAAAAATAGAAGTACTCATGAATAGTTTTTGAATTTTGTAGGGGTCAGGTAGGGAGAAAAAATGTTTTAACCTTTGTTCAAAAAATATACTTTACTAAATTGTTTTAAACAATAAATAGCTTAAAAGAAAAAAATTATCATCAATCTGGAAAACAGTAAATAATGTTTTATTTTTACTTTTTAATTTAACTTTTAAGTTTGGGGTACATATGCAGGTTTATTGTATAGGTAAACTTATGTAATGAGGGTTTGTTGTACAGATTATTTTATTACTTAGGTATTGATCCTAGTACCCATTAATTATTTTTCCTGATCCTCTCCCTCCTCCGAATCTTCACCCTCAGATAGACCCCAGTGTGTGTTTTTCCCCTCTATGTGTTCGTGTGTTACCATCATTTAGCTCCCACTTATTAGTAAGAACATGTGGTGCTTGGTTTTCTGTTCTTGCTTTTGTTTGCTAAGGATAATGGCCTCGAACTCCATCCATGTTCCTGCAAAGAACACGATCTCATTTTTATGGCTGTGCAGTATTCCATGGTGTATATGTACTACACCTCCTTTATCCAGTCTACCATTTGTTAAATCAAGTTTAGCCTAAAACTGCCTCCTTACATATTTTAAGTTTGGCATAAAGGTTTTTCTTTACATTGTGATCTACAACTAGTGGAAGTGTAAACAGACCATAGCCTACACTTGTGCCAATTACCAAGTTTTGGCCAATCAAATGTAGTCAACTGTTAGAACTGTGTTCAAATAAGGTAAATGCTGAGTTGTAAGCAATCCAGCTGTCTCTGTACCTCATTTCCATTTTCCATAAGTCACTTTCCTTTTTCTGTCCATAAATCTTCCACCACGTGGCTGGACTGGAGTCTCTGAGCCTACTCTGGCTGGGAAGGCTGCCCAATTCAGGAATCATTCATTGCTCAATTAAACTGCTTTAAATTTAATTTGGCTAAAGATTTTCTTTTATCACATTGATGATGGGCATTTAGGTTGATTTATGTCTTTGCTATTGTGAATAGTACTGCAATGAACATATGTGTGCATGTGTCTGTATAATATACTGAATTATATTCCTTTGGGTATATACCCTGTAATGAGATTGCTGGGTTCAATGGTAGTTCTGTGTTTAGGTCTTTGATGAATCACCACACTGTCTTCCACAATGACTGAACTAATTTACACTCCCACCAACAGTGTATAAGTGTTTCTTTTTCTCCACAATCTTGCCAGCATCTGTTATTTTTTGACTTTTTAATAATAGCCATTCTGACTGGTGAGAGATGGCATCTCATTGTGGTTTTGATTTGCCTTTCTCTAATGATTATAATGTTGAGCTTGTTTTCACATGCTTGTTGGCTGCATGTATGTCTTTTTTTGAAAAGTGTCTGTGCATGTCGTTTGCCCACTTTTTAATGAGGTTGTTAGTTTTTTCTTGTAAATTTAAGTTCCTTATAGTTGCTGGATAGTATATCATTGTCAGATGCATAGTTGGCAAAAATTTTCTCCCATTCTGTAGGTTTTCTGTTGACTCTGCTGATAGTTTCTTTTGCTGTGCAGAAGCTCTTTAGTTTAATTAGATCCTTCACATAATGATGGTTAAAAATCTATTGGAATTTATAATCAGCAATCGAGAAGAAAATTTGTATCAGTGTATTTTTAATATCAAAGCTCAATCTTTAGAAAGACTCATAAATAACACCCTTTTAATTATAGCCAACTTGATCACACACAAAATTCCTTTTACAAATTCATCCTTCAAAATCTTATATGACCTGCATAACCTTTGATGACAAGCTTAGACTTTCTCATTTCTCCTATATTTTCTCCTTCCTAAATAACCAGTCCTTTTACGTTAGGACAAAAATTTACTGCATTTTTTATAGAAAATCTTTCTTACCAAAAATACACCTCTGTACCTGTAACTTTCTTCACATCTCTCTCCTACTTACTGGTTCCTTTTTTTTTTTTTAACTAGTTTCTTTTTATCTTGTTTCTATTTTTTTCTAAATACATATTTTAAAATAACTTGTAAATAACCTGCAAATTAGACAAAAGTATTTTTCTCAATAAAAAACAAATTGTTATAATTTTTATGATCAAAAACACTTTTTCGGTATACTTTGTACACAATTCTATATGTTACTTAGAATTTTAACTCCTGGTAACCTAATTTTCAGTTAACACCTAGAAAGCAAGACATTTTGAGCTGTCTGTCACATAACAGTACTTTCTAGATGAGAATAATATTATAATTTTTAGAAACATTTAACAGAACATATTTTTTATGTGTATTAATAGACCCAAATATATTTCGTGTTTCTATGAAATATAAGGAGCCAACATGAAATTACATTTATGCTCAGCAATTTGTTTCATTTAAAAAAATTTATTTGGAAATGACTCAAACATTTAATGAGTACCTACCATAGCTCACTGTAGCCTCAAACTCCTGGGTTTGATCAGTTCTTCTGCCTCAGCCTCCCAAGTAGTTGGGACTACAGGTATGTGCCACCATGCCCCAACTAATTAATTTTTTTTTAAGAGATGGTGTCTTGCTATGTTGCCCAGGCTGGTGTAAATGGTTTCTTTCTAAAGTTATATTTTCTGTTTGTTGTTTACAATAGGAATATAATTGACTTTAGTATACTTATATCTGACATACTTGTTGAACTCATTCATTTAAATGATTTATAGAGTTCTTTTCTACATTTCTTATAGAGGTCATCATTACCTTCAAATTTTGTTTTTTATTTCTAATCATTATACAGTCATGCATCTCATAATGTCCAGTGTGATGGTTAATATTGGGTGTCAACTTGATTGGATTGAAGGATGCAAAGTTCCTGGGTGTGTCTGTGAGGGTGTTGCCAAAGGAGATTAACATTTCAGTCAGTGGACTGGGAGAGAGGCAGGCCCACCCTCAATCTGTGTGGGCTCCATCTAATCAGCTGCCAGCATGGCTAGGATAACAGCAGGCAGAGGAAAGTGGAAGGGTTAGACTTGCTGAGTCTTCCAGGCTTCATCTTTCTCCTGGGCTGGATGCTTCCTGCCCCGAACATCGGACTCCAAGTTCTTCAGCTTTTGGACTCTTGGACTTACACCAGTGGTTTGCCAGGGGATCTCAGGCCTTTGGCCACAGACTGAAGGCTGTACTGTCAGCTTCCGTACTTTTGAGGTTTTGGGACTTGGACTGGCTTCCTCGTTCCTTAGCTTGCAGATGGCCTATCGTGGGACTTCACTTTGTGACATGTGAGTCAATAATCCTCCATAAATCTCCCTTCATAGATAAATCTATGCTATTAGTCCTGTCCCTCTAGAGGACCCTGACGAATACATCCAGGATATGCTCAAAGAAATTTGTTGTTAGGCAATTTTGTCCATGTGTGAACATCATAGCTTGTACTTATGTAAACCTAGTTTAGCCGATTACACACCTAGGCTATATGCTGTAGCATGTTGCTCCTAGACCACAACGTGTACAGCATGTTACCGTACTGTAGGCAATTGTAATATAATGGTAATATTTGTGTATTAAAACATTTAAACATAGAAAATGTATGGTAAAAATATGGTATAGAAGATAAAAAATGGTACACCTGTATAGGGAGGGCACTTACCATGAATGGGGCTTATAGGACCAAATGTTGTTCCAGGTGATCCATGAGTGAGCAGTGAGTGAATATAAAGTCCTAGGTCTTTACTGTACACTACTGTGGACTTTATAAACAGTGTACACTTAACGTTATACTAAATTTATAGAAAATATTTTTATTCAATAATAAATTAAACAGCTAACTATAACTTTTTACTTTATATAATTTTTAATATTTCTAACCTTTTGACTCTTTTGTAATAACAGTTTAAACACAAACATATTGTACAGCTATATAAAAATATTTTCTTTATATTCTTATTCTACAACCTTTTTATTTTTAAGATTTTCAATTTATTTTATTTTTGAAATATTTTTTGTTGAACACTAAGACACAAAAACACACATTAACTTAGGCCTACACAGGGTCAGGATCATTAATATCACTATCTTCCACCTCCACGTCTTGTCCCACTGGTAGATCTTCAGGGGAAACAGCAGGCATTGGAGCTGTCATTTTCTATGATAAAAACGCTTTCTTCTGGCATACTTCCCTAAAGATCTGCCTGAGGTTGTTTTTCAGTTAACTTTAAAAAATAATAAGTAGAAAGAGTACCCTGTAAAAGTTAGTTTAGTAAATATATAAACCAGTAATATAGTCACTTACTATTATCACTATCAAGTATTACCTACTGAACATAATTGTATGTGCTATAATTTTATTTGACTGGCAGGGCATTAGGTGTGTTTACACCGGCATCACCATAGACACATGAGTAGTGCATTACACTATGGCACTATAATGCCTTACAGCATTACTAAGTGATAGGAATTTTTCATTATAATGTTATGGGACCATTGTGGTGTATATGATTTGTTTCTGATTGAAACATTGTTATCTGGTGCATGACTATAAAGTATTTTACTTTTTTTTTTTTTAACTCATTGAACTAGGACCACCTTCTGTACCACATTGAATAATCAATGACGGGGGTTAACATTCAGTATGAGTTTTCCCTTGTGTAATTGGTAGATATTCTTTTTCAGGGAAGAAAATATCCTTCTATTCATAGTTTACTGAAAGATTTATTCACGTGGCATGAATGGGTATTCAGTTTTATAGAATGCTTTGTCTATATACGTGGAGATTATAACCATAGAAGAAGCAGGACTAGATAAAGTGTGATAAAAACAACTTTAATTTCATCTCTCTCCTTTGACTTCATACCTGCTTAATGCCCTAGTTCTTTTCCAGATTCTTGGATGAAGTGTAATGTAGACAGGCATTTCCTGTCACTACTAGTTTTAAAAAGTGGAAGTAAAAGGTGGGGGATTAGAGGAGGAGCCTTCAGTCTCTTCTAAGCCCAGATACAGTCTCATTTTAGTAGTGAAACCATCTATGTGCGGCTAATCTGAAATCCAAACTTTTCCAGCCCAGTTTTTTTTCCCAATTCCCAGAGTTTTCTCCCATTTGGTTTTGTTTTTGGAATAGAAGCTTAAAGTAGGGCAAGGAGCATGGTCAGCTTTGTTCCTTGGAACTCAGCCTCCTTCGCTGGTCACTAGCTGTTGTAAACCCTCCAAAGTCAGGTCTAGAAGAAAGAGATTTCGGTGAAAAAGAGAATAGGTTTAAATAGCTAGTATTCTCTTGCTCTCGTGTTAGAAATTTGTGGGCTTGACAGACATTCAAACCTGCTTTTTTCCCTAGTGATTATTTCTGGGATATCCAGAAATTTTCCCTGTTGGAACATAACTCCAGTTCCTATGTCATAGGCTATATCACCTTCAATTTGACATTTATGACTCTGACTCTCCGTTTTTGTTTTCAGGAGTCTATTTCTCTGTTTGGTTAGAGTCCCACTTATGACAATTTCATACCGGTTCCACCCACTTTTAAGTCAGCCCAGCCTATCTGTGCTCTGCTGCTTTGGATCTATAGCTAAAACTTCTCATGTTTATGTTTTCCAGGTATGTTTAAGAAACTCATTCTCTGTGTGTTCCAAACCCCAAGAGCACATGTATCAAGCAGTTCCCTTGAATTTCATCTCCCTTAACTTGAAGCACCCTCTCTCTGCTTTCCCTAGCAGTTGTCAGGAAGAAGTGCACAGCGCTCCAACAACTCTCTGTAAAGAAATCTCTACAAATCTTTCCAACCAGCTGTTCAACTCTTCAGCTACCTTTTGTATATCCCTATAGTAGCTTATAGCTAAGGTTCTCCTGGTAGGTTTTGTACCATTTCTTCTGCAAATTTTAGTTTTCTACCATTTTTCCCTGCAAATTCTGCGCAAGTGGATTAGATATAATGTGCAATTATATGGGACATACTCTTGTGTTCCTGTCTTTTGTGGCTTCTGCAAAACAGAAGTGTCCCATTTTAACATGCACCTGTAAAATGATCCAGTGTTTAAAAAAATTTGTGAATGTAGTGAATTGAATAAATAAATTTTCTAGCGTTAACAATTCTTGCATTTCATCCATGTTTATAGGAGATTATTCAGAAAATATTATTATCTATACTTAACTGAATGGAATCAGGCTAATTGTCATTCCTTTGCATGCCATCTGTCCCTTCTCTCTGGCTGCTTTATTATCTTCTTTTTGCCTTTGGTACTCTATATTTTCACTATGATTTTTTCAAATGTGGTTTTCTGTTTGGGAGCTATTTGAGGATTTATGCTCGTTGTCAATTCAGGAAAAATTTATTCATCATTTCTTTCAAACTTGCTTCTTTCTCATCTGTCCACTATCTTCTGAAATTCCAATGAAAAATATATACATTAATCTATCCTTTGTATCTCTTTATCTCGCCTTTATTTCTTTTTCTTTCTTTGTCTTCTTAGCTAATTTATTTAAATCTATTTTTCTGTTCATGAATAATCTTTTCAGATATCCTTTAACTTGCCATTTTATATATTATTGGTATTTTCTATTTAAAATTTTATATTATTTGTTTCAGTTAAAAATCTGTCCACTTGTTTCAGGCAGTTCATGTTTTATGAATTTTTGAATTCAACCTTTTATTCTTTCAAAAATTTAAAGCATACTTATGTTATATTCTGATACATTAGTCAGAATTCTCCAGAGAGAGCCAACAGGAGACAGAGAGATGGATGGATAGATAGATGGACAGATAGACAGACAAAAGGGTGTTTATTAGGGGAATTGGCTCACTTGATTATGGAGGTTGAGAAGTATTTCCATAGGCTATCTGCAAACTGGAGAACCAGAGAAGCTGGTAGCATGGCTCACGTCCAAGTTTGAAAGCCTCAGAACCAGGGAACCTGATAGTGTAACTCTCAGTTTGAGGCTGAAAAACTGAGAACCTGGGGGACTGCTGGCAGGTCCTAGAGTCCGAAGGCCCATGATTCTGGAGTACTGATATCCAAGGCTAAAGAAGGATTTTTCAGCTTCAGGAGGTAGAGAGAGAAAGTGAGTTTGCCTTTCTTCTGCCTTTTTGTTCTACGGAGGCCCTCAGTCAAATGCATGGTGCCCACCCACATTGATTTTCAGCAGATCTTTCTTACTCAGTACACTGATTCAAATGCTAATGTTTCTGGAAACGATCTCACAGATGTACCCATAAATAATGCTTTACCTACTACCTGGGTATCCCTTAATTTGGTTGAATTCATAACTGAAATTAACCATCGCATCTGCATTTTTTCATTCCAAGCATTAGAATCCCAGTGAATTGACTTCAGTCCCAACTGAAATCATTGGGAATATAATTTGCTTTTTATTATCCGCTTTTGTTCATAATTGCTTGTTTCTTCATATGTTGTAGTTGTAATAGTTTTGACTTGGGACCAATGTTTGCAATGTTTTTATTATTATTATTTTTTATCAGTACTAACTGTGTTTGTCCTATTTTGATGATATATCCGAGGAGTACTCTCAACTAGGGAAAACTTAGTTAATTTCTTAGCTAGGGATTTTCTGAACAATGTTAGCAACATAAGTTTGAATCCTAAGCCCTTATAGCACAGTTCTGTGGCTGAGAATTTTCAGGGTAGACTTTTCTTTTCAACTTATCTAGAGCACTGTCCATTTTTATTTAGTTGGATTGGGCTAGGCTTTACTATAGTACAAACCCCAAATGCTCATTAACTTAGTGCAACAAATGCTAATTTATTATTCGTGCTAAGCCCCATATGGGTCAGGGTGGAAGCTATCCTTCACATGGTGACTGAGGAACCCAGGTTCCTTCTATCTTGTAGCGCCACCATGTCAGTACATGGCTTCTGAATTTGTGTGTCAGGGAAGGTATTCAGACTATAATATCGTCAGTTATAGAAATCATGCAGACTTCTTTAACTAGTATAGTTCTTTATTTTTGATCAGTTAATGGTGTTTGAAGCTCAAGAAAAACATTAAGTTTTCTATGCTTGCCAAGCACAAGGACTGTTGTTACTGAAAGATTTATTATACACTGCTGTAAAATGTGTGTGTGTATATACATATACATATACACATATATATGGGTTCAAAATTTCTATGTTAAAAATATACATATATAGGTTCAAAAATTTCTGTGTTTAAATCTATATATATATATTTGTGTGTATATAAACTGTGAATATCTGTATACACACATACACACACACTCACAGAATAATATAAAAAATACTCAATGTTTTCTAACATAGAAAATGTGAGAACATAAAAACTCTCTAAAAGTAGGATTGGTGTAGAACTAGAAAGTTTCATTTTTTGACTAATCATTTATTTTGAATAAAATTTTAATTAAAGCATCAGATTGAAGTGCTATGATTAGTCATAAAGTTGGTCCTTTTCATAGGTCAAGATGCCTTAATATGTATCCTATAATCCTATGGCTGTTCTTTTGTCTTTTTATCTAATCTATTGCTGAACCCCCTGACACTTTTCCTTTATAATGGCTATCAGCATTACCTCTTTTTCTACTGTTACAGTGTTGATTGAGACTATACTCCTGTCTGGTTTGAATAACAGCAGTCTCCTCCAGTAATCCATAGCTTTTCAATTATCCTTTCCACTGGCTCTAAACTTATCTTCCCATTTCATTGCTTTTATCTTAGTTTCCATGTTTAAATCAAGGACATCATAAACTATATCACCTTCCTAGTCCAGATTTTGTTTCTCATACAGGATAAAATAATTATTTTCTGAATAAAATTCAAGTAAGAATTAGATGAAGTTAATTTGAGTTTTAAATTATCAGCTAAAATAACTACATTCTTCTCCTTTGTAATTAAAAAATAATGATAATTCTCAAGAGTAATAGGATACTGAATTCCTTTAGTCAAAGCTTGGGTATAGCATGGATAGGTGAAAGGGTCTGTGAAATCCCTGTGTACCTCCAACAAGTAAATTAGTTTCATTAAACTAGAAATAGACCAGTGTGGTTGAAAAAAGTGCAAGTCAAGGGACTAATTGTAGCTTGTTGAAAAGCTGCCGTTCTTTAATTCCATATATATTTTAGAAAAAAATTAGCTTTTTAATAAATAGTTACAAAGGAGAAAATAGAATTTGCAAGTTAGATATCATTTACAGTATATATCAAGGGCAATAAAATATCAGTAAGATAAATTAAAAATGATTTCTGCCCTTTCACAGAAATATTCTTCAAAAGATTCATCGATATGCTTTGGCATCAGTGCTGACCATCCACTCACTCCTGATCTTCTGGCAACTTTGATTTCTCTCTCCTGTTACTCTAATGAAGTCTCTCTGTTGTCACTAGTGAACAAATGGTCACATTTAATTTTTTTCTCTTTAGTCCATATCTGCCTGGACATTTCTGAAATATAACACTGTTGAACATGTTTACCTTCCTTTGCTCCACAACCTCAGCTCCTCTGTGGTGATCTTTTTGAAAACACACACACACACACACACACACACACACACTTTAAAAGTTGAATATATGTTAGACTTTTTTACTCTTTTCATCCCCTAAATGAAAGTATTAATCAAGATTTATTTTAGCCCATTGACTTTCTCTTTACATATTCTTCCTCAAATGGTTCCTTCACCCTCACAGTTTCAAGTAACCTCATTCTTATGCTTTTAATTTTAGGGTATCTTGGGCTGTGTTAGAACTAGTTGACTGAACACTGCCTACAGCTCTTTAAATTCTGGGTTCTGTAGGCTTTAAAATTTTCCATTATGGGAAAACCAAAGGAAATCACTAGGTGGAAAATTAATTTTCTGGAATATAGCAGCAGTGACTCTCAAGGCTGGATGAAATGAAGCTGTAGACTTCATGCAGTCTCAGTTGAGAGCATCTTAATTCTCTCTGGAGATTCTTAACCTCTCCATGATGGCCAATGAGGAAAAGTAATTTATGTAAGTCTGGAGACCCCATCTGAGTGAATCTAGTTGCACTGAAAGAAAGTGATTTACTTTTTTTATGTCTTTCTTTTTTCATTTGTATTATTTCTGCAGTCTTTTCTTCACCTCCCTTTCCAGGTCACTAAAAATACCAGTTGTGAATAGCTTTGCTTAGATTCGTTGCTACAGTGAAATTTTCGGAGACCTTAAATTTTATTTTGAAGCTTCTGGCTCTGCTCTGAGAAGACGATCATGAAATGGCTTTCTTTCTCTTTTTAGTATGTCCTTAAACTGAAAATTTTTTTAAAAAATTGGTGGGGGTGAATAATTAGTTTATAAAATAGCTGTGTCAGCTACTGTGTAAACTTACAATTTTCCACCAGTGTTTGGAAACATTTACGTTTGTGTAGCAGTTCATAGCTCTGTAGCCAAGTTTATGTAACCATAAATAGAATTGGAGAGAAAAAATTTAGAGGGAAGAAACTAGAACTACCCAAGGGAATTAAAGGATTAACATAGCAGATCTCGAACCCATTGTCTTGCTGAGTTGGATTGGGGAATGTGTCACCCTTAGAAAAATAGAAGGCAGGTTACCTGGTCTAATCTACTTAAAACATGCTAATGTAAGACATCCTGGCAAAGCTCATGATATTTATTACACTAGCAGAAGTTCTTATCTGTGGAATGCCTTACGAGGATGTACTTAATTATTTAAGATTGTTTATAGTAAACAAACCTATGGATTTATGTGGAGAGCTTGCTGCAAATTGTCGTATAAACTATGCAACTGTCTGATGTAATCTGCTGTGTATTAGCTTCCTTACTGCTTATCTTTTTGAAATGAACAAAATTTGATAGTGTGGAAGATATCTGATTTGTGTATGTTTTATTTGACAATTTGAATTTTTTTTGTGTATAAATGCAGCTCCAGTATATGTAGCACGTAACACTAGTTTTGAAAAAGATAGGTCTAGGTTATGGCATTTAGATTTGTGTTACTTAACTTTTACAACCTCAAGTTTTCCTAATCTTTATAAAGAGAGAACAGACTTGTTCTGAGAGTTTTGCTGGTATTAAATGGTGTACAGGAAGAAAAATTTCACCTCCATCCTCTTAAGGTCTGAGCTGGGTCTGAGGATGAAATTGACATAACATAGATTAACAGGAGAAAAGCATGATACAAACTTTTCTTTTTTTTTTGGGGAGGGGAACAGGACCCCTTATAAGGAATTTAAGACCCAGGGTAGTAGTTAAGTCAGTTACTTATTTACTGCATTGAACAAAGAGTAGCAAGTTGTGAAGAAGTGTCTACCTTATGTGGGGAGGCTTAAAAGATGAGTTACTTTTCACAAGGTCTGTATAAGAATTCTTTTTGGCTCCATTCCAAGATGGCCAAATAGGAACAGCTCCAGTCTGCAGCTCCCAACGTGATCGACACAGAAGATGGGCGATTTCTGCATTTCCAACTGAAGTATCTGGTTCATCTCACTGGGACTGGTTGGACAGTGGGTGCAGCCCATGGAGGGCGAGCTGAAGCAGGGTGTAGTGTCGCCTCACCTGGGAAGCACAAGGGGTCGGGGGATTTCCCTTTCCTAGCCAAGGGAAGCTGTGACAGACTCTACCTAGAAAAACACTCCTACCCAAATACCGCACTTTTCCCAAGGTCTTAGCAACTGGCAGACAGGGAGATTCTCTCCCATGCCTGGCTCGGTGGGTCCCACACCCACAGAGCCGTGCTCACTGCTAGTGGAGCAGTCTGAGATTGAACTTTGAGGCAGCAGCCTGGCTGGGGGAGGGGCGTCAGACATTGCTGAGGTTTGAGTAGGTAAACAAAGCTGCCGGGAAGCTTGAACTGGGCAGAACCCACCACAGCTCAGCAAGGCCTACTACCCCTATAGACTCCATCTCTGTGGGCAGGGCATAGCTGAACAAAATGCAGCAGACAACTTCTGCAGACTTAAACGTCCCTGTCTCACAGCTCTGAGGAGAGCAGTGGTTAGCACGGCATTTGAGGTCTGAGAATGGACAGACAGCCTCCTCAAGTGGGTCCCTTACCACCGTGTAGCCTAACTGGGAGACACCTCCCAGTAGGGGCCGACAGACACCTCACCTAGGTGGTTGCCCCTCTGGGACGAAGCTTCCAGAGGAAGGATCATTCAGCATTAGTTGCTGTTCTGCAATATTTGCTGTTCTGCAGCCTCCGCTGGTGATATCCAGGCAAACAGGGTCTGGGGTGGACCTCCAGCAAACTCCAACAGACCTGCAGCTGAGGGACATGACTGTTAGAAGGAAAACTAACAGACAGAAAGGAATAACATCAACATCAACAAATAGGACATCCACAACAAAACTCCATTTGTAGGTCACCATCATCAAAGACCAAAGGTAGATAAAACAACAAAGATGGGGAGAAACCAGAGCAGAAAAGCTGAAAATTCTAAGAACGATAGCACCTCTTCTCCCCTAAAGGATTGCAGCTCCTTGCTAGCAATGAAACAAAGCTGGACAGAGAATGACTTTGACAAGTTGACAGAAGTAGGCTTCAGAAGGCCAGTAATAACAAACTTCTCTGAGCTAAAGGACCATGTTTTAACCCATTGCAAGGAGGCTAAAAACCATGAAAAACGTTAGATGAATGGCTAACTAGAATAAACAGTGTAGAGAAGACCTTAAATGGCGTGATGGAGCTGAAAACCACAGCACGAGAACTTCGTGATATATGCACAAGATTCATTAGCCGGTTCGATCAAGTGGAAGAAAGGGTATCAGTGACTGAAGATCAAATTAATGAAATAAAGTGAGAAGACAAGGTTGGAGAATAAAGAATAAAAAGAAATGAACAAAGCCTCCAAGAAATATGGGACTATGTGAAAAGACAAAAATCTACATTTGATTGGTGAACAGGAAAGTGACAGGGAGAATGGAATCAAGTTGGAAAAAAACTCTTCAGGAAATTAACCAGGAGAACTTCTTCAACCTAGCAAAGCAGGCCAACATTCAAATTCAGGAAATACAGAGAACACCACAAAGATACCCCTCTAGAAGAGCAACCCCAAGACACATGATTGTCAGATTCACCAAGATTGAAAAGAAGGAAAAAATGTTTAAGGCAGCCAGAGAGAAAGGCTGGGTTACCCACAAAGGGAAGCCCCTCAGACTAACAGCTGATCTACAAGCCAGAAGAGAGTGGGGGCCAATATTCAACACTCTTAAAGAAAAGAGTTTTCAACCCAGAATTTCATATCCAGCCAAACTAAGCTTCATGAGTGAAGGAGAAATAAAATACGTTACAGACAAGCAAAGGCTGAGAGATGTTGTCACTACCAGGCCTGCCCTAAAAGAGCTCCTGAAGGAAGTACTAAACATGGAAAAGAACAACTGGTACCAGCCACTGCAAAAACATGACAAATTGTAAAGACCATCAAGGCTAGGAAGGAACCGCATCAACTAACAAGCAAAATAACCAGCTAACATCATAATGACAGGATCAAATTCACACATAACAATACTAACCTTACATGTAAATGGGCTAAATGCTCCAATTAAAAGGCACAGACTGGCAAATTGGATAAAGAGTCAAGACCCATCAGTGTGCTGTATTCAGCACGTGCAGAGACACACATAGGCTCAAAATAAAGGGATGGAGGAAGATCTACCAAGAAAATGGAAGACAAAAAAAGGCAGGGGTTGCAATCCTAGTCTCTGATAAAACAGACTTTAAACCAACAAAGATCAAAAGAGACAAAGAAGACCATTACATAATCGTAAAGGGATCAATTCAACAAGAAGAACTAACTATCCTAAATATATATGCACCCAATACAGCAGCATCCAGATTCATAAAGCAAGTCCTTAGTGACCTAAAAAGAGACTTAGACTCCTACACAATAATAATGGGAGACTTTAACACCCCACTGTCAACATTAGACAGATCAACGAGACAGAAAGTTAACAAGGATATCCAGGAATTGAACTCAGCTCTGCACCAAGCAGATCTAATAGACATCTACAGAACTCTCCACCCCAAATCAACAGAATATACATTTTTTTCAGCACCACACCACACCTATTCCAAAATTGACCACATACTTGGAAGTAAAGCACTCCTCAGCAAATGTAAAAGAACAGAAATTATAACAAACTGTCTCTCAGACCACAGTGCAATCAAACTAGAACTCAGGATTAAGAATCTCACTCAAAACCGCTAAACTACATGGAAACTGAACAACCTGCTCCTGAATGACTACTGGGTACATAACGAAATGAAGGCAGAAATAAAGATGTTCTTTGAAACCAATGAGAAAAAAGACACAACATACCAGAATCTCTGGGACACATTCAAAGCAGTGCATAGAGGGAAATTTATAGCACTAAATGCCCACAAGAGAAAGCAGGAATGATCTAAAATTGACACCCTAACATCACAATTAAAAGAACTAGAGAAGCAAGAGCAAACACATTCAAAAGCTAGCAGAAGGCAAGAAATAACTAAGATCAGAGCAGAACTGAAGGAAATAGAGACTCAAAAAACCCTTCAAAAAATCAATGAATCCAGGAACTGGTTTTTTGAAAAGATCAACAAAATTGATAGACAGCTAGCAAGACTAGTAAAGAAGAAAAGAGAGAAGAATCAAATAGACGCAATAAAAAATAACAGAGGGGATATCACCACCAATCCCACAGAAATACAATCTACCATCAGAGAATACTATAAACACCTCTATGCAAATAAACTAGAAAATCTAGAAGAAAAGGATAAATTCCTCGACACATACACCCTCCCAAGACTAAAACAGGAAGAAGTTGAATCTCTGAATAGACCAATACCAGGCTCTGAAATTGAGGCAATAATTAATAGCTTACCAACCAAAAAAAGTCCAGGACCAGATGGATTCACAGCCGGATTCTACCAGAGGTACAGGAGGAGCTGGTATCATTCCTTCTGAAACTATTCCAATCAATAGAAGAAGAGGGAATTCTCCCCAACTCATTTTATGAGACCAGCATCATAAAAAAGCCTGGCAGAGACACAACAAAAAAAGAGAATTTTAGACCAATATCCCTGATGAACATCGATGCAAAAATCCTCAATAAAATACTGGCAAACCAAATCCAGCGGCACATCAAAAAGCTTATCCACCAAGATGAAGTGGGCTTCATCCCTGGGATGCAAGACTGGTTCAACATACCCAAATCTATAAACGTAATCCATCGCATAAACAGAACCAATGACAGAAACCATGTGACTATCTCGATAGATACAGAAAAGGCCTTTGACAAAATTGAACAGCCCTTCATGCTAACAACTCTTAATAAACTAGGTATTGATGGAACATATCTCAAAATAATAAGAGCTATTCATGTCAAACCCACAGCCAATATAATACTGAATGGGCAAAAACTGGAAGCATTCCCTTTGAAAACTGGCCCAAGACGGGGATGCCCTCTCTCACCACTCCTATTCAACATAGTGTTGGAAGTTCTGGCCAGGGCAATCAGGCAAGAGAAAGAAATAAAGGGTATTCAATTAGGAAAAGAGGAAGTCAAATTGTCCCTGTTTGCAGATGATATGATTGTATATTTAGAAAACCCTGTCGTCTCAGCCCCAAATTTCCTTAAGCTGATAAGCAACTTTAGCAAAGTCTCAGGATACAACATCACTGTGCAAAAATCATAAGCATTTTATACACTAATAACGGACAAACAGCCAAATCATGAGTGAACTCCCGTTCGCAATTGCTACAAAGAGAATAAAATACCTAGGAATCCAACTTACAAGGGAAGTGAAGGACCTCTTCAAGGAGAACTACCAACCACTGCTCAATAAAATAAAAGAGGACACAAACAAATGGAAGAACCTTGCATGCTCATAGATAGGAAGAATCAATATCGTGAAAATGGCCATACTGCCCAAGGTAATTTATAGATTCAATGCCATCCCCATCAAGCTACCAATGACTTTCTTCATAGAATTGGAAAAAACTACTTTAAAGTTCATATGGAACCAAAAAAGAGCCCGCATTGCCAAGACAATCCTAACCAAAAAGAACAAAGCTGGAGGCATCACGCTACCTGACTTCAACTATACTACCTAAAGCCATAAAAACCCTAGAAGAAAACCTAGGCAGTACCATTCAGGGTATAGGGATGGGGAAAGGCTTCATGACTAAAACACCAAAAGCAATGGCAACATAAGCCAAAATAGACAAATAGGATCTAATTAAACTAAAGAGCTTCTTCATGGCAAAAGAAACTACCATCAGAGTGAACAGGCAACCTACAGAATGGGAGAAAATTTTTGCAATCTACCCATCTGACAATGGGCTAATATCTAGAATCTACAAAGAACTCAAACAAATTTACAAGAAAACAAACAACCCCATCAAAAAGTGGGCAAAGGACACTTCTCAAAGACACTTCTCAAAAGAAGACATCTATGCAGCCAACAGACAGATGAAAAAATGCTCACCATCACCGGTCATCAGAGAAATGGAAATCAAAACCACAACGAGATAGCATCTCATGCCAGTTAGAATGGCGATCATTGGAACATCACACTCTGGGGCCTGTTGTGGAGTTGGGGGAGGGGGGAGAGATAACATTGGGACATATACCTAATGCTAGATGACGAGTCAGTGGGTGCAGCGCACCAGCATGGCACGTGTATACATATGTAACTAACTTGCACATTGTGCACATGTACCCTAAAACTTAAAGTATAATAAAAAAAAAAAGAAAAAAAAAGTCAGGAAACAACAGATGCTAGAGAGGATGTGGAGAAATAGGAATGCTTTTACACTGTTGGTGGGAGTGTCAATTAGTTCAACCATTGTGGAAGACAGTGTGGAGATTCCTCAAGGATCTAGAACTAGAAAAACCATTTGACCCAGTGACCCCATTACTGGGTATATACCCAAAGGATTATAAATCATGCTACTATAAAGACACACGCACATGTATGTTTACTGTGGCTCTATACACAATAGCAAAGACTTGGAACCAACTCAAATGTCCATCAGTCATAGACTGGATTAAGAAAATGTGGCACATACACACAATGGAATACTACGCAGCCATAAAAAAAGGATGAGTTCATGTCCTTTTGTAGGGACATGGATGAGGCTGGAAATCATCACTCTGAGCAAACTATCACAAGGACAGAAAACCAAATACCACATGTTCTCCCTCCTAGGTGGGAATTGAACAATGAGAACATTTGGACACAGGGCAGCGAACATCACACACCTGAGCCTGTCAGGGGGTGGGGGGCTGGGGAAGGGATAGCATTAGGAGAAATACCTAATGTAAATGATGAGTTGATGGGTGCAGCAAACCAACATGGCACATGTATACCTATGTATCAAACCTGCACATTGTGCACATGTAACCTAGAGCTTAAAGTATAATAATATTAATAGAATTCTTTTGGTTTTGACTTCTTATCTTTGCATCTGTCTAGTGTAGGGAGGGCATCGTTCACATGGGTATTTTTTCTGCCTTTAAGAAACAGCATGAAGGTCAAAGAGATCTTTTTGCTCCTGCTGTTATTTCTAAGTGCCTTTAACTCAAATAGTTAATACGGAAGAGTGATATATTTTTAACTCCTTTATTCCCCTGTCTGAAACTTCCTAAATGTTTCACACATTAAAACCTGACTTGGTGGCTATGGAGAAAAGAATTGGGTTAGTGGCTCAGTAGCAAGAGATCTGCAAAGGGAGAAAAAAATATAAATGGAAGCAAGCAGAAAAGAACACACTTAAGTATATATTCCAGTATCTTACTTAATCAGTTTCTTAGTAATGAGAATACTTTAGTCCAGTTAAGAAGTTGTGTCTCATTTTAGGAGGTGATGTTGTAAGTGGACTTCCATCTAAGTTATGTCTTTATATGACGTGAGAACAAGAGGTATTTCTAAGGCAAAGAAAAGAAAACAAAAATTAATGGTTGGAAAAATTATAAATTCATCCAATTTTTAAATCTGGGGTAATCAGTTGAAAAAGTTTCTAAATATTGGGTTTGAAGTATCTTTAGTTTGGATGTCTTTAAGTCATGCCTGAGTGTTCCATAGGGAAATAGGCTTGAAGATTGTTCATATATAAGCTGTTGTGATTTTTCTGAAGTCTATATGGAATTGTCCAACTTTAGTTTGCAAGGCTACAAAAAAGTGAAATTTTAGCTTTTAGTAATTTCAGGTCAGAAATATGAGAGAAAAAGCTGGTGTGGTGGCATGTGCCAGTAGTCCCAGCTACCCAAGAGGCAGACGTCGGGGGATCACTTGAGCCCAGGAGTTTGAGATCAGCCTGGCCAACATAGCCAGACCCCATCTAAAAAAGAGAGAAAGAATGAAAAACAAGGTGAAAGAAAAATTAGAAATGCTAATTATTGATGAAATTATTTTAGCCTGCAGATAAATCAGGCAAGTATTTTAAAAATCACAGAAGCAAGGAACCTAAAAGTCAAAACATATGGGTTTTTAAAACTGTTTTTAGCTGGGCAGGTAGCTCACACCTGTAATCCCAGCACTCTGGGAGGCCAAGGTGGGTGGATCACCTGAGGTCAGGAATTTGAGACCGGCCTTGCCAACATGGTGAAACCCCGTCTCTACTAAAAATACAAAAATTAGCCGGGCATGGTGGCGGGTGCCTGTAATCACAGCTACTTGGGAGTCTGAGACAGGAGAATCACTTGAACCTGAGAGGCGGAAGTTGCAGTGAGCTGAAATCGTGCCATTGCACTCCAGTCTGGGCAACAGAGTAAGACTGTGTCTCCAGAAAGAAAACAAAACAAAACTTTGTTTTTTATTGATATGTTTGACATACATCAATAAATTTATTCATTTTACATGTTATTCTCAGGTTGAATTTATACTTTTACAATCTTAAATATACATAAGCTTTTTGATTAGTAAATTCAGGTAGAAGTTGTATGTCTGCATTATATTTAATGTTGTTAACTTTGAAGACGTGCCTGTTTCAATTAAACCAACGACTTAAACTAGATTTTTTATTTACCAAAGGTTATACCAGATTATGTGAACTTGAAAAACTTTTAGGTTAGTTCCTATTTTTCTGAAAAAATGGTTAATTTCTATAAGTGCTTACTTTCTTCTTTTAAGTCAAATCTTCCTATAGGTACCGATGAGAGTGCTCTAAAAAAACCAAAAAACAAACATCAAAACTTTTAGATGCAAAAGTCCAAATCTCCAGAAGTATACCTACTTTGTGACTCAAACCCGATAAGCCCTTTTTATGGCTGGAAACCAATAAGCCTTTTGTGGCTTAACCATGGATGCCAGAAGTGTGTCCCTAGGGGTGCAAAAGATGCTGTTCCCCTCAAGATTCAAACGCTGTCTTAATGATAGCCTCAGAAACTGAGTACCTTCACTGTTAACAAGGCAATGGGGTTGAGACAATTAAGACAAACACCAAGGATTGCTGGTATGGTCAGGCAAAAAGACATTGCGTTTTGGGCTGTAGTCTGCTGGCAAGCCACCTAATGCAAGCCCGTACCCGCCGAAGTGGTATAAACCAGAGAGAATATTTTCACTGGTCACAAAGCCAAGCTCTCAAGATGAAAGGAGAATTTCTTTTTTTAAAAAAAAATTTTATTATTATTATACTTTAAGTTTTAGGGTACATGTGCACAATGTGCAGGTTTGTTACATATGTATACATGTGCCATGTTGGTGTGCTGCACCCATTAACTCATCATTTAGCATTAGGTATATCTCCTAATGCTATCCCTTCCCCCTCCCTCCACCCCACAACAGTCCCGGGTGTGTGATGTTCCCCTTCCTGTGTCCACGTGTTTTCGTTGTTCAATTCCCACCAGTGAGTGAGAACATGTGGTGTTTGGTTTTTTGTCCTTGCGATAGTTTGCTGAGAATGATGGTTTCCAGCTTCATCCATGTCCCTACAAAGGACATGAACTCATCATTTTTTATGGCTGCATAGTATTCCATGGAGTATATGTGCCGCATTTTCTTAATCCAGTCTATCGTTGTTGGACATTTGGGTTGGTTCCAAGTCTTTGCTATTGTGAATAGTGCCGCAATAAACATACGTGTGCATGTGTCTTCATAGCAGCATGATTTATAATCCTTTGGGTATATACCCAGTAATGGGATGGCTGGGTCAAATGGTATTTCTAGTTCTAGATCCCTGAGGAATCGCCACACTGACTTCCACAATGGTTGAACTAGTTTACAGTCCCACCAACAGTGTAAAAGTGTTCCTATTTCTCCACATCCTCTCCAGCACCTGTTGTTTCCTGACTTTTTAATGATTGCCATTCTAACTGGTGTGAGATGGTATCTCATTGTGGTTTTGATTTGCATTTCTCTGATGGCCAGTGATGATGAGCATTTTTTCATGTGTTTTTTGGCTGCATAAATGTCTTCTTTTGAGAACTGTCTGTTCATATCCTTCGCCCACTTTTTGATGGGATTGTTTGTTTTTTTTTCTTGTAAATTTGTTGGAGTTCATTGTAGATTCTGGATATTAGCCCTTTGTCAGATGAGTAGGTTGTGAAAATTTTCTCCCATTTTGTAGGTTGCCTGTTCACTCTGATGGTAGTTTCTTTTGCTGTGCAGAAGCTCTTTAGTTTAATTAGGTCCCATTTGTCAATTTTGGCTTTTGTTGCCATTGCTTTTGGTGTTTTAGACATGAAGTCCTTGCCCATGCCTATGTCCTGAATGGTATTGCCTAGGTTTTCTTCTAGGGTTTTTATGGTTTTAGGTCTAACATGTAAGTCTTCTATTATGTGGTTCCTCCTTATAACAAATCACATAACAAGACAGAGACAAAAGAACAAGCACTATTCCTGGAAGGCTGTAGGTAAATAATTTGTGAGTACCCAGAACAAAATTCACTAGAGAGTCCACATTTCAAATAATCAATTCTTATAAATGTTTTTGTCCTTCCAATCCAAATTTGGAAAAGAATGAACAAAGAAACATTTTATACTTTCCTCTGAACTGGCCACTATATAAGAGATCCAGGAGAGCCGATGCTGGTAAGAATTCCTACCTATTGCAGACTTTTGTCAGCCTTCTCAGGATCCCATCTGCAGGCTTCAAAGCAGGGGGATATACCAGCCTTTTAGGGTCCTATCTGAGTTGCCACAAAACTCAGGAGCGGAAAAGTTCCACCTTCATTCTCTTAGGGTCTCAGCTAAGTTTGGGAATTAAAACATCGTAACATAGATTAACAGGAGAAAAGCATAGTACAAGTTTTACATGGCATGGGAGCCCTCATAAAAATATGAAAACCCAAAAAAGAAGACTCAATTACTTACATACTAATTGGACATGGAGTAGTAAGTTGTGAAAAAGCAACTAGATTGTGGAGATACTTATAAGGTAAGAGTTATTTTTCACAAAGTCTATTCAAAATTCTGTTTCAATTTATTGTCCTTGAGGATAAGTATGTTGTATCTTTCTAGTATAGGAGGGCATCTTTCATATGGGAATTTCATCTTCTGCTTTTAAGAAACAGCATAAAGGTCAGATTGATTCTTTTGCATTTGATTTTTTTAAGTGCCTTTAACCTAAATACTTAATATGGTAGAGTGATATATTTTAAACTCTTTCAATGGCAAACTTGTTAAATCACCTGTCACAGCAATTGGCACTGTCAATTTCAATTAGATGGCAAACTTCTCGAAGTCTAGGACTCTGATATATAATTCTTTATGTCCTACACACCTATTACTGTACCAATAAATAATGGCTCCTCAATAAATATTTATAGAATGAATGAACATGTTAGGTGACAAAAATAAGATGGTAAGTGACAAATCATGGTGTTGTTTTTCTTTTAAAAGGTAACCTATCTGATGATAGATACATATTTTAAGCATGATTACATTTAGTATAAGGGAGCTTCATGGGGGAAACTGCTAAATGTGCACCTATATATGTTTCCCTTTTTTTTTTTTTTAAGAAATAAAGTTATAGTTAGGCATTTGCCCACCAGCTGGAGACTGTTTCCAAGCTCTCTCTTTCCTGCAATATGGTTATGTGACTAAGTTATTTTCAGTGGAACTGGAGCAGAAATAACCTATGTTACTTTTGGGACTGTGTTTTAAAGCATTGGAGGTACACAACCACACTTGCCTTCTTGTTAGCTGGACATGGATATACCTGAAGCCCAGCTTTGACAATGCAGGTAAGAACCATAACCACGAGATGGAAGAGAAACGTGATAAAAGTCACTTGGATGATGAATGACTTAAGAGAATGGAGCAACTGCCTGCCAATCTTGGAACAGAATTTGAATGAGAAGTAGGAAACTACTTCTTCTACTCAATTTTGGGTTTCCTCCTTATAGCAACTTAACTTTTAAAATTGTAGTATAAGTAGGAAAAGGTAAACAAATGAAAAGCTCTAAATTATGATGTTTTGGTTGATAAGGAGATCTGATTCATTTGCAAGTTTAAGAGTAACACTGGAGAAAAAGGCTTAAAAGGATGCATTTATGATTTTATTTTTTAGTCTTCTTTTAAGTTATTTAAATATTTAAAGTACCATGTCTATTTTAGGAATTGTTTTACATTTAACTCTAATTAACAATAAAATCTCAAAGAGATACAAAGTTTTATTATCTGCTCATTACATTTAAGATACTTTCATCATCTTTAAAAATGATGTTGTATTTACAGTAGTGAATTTATACCCGATAGATTTTAAGTTCCCAAAAGAGTTTAAAGAGAGCAGTTTTTATTGCATAAGATTTTCCCTTACTTTGTCTGCTCTTTAACGTTTGAATAAGTCTTCTCTTTTAAGAGTATGGATGCTCTTGAACTTATGATGAGGTTAAAATGTCCTGATGAACCCATTGTAAGTTGAAAATATTATAAGTCAAAAATGCATTTAATACACCTAGCCTACCAAACATCATAGCTTAGCCTAGCTTACCTTAAACGTGCTGAGGAGCACTTACATAAGCCTACAGTTGGGCAAAATCATCTGGCAACACAGTCCACTGTAGACTATCAGTTGTTAACACTAGTGATTTTGTGGTTGACTGGGAGCTATGGCTGGCTGCTGCTGTCCAGCATTGTGATAGATTATTATACAGCATATTGCTAGCCCCAGAAAAGATCAAAATTCTAATTAGACGCACGATTTCCACTGAATGCATTATTGCCTTTGCACCATTGTATAATAAAAAAATCCTGTCCGACCATTATAAGTTGGGGATCATCTGTATATGAATTCTGTTGCTTTTGTGTTACAAAATTCATTGCATTACCATTTCAATGAAAATTTTTATCTTTTGGCTGTGCTCAATTTACATGTAAATATTTTTAGTCAGACTTTCAGGGGAGCATTTTGTTTTCTTTATCCAAATTCTTCTTCATGCTACACTTCCACTTAGGTCATATGTGAACTAAGAAGATTTTCTTTTTCCTTTTCTTTTTTTTTCTTTTTCTTTTCTTTTCTTTCTTTCTTTATTTTTTTCACTCCATCGGCCAGGTTGGAGTGCAATGGCATGGTCATGGCTCACTACAGCCTCCACGTGGCCTCACCTCCTCCCAACCCATAGGGCTCAAGAGATCCTCTCACCTCAGCCTCCAGGGAAGCTAGGACTGAAGGTGTGTGCCAGCATGCCCAGCTTTTTTTTTTTTTTTTTTTTTTTGTATTTTTTTGGAGGCAGGGTATAACCATGTTGCCTAGGCTAGATATCTAAAATGTAAGAAACATGGACCACATCATTTCATAGATGGTTGCTATAGGAAACAAATGTTTGAGGTGTGGCTAGGTTTTAGTTTTAGGCAAAAAATAAATTATAGTAGTTTCTTATAAATAAATAGGAAATAATTTCTAGGTTAAATACCCATTTTATAAATCCTCATAGAATTGTGTATAAACTTGTAGCATCTGTCAAGAATACCATTTTACCTTTCATTGGTCTGATTATTTGAGTAATGTCTTCCTTCCTCTTCCAACTTTGTTCAGGAAGACACTGTGCCTGTTTTTGGTATTGCTCTAAATCCAATTCCTAGCACAGTATCTGACTTTATAAGTTTGCAATTAATATTTGAAAGTTAAAGAAGCACATGAAATTGATTAAAGCTGTACTATCAATGCATACCTGGTATAACAAATTGATGCTATACTTTTCTCACACCAGAAAACTTTTTTCCTTTCTTTTAATTTATTTTGAAATATGTAAATTCCAGTTAGACACAATAGAAGCACAATAAAACATTTACCTATATACATAAAAATGATTATATTATTTAGATACCTAGATGTATAATTTAACATAAAATATCAAGATTAAAAATACAAAATTTGCACAGTAATTCTATATAAGGAAAAAATAAAGAATATAGTGGCAAAAGCAAGATTTATGGTATATCAGAATGCTCAAATCTTGACAAAATATTTTTATATTTTAAAAGTATTATTAAATATAATAAAATATTGAATATAGTATTAAAGATGAAGAATTATGTACTGTCCAATGTTATCTAGGATTCAAAGAAATCAGAGCTCTATATTGTTTTTCTGAGTAATATATATGTGTTATATTTGGTTATATATAAGTCTTAAAAATGTGAATATAATAATAAGCATTTTAAATCTTAGGAATTTATTTTAATAAAACAATAATTACTTGTAAAATGGAAACAATTTAAATATTCAAGAATATAAATAATTAATTCTTTGATGAAAAATAACTAACTCAAAGTACATTTTAAACTTTTTTATCCAAATAGGTAACAAGTAATATGAAATAATTAGATGTGGCAATTTGCGATTCCAGTTTATTTAGGTTAATCACTATAATTGCTTGTGGATACTAACTGGTGGATTTCATTGGTGCTGTTTGTTGGTATACCATCCTGGTAGCTTTGAATTAGAATAATATTGACTCACTTTAAAACAAGAAGAGCAATAATGATTTACTCTTTCCATTTTATATGGCCCTTTCAGGAAGAACAATTTCATAGGCTGATAGAAACAGAAAATAGAAGAAATGCTAAATGACAAGTTAATGGGTGCAGCACACCAACATGGCACATGTATACATATGTAACAAACCTGCATGTTGTGCACATGTATCCTAAAACTTAAAGTATAATAATAATAATAAAAGAATAAAATAAAATCTGTAACCATAAAAAAAAAGATGTGCCATACTAACTGAGAAAAAAAAAAAAAAGAAAATAGAAGAAATGGTCCTATTTGAAAAGAGAGAAGGTAGAGGCATATTTTGCTGCATAATTCATTTTAATAACAAGAGGATTACAAACTAAAGGAAATAATTATTAGATCATATTACTAAAAGTCTTCGTTTTCCACTGAAATAGCTGAAATAACTTTAGGTGGGTCTTGTGAAAAACAGTGCTATGTGTTACTACAGATTTGGAAATGCGACTGGATTTAAAATCATATTTGGAATAATAAGACTGAAGACAGCAGAGGTCAAGTGTTAACTAGATTTGCAGGGGTTCACAAAGACCTCAGATCTGGATGGGTGTCTGTATTAGTTCATTTTCGCACTGCTATAAAGACACTACACCTGAGACTGGGTAATTTATGAAGGAAAGAGGTTTGATTGACTCACGCTTCCACATGGCTGGGGAGGCCTCAGGAAACTTAACAGTCATGGTGGAAGGGGAAGCAGGCACATCTTACGTGGTGGCAGGCGAGAGGGAAGAGAAAGCTAAGAGAGAAGAGCCCCTTATGAAACCATCAGATCTCATGAGAACTTACTCACTATCATTAGAACAGCATGGGAGAAACCACCCCCATGATCCAATCACCTCCCTCCCGCAATACCTGGGGATTACAGATCTCTCCCTTGACACATGGGGATTACAATTCAAGATGGGTTTTGGGAGGGGACACAGAGCCAATCCACATCAGTGTCATTCTTTGGAAAGATTTTATTTTTTTAATTGAAGGTCACTCAATTTTCCAGGTAACTCATTTCAAGAATTTACCATTATTTAATTATATTTACAAATAAAACAATTTAAATATAAATTTAACTCAACTCCACAAATAAACAGATCATTCAAAAGAAAGCCTTATCTTTTGGGAAGAAATAATTGCCCTCCATAAAAGTGTTCTTTTTTTTCCTCAAACTTGAAACTACTACAACTTTTGTTTTGACAGGGTGTACATTATGAAGTTTCTTTTTTTAGCTTAAACTAGTTTTCTTTTATTTTTTTACTTATGAAAGGGACCATTTAATTTTTTAGGACAAATTTTATTTTTTTAAACTTTCAAATACAAGATTATGTATTGCATTTATATATTGCTTTAGGAGTAGAAGGCCCCCACTGAGCCTTATAGCCTTAGGTATACTAGAAAATTCTGTACCAATCAGAGAAATACAATAGTGTCCTTAACAGATCACATTACAATCATTGAGTCTGTATCATGCAGAATAATAATCATTTATATGATTTGTGAGAGAGCAGAGCCTTGAGTCTTTTAAAATCATTTCCTTTCTTTCTTCACCATCTTTTCTTCTAGAGTCAATTAGTACTTTTGCTCGACAGGGTATTAAGGAGGGAAATTTTTTTCTAAGATTCTTCAACTGGTTTGGCCGCTAACATGACATTCTGCCTTTTAAAATTAATTAATTATTATTTTAAAAATTCATGGTGTGTTTGTTGTGCAGTCAGATATAGGGTTTTTATCTGTTAAGTAATACTGAACATGAAAGATTTTGTTAGAGCAAAGGTCAAAGTGGCTAGGCAAATGTTATCTTCAAGTTGCATCTACAATTTTCTGTGTTTCAACTTTCATTTTTTAAAGAATATGTTACTGTCTTTGTAAAACACATTACAAAGGCATTAAAATGCATTACAAAGAGTTCACACTTCACAGAAAAAAAAATTTCTCCATCCAGAAATAACAATTGAGTTCACATTAAGTAATTATAATTTCAGATTTTTTTTCATGCATTGTAACAAAAAATGCTGGATAGAAATAATAGTTTTATAAAAAATGAGATTTTATTGTTAACCAAATACTGTTTAACAATAAGATATGTCAATTTTAATTTTACTTGAATTTAGCACAAGAAAAAGAAACATACAAACTAAAGGAGTAGGTGAGCTTGTTTTCCATCATATGGATTATTAGTTTCTAAAAGATCTATTTTTAAGTTAAGAAAAAAATTATAAAAAACATTAAGAATGCATTACTGTCTTGTCAAATTTTATACCATTGATATATTTTTGAAATGTAATTCTCTCATTTGTTTAGTTTTAGTTTTATATTCATATATAGTCAGTGTTATTTTCTTGAATTCTTTAATGTCTGGGAACATCTATGTTCTAGGGGGACAATTTAGCTGGGTCTAAAATTCTTGGCTCATATTTTAATCACCACAGAAATTTGTGAACATTTTTGTTGTATTATTTTTTGGACTTGAACGTTATTTGTAGTATTCTGAGCCCAGCTTAATTTTTTACTCTTAATTGACTCTTTATTTTCTTCCTACTTCAATGTCTCAGGAAATATTTCTTGTTATAGAAATTCAGTATGACTGAAAAGATCTTTTAAAAATCCCTGCTGATTATTTTACATTAGTTTTTCCTTCCATATACTGCCATATGCTTCTATTGGAAGATTTAAATTTTTCTTTATTTAAGGAAGAAGTTTTAAAATTATGTATTTAAATGCTTTTTCTGCTCTGAGTTCAATATTGCAGGAAGGCTAAATATTTTTTATTGAATCATCATTGTCTCTGTCACTCAGTTGATGATCATTTTTCTAGTTTTTTTGGTCTCTCTGTCATTTTCCTCTTCATTTACTATGAACAGATACTTTCAATTTTATTGTATGCCATTTACTTAACTGACTTGTACTCAAACAGCCTACCAGATTAACTGATAGTCTATATATACCGAGTTTGCTTCATAGTTGTTTTGAAATTTTTGTTCATCATTAGATATTTTATCAATGATTTAAAAAGTGAGGAACTAATCTGTAGACTCACACCAGAAAAAAAATCTATAACCCTACAATAACATATAGGTAAGTAAATGCACATTTGTATGTGTTAAAATAAAAAATTTTAATGTATGTATATCATAAACTATTCCCACACTCCTGAAAAACATCAAATTAAACTGTGTGTATCCTTAATGAATTTTCTTCTTTAGTTCAATATTATGTTTATGGGATTCCTTCATATTGATGAATGTAGGTAAAGTTTCTTTTCATTGTTTTATAGAGTTCCATTGAAACACTGTTTATCTATTAGCTTGTTGTTCCTTCAGCAAGCTTGTTTTATGTATTCTCTTCAGTTCTCCTGAGTCACAGTTTATTGGTGCTTATGTGATTTTTCTTCCTCATCTGTTTTTCTCCTTGCCTGGAGATACCAAAGTGAGGATCTCTGTTTATCTTGCTCTACTAAGAACATGTGGTGATAGAGAGGAATTTTAATGTTTGATAGCTTTTCTTTGCTTTTCTGCAGAGTAAAAACCCATATTTAATATATTTTTCTCCAATGAATGTAAGAAAGGAGTATGGGTATTGTATTAATCAGGATTCTTAAACTTTTCTTCATTTATTTTCTTTCCTTAGTACCAATTTAGGGTTGGTAAGGTGGGAACAGAGTTAGGAGTAGACTTGTATATTCAGTCTGTGTCATAAAGTTTGCCCATTTTTTTTTAACCACGGATACCTTATATTTGCTGTTTTGTCTTTGTAAAATGAACAATGAACTTCATTACGTTGTGAGAGGAGATTCTCAATCAAGTTTTATTTTGCCCCCTGTAGGAGGATATTTTCCCTTGAATATTTCTTATTATGTGACAAATTCCTGATTACCTTTGTTACTACTTGTGTTAGTCCATTTTGCATTGCTAAATACCCTGAGGCTAGGTAATTTATAAAGAAAAGTTTATTTGGCTTACAATTTTGTAGGCTGTACAAGAAGCATGACATCAGCATCTGCTTCTGGTGAGGCCTCAGACAGTGTTTGCTCATGGAAGAACACTAAGGGGAGCCAGTGGATCAGATGACAAGAGAGGGAGCATGTGAGACGGGAGGAGGTGCCGGGCTCTTTTTAACAATCCAATCTCATGGTATGTAACAGGGTGAAAACTCGCTCAGCACCACCAGATGACACCAAACCATTCATGAGGGATCTGCCCCCATGACCCAAACACCTCCCACCAGACCCCACCTCCAATGCTGGGGATCATATTTCAACATGAGATTTGGAGGGGACAAATATTCAAACCATATTACAACATATATTTGAAATCCATATTTTTATTATTTATTTAATCATGATCTAAACATCAAATTGACTATCGGAGTGTTCCTGTGAACCTTCTGTTATTAGCTGTAGTGGAAAAGAGCTATAATCATATAATCTTTTAGTTAAGAACATATCTTTAAAACTTCCAAATGACAGTTTTCACCATATTCATTAACCTTAATTTAAGATTCATGCTCTATCTAAATGTTTTGCAATAAGAACCCATAATAATAGTTATTCAGTGCTTGCTATGTGTCTGGAAATGTGCTTTGTTGGTTTTGTGCCTCATTTTAATTAATTCTCATATAAATTTTAAGGACAACCCCTAATGTACAGATTAGAAAACTGAAGTTTAGAGAGAGCAGAGAGGTGACTGTCATATGTGACTTGAAATCAAGTCTGGCTACTTAGATTGAGCTCATGACTATGCTGTGTCATCTCTTTCAGATTCAACTTCAAAGATTAGCCACTTAATAAGTTTGATTTTTATGCAAGTCAAGCAGTATGAAGTATTTTAGAGTGAAGAAATGTAATCATTACTTTGGATTTTCTTCATGGTGTGTTAAGTAGTAAATGGCCCAGATCTTGCCTTCACTGATGCATTTACAATAGTCATTTCCTATGATGCTGAGTCACTTTCCTTGGTTGGGAGGCCCCACTCTGAATTTCATCCTGGCTTCCCACTGCCTCCCTGTCTAGTAGAGACTAAGAATTTTTTGAATTTTTTCTTCTGCTAAGTGTCTTCTTTATTCTCTGTTCCCATTACCTGGCCCTGCCAGTCTCAATTTCAAGAAAGAAATTTTCTTTCTGTATTTCCTTTCTCTCTCTAATTCCACAGTGGTGACCTTCAGACTGTCTCTTTCTTGTGCCATATTGATTTTACAGAAAACTCTAAGAAATAACAAATGAAGCCTAGCGTTCTGTGTTTTTCCTACCAATTTCCCAGCTTTTATAGCCTCCACTGTGATTTCTTGAACCTTATGTCTGTATCTTTAGGTATGGGCAATCATTGAATCAAATATTTCATTGTCATGTAGTAAGATTCTCCATGTTCTTGCCTGGATGGTGTGGTGCCAATTTAATTCTGTCCTACTTTCTGTATTCATCCAATTCCACATTTTAGGGCCTATACTTAACAGCCTCCTCCCTTTAAATATATAATTTGGTAATACTCAAGGTTTTTAATTTCAAGTGATAAAAACAACTCTGCCTAATTTAAGCAAAAAGGGAGTTTGTTAAAGAAGACTATGTACCTCAAAGAATCTCCAGAAGGGCTTGATTGTCATTCCACTGAACTGATCTCATGAAGACACTATTGCTGACATATGTCTCAAGATATCAGTATTGTCTCTGAAAACTCAATTTAACTATCCAGTTTCTATTGCTTCCATCACCAGAATAAATTATGCATCTTACAAGCTTTTGTTTGAAAATCTGTGGTGATTATATTGGGGGGCAGGGGCAAATGTTCTTGTATGTTACCTCTCAAAAGTAGTCTGTTCTCTTTAGTAAGTATATCCTGTAAAATGGAAGCCAGAAGATAAAGCTACATGAGAATTATTTCAAGTGTTTGTCTACATGTCAATAATATCATGGGGATGCATCACATATGTAACTTGAGATTACTTGTTTCTTAAATCCACTTGCATCCTTCATGGACTTTCAGCTTCAAACAAAGGAGGAGGTTTCTGCCAGAAAATAGCTCCACTTTACGGGAATCTGTTAATATTGTAGAAAGATAATATTATTCTTTTATTCTCACCTACGTATAAGGTACCAAGGTAAATTTATCTTCCCTTTATTATCCATTTATAGGTTTATGTTCCATCAACAATCATTTCCTCATATTCCCATTTTATTTTCAACCAGACTTCCCTCTGTAGGTAATATTAGCAGATTCAGAAGGAGGACTGACCTATATAACCAGCCAGCAATGTGAGTCTGACCAGCACTTTCCCCTTCATTCGTTTCCAGTCATAGGGAGTAGTGTTTCATAAGTAAAAACTTAAAATGACTATCTTGTCCACTGAGTAGGACAGAGATAGTAATTGTTAATCCCAGATTAGGCATGGAAAGAGAAACTACTTAATAATTGATCCTTACTTTGGAACTCATAAATATAATTCAGGTCCTGGCACTACAGAATCAATTAAAGAAAAAGAAAAAAATTTAGAAATAGGTAAGATGTTTCAATAAATTTCTATGTTTTCCCCATATTTTCCCCTATATTCCAGTGTTATTTCAACTATCTATCCAATAATAATTCCACTTTCATGTATATTAAATATAACAAACATTCATTTGATCTTGCAATTCATTCCTTCAGTGCATTATCATCCCCCAATTTAGTAAACACATTTAAAAAATTGTGACAAAAAGCGCAAAACATGAGAACACCCTCAAAAATTTTAAGTG
The DNA here is from genome assembly GCF_000001405.40 of Homo sapiens. Lineage (NCBI taxonomy): Eukaryota > Metazoa > Chordata > Mammalia > Primates > Hominidae > Homo > Homo sapiens. Next base: position 195,249,566 of record NC_000002.12, on the reverse strand, counting down.
TACAATAGGGTATTATTAATGACAAGCACCATGTTGTACAGTAGATCTCTAAAAGTTTTTTGTCTTGCATAACTGAAACTGTGTAGCTGTTGAGAAGCAACTTTTCATTTTTCGCTCCTCCTATCCCATGGCAACCACCCTTCTACTTTCTGCTTCTGTGAGTTTGACCACTTTAGATACTTCATATAAGAGGAATCACACAGTCATTTGTCCTTTGGTGACTGAATATTTCACTTAGCATAATATTTTTAAGGCTCATTCATGCTATCATATGTGATAATAGTTTCTTTTTTGCTAAAGCTGAATAAAATTTTGTTGTGTGTATATACCACATTTTATTTATCCATTCATCTGTTGACTGATACTTATTGATTTCTTTCACATCTTGGCTATTATGAGTAATGCCACAATGAACATGAGAGTGGAAATATGTCTTTGAGATCCTGATTCCAATCTTTCTGAATAAATACCCAGAAATGAGATTGCTGGTTCATGTGGTATTTCTATTTATAAATTGTTGAGGAAGCTTCATACTGTTTTCCATAGCTGTTATGCCATTTCACATTCCAACAGTGCACAAGGATTCCAGTTTCTCCCTTTCCACGCCAACACTTATTATTATTTTTTTGAAAATGCCCATTGTAATGTGTGAAATGATATCTCACTGTGGTTTGTTTTTGCATTTCCTTGATGATTAGTGATGTTGAGCATCTTTTCATATGCCTCTTGTCCATTTGTATGTCTTCTTTGGAGAAATGTCTGTCTATTCAAGACCTTTGCTCATTTTTTTAATTGGGTTATTTGGCTTTTTGCTATTAAATTAGGAGTTTCTTATATATTGGGTTTTATTCTCTTATCAGATAAGGGGTTTACAACTATTTTTTCCTATCCCATAGGTTGCTTTTTCACTTTGTTGCTTGTTTCCTTTGCTGTGCAGAAGCTTTTCAGTTTGAGGTGGTCTCAAGTTTGGGACCATACTACAAACGCCTATGCTTTTGGTGTCATAGCCAAGAAATTATTGCCAAGACCAGTGTCATAAAGCTTGTATTCTATATTTTCTTTCAGGAGTGTCACAGTTTCAAGTCTTATGTTTAAGTCTTTAATTCATTTTGATTTGATTTTTCTCTATAGTGCAAGGTAAGGGTCCAGTTTCATTCTTTTGCATGTGTATATCCAGTTCCCCCAACACCATTATCCTTGAGTTATCCTTTCCTTGTGTGTATTCATGGCATTTTTGTGGAAGATCGGTTGACTGCATTAGTGTGGGTTCATTTCTGGGCTCTCTATTCTGTTCTGTTGTTCTAGATGACTCTTTTATGCCAGGAACACCCTGTGTAGTGACTGTGTTTTGTAATATGTTTTGAAGTCAGAAACCATGATGCCTCAAGGTTTGCTCTTCTTTCCTACAGTTATTTTGGCTATTCAGGGTTTTTTTCTGGTTCCACGTGGAATTTAGAATTCTTTCTTCTATTTTTCTAAAATGCCACTGGGATTTTGGTAGGGATTGCATTGAACCTGTGTATTTCTTTGGTTAGTACAGACACTAACAGTATTCAGTCTTCTGATCATTGAACATGGATGTCTTTTCATTCATTTGTGTCTACTTTTATCAATGTTTTATAGTTATTTTATTTTTTAATTGACACAATAGCTGTACATATTTTGGGGATACATGTGATAATTTTATACATTCATATAATTTGTTAAAATCAAATCAGTGTAATTGCAATATCTATCACATTAAATAATTGTCCTTGTAGTTTTCAGTATACAAGTATTTTACTTCCTTTGTTAAGTTTACTCCTACGTATTTTATTCTTTTTGATGATATTGTAAATTGGGTTTTTTTTTCCTCAATTTCCTTTTTGGATTTTTGTTGTTGGTTTATAGAAATACAACTGATTTTTGTATCCTGTCAATTTTCTAAATTCATTTATTAGTTCTAACAATCTTCTTTTGTGTGTGGAATCTTTAGGGTTTTCTGCATGTAAGATCATATTATCTGTGAACAGAGGTAATTTTCTTTCTTTCTTTCTTTCTTATGTGGATGCCTTTTATTTCCTTTTCTTGCCTAATTGCTCTGGCTAGGACTACCAGCACTATGTTGAATAGAAGTGGTGAGAGTGGGTATTTTTGCCTTGTTTCTGACTTTACAAAAAAACTTTCAGTTTCTCACTATTGATTATGATGTTAGCTATGGACTTTCATATATGGTTTTTATTATGTTGAGTTGGTATCCTTCTATTCCTAATTTGTTGAGTTATCTTTGTTGTAAAAGGTATTGACTTTTGTTAATTGCTTGTTCTGCGTGTATTGAGATGATCATGTGATTTTTGTCCTTTGTTCTGTTAATGTGATGTATCACATTGATTAATTTGCATATATTCAACCATCTTTGCATTCCAGGGATAAATTTTTTGTCTTAATTTATGATTTTTTAAATGTGCTATTGAATTCAATTTGATAGTATTTTGTTGAAGATTTTTGCATCTATATTCATCAGGGATATTGGCTTATAATTTTTATTTTCTTCTAATATTTTCATCTGGCTTTCGTCTCAGAGTAATCTCTACCTCATAAAATGAGTTAGAAAACTTTCCCTCCTCTTCAACTTTTTTGGAATAGTTTGAGGACAATAATGTTAGTTCCTTAAATATTGGGTAGAATTCACCACTAAGACATTTTGGACCTGGGCTTTTCTTTGTTGGGAGGTTTTTGATTACTGATTAAATACTCTTACTAGCTAGAGGTCTGTTCACATTTTCTCTTTTTTCATGCTACAGTCTTAGTAGGATGTATATGTAAATGGAAAAGGAATTTTTCCATTTCTTCTAGGTTATCTAATTCTTTGGCATCTAATTGTGCATAGTAGTCTCCTATGACCAATTTTATATTTCTGTGGCACAAGCTGTAACATCTCCTCTTTCATTTCTGATTTTATTTGTTTGAGTCTTCTCTATTTTTTTAGTCTAGCTAAAGGTTTGTCAATGTTGTTGATCTTTTAAAAATCAACTCCTCATTTCATTGATTTTTTTCTATTGTTTTCCATTCTATTTCTTTTGTAACTAATCAAATTGAATTATATATATTTTTTCAAGGCCTCTAATAATGTTACAGGCATTGATTCATTAATCATTTTTGCTCTAAACTGTATTATTTCCTTTCTTATGCTTACTCTGGACTTTGTTCTTTCTGAGATGTAATGTTAAGTTTTTTTTTGAGATCATTCTTATTTTATTTTTATTTTTGAGAGAGGGTCTCACTCTTTCTCTGAGGCTAGAGTGCAGTGGCATGATCATTGCTGATCATTGCTCACTACAGCCTTGACCTACTGGGCTCAATGATCTTCTCACCTCAGTCTCCTGAGTAGCTGGGGCTACAGGTGCATGCTACCACACCTGGCTAATTTTTGTATTTCTTGTAGAGATGAGGTCCTGCTATGTTGCCTATGCTGGTCTCGAACTCCTTGGGTTCAAGATGTCTGCTTGCCTCAGCCTCCCAAAGTGTTGAGATTACAGGTGTGAGCCACTGCATCCAGCCAAGATCTTTCTTATTTTTATTTTTTATTTCCATAGGTTTTGGGGGAAAAAGTGGTGTTCGGTTACATGAATATGTTCTTTAGTGGTGATTTCTGATATTTTGGTGGACCTAGCTCCCTAGTAGTATACAGGGTACCCAATTTGTAGTCTTTTATCCCTCACCCCCCTTCCATGCTTTCATCTGAGTCCCCAAAGTCTATTGCATTATTCTTATGCCTTTGCATTCTCATAGCTTAACTCCCACTTGTAAGTGAGAACATATGATGTTTGGTTTCCCATTCCTGAGTTACTTCATTTAGAGTAATGGTCTCCAATTCCATTCAGGTTGCTGTAAATGCCATTATTTTGTTCCTTTTTATGTCTGAGTAGTATTCCATGGTATACAGATACCACAATTTCTTTATCCACTCTTTGACTGATGGGCTTTTGGGTTGGTTCCATATTTTTTCAATTGTGAATTGTGCTGCTGTACACATTGTGTGCAATGTGTGTGCAAATATCTTTTTTTGTATAATGACTTCTTTTTATCTGGGTAGATATCCAGTAGTCAAATTGATGGATCAAAGGGTAGTTCTACTTTTAGATCTTTTCTTTTTTAAAAAATATTTTTTATTTCAATAGGTTTTTAGGGAGCAGATGGTGGTTGGCTCATGTAAGTTGGCTTCCTTTCTCAGGAGGGAGGCTCATGGTCTGGGGCAAGTTCTCCGCTCTGGTCACTGGTTGCCTGGAAATAGACCACTACTTTTAGTTATTTAAGGAATCTCCACAATTTTCCATAGTGGTTGTACTAGTTTACCTTCCCCGTCGGCAGTGTAAAAGTGTTCCCTTTTCACCACATACATGCCAGCATCTATTATTTTTTGATTTTTTGGATTGTGGCCATTCTTGCAGGAGTAAGGTGGTATTACATTGTGGTTTTGATTTGCATTTTCATTTCCCTGAGAGTTAGTGATGTTGAGCATTTTTCCATATGTTTGTTGGCCATTTGTATATCTTCTTTTAAGAATTATCTTTTCGTGTCCTTAGCCCACTTTTTTGATGGAATCATTTGTTTTTTTCTTGCTAATTTTTTGAGTTTCTTGTAGATTCTGGATATCTTTGTCAGATATATAGATTGTTAGTTCTTTGTCAGATGTATAGATTGTGAAGATTTTTTCCCACTCTGTGGGTTGTCTGTTTACTCTACTCATTGTTTCTTTTGCTGTGCAGAAGCTTTTTAGATTAATTAAGTCCCATTTGTTTATCTTTGTTTTTGTTGCATTTGCTTTTGGGTTCTTGGTCATGAAATCCTTGCCTAAGCCAATGTCTAGAAGGGTTTTTTTTCCGATGCAATCTTCTAGAATTTTTATGGTTTCAGGTCTTAGATGTAAGTACTTGATCCATCTTGAGTAGATTTCTGTATAAGGTCAGAGATGAGGATATAGTTTTATTTCTCTACGTGTGCCTTGTCAATTATCCTAGCACCATTTGTTGAATTGGGTCTCTTTATGTTTTTGTTTGCTTTGTCAAAGATCAGTTGGCTGTAAGCATTTGGCTTTATTTCTGGGTTCTCTATTCTGTTCCATTGGTCTATGTGGCTATTTTTTATACCAGTGCCATGCTGTTTTGATGATTATGCCTTATAGTATAGTTTGAAATCAGGTAATGTGATGTCTCCAGATTTGTTCTTTTTGCTTAGTCTTGTTTTGGCTATCTGGGCTCTTTTTTGGTTCCATATGAATTTTAGGATTGTTTTTTTCTCTGTGAAGAATAGTGGTGGTATTTTGATAGGAATTGCATTGAATTTGTAGATTGCTTTTGGCACTATGGTCATTTTCACAATATTGATTCTACCCTTCCATGAGCATGGGATGTGTTTCCATTTGTTTGCATTGTCTATGATTTATTTCAGCAGTGTTTTGTAGTTTTCCTTGCAGAGGTCTTTCACCTTCTTTGTTAGATATATTCCTAAGTATTTTAATTTTTTTGCAGCTATTGTAAAAATGGTTGAGTTCTTGATTTGATTCTCAGCTTGGTCACTGTTGGTGTATAGCAGAGCTACTGGTTTGTGCACATTAATTTTGTATCCTGAAACTTTGCTGAATTCATTTATTAGTTCTAGGAGGTTTCTGGAGGAGTCATTAGGGTTTTCTAGGTATATAATCATATCATTAGCAAACAGCGACAGTTTGACTTCCTCTTTACTGTTTTGGATGCCCTTTATTTCTTTCTCTTGTCTGATTGCTCTGGCTGGGACTTCCAGTACTAGGTTGAATAGAAGCGGTGAGAATGGGCATCCTTGTCTTGTTCCAGTTCTCAGAGGGAATGCTTTCAACCTTTCCCATTCAGTATTATGTTGGCTATGGGTTTGTCATAGATGACTTTTGTAGAGTTAAGATATGTCCCTTCTATGCTGATTTTGCTGAGGGTTTTAATCATGAAAGGATGCTGAATTTGGTCAAATACTTTTTCTGCGTCTATTGAAGATCTTTCTTATTTTTTAATGTCAGTGTTTATCACTATAAACTTCCCTCTTAATACTGCTTTGGCTGAAACACAATGGTATGGTGTGTTTCCATTTTCATTTGTCTTAAGATATTTTCTAGTTATCCTTTTGATTTCTTTTTTGTCTCATGGGTTGTCAAGAGGATGCTGTTTAATTTTTACATTGTAAATTCCCAGGGTTTTTTCTGTTAATTTCTAGCTTTATGCCATTGTGGTTGGAAAAGATATTTAATATAACTTCAGTCTTCTTAAATTTGTTAAGACTTGATCTAACATATGACATATCTTGGAGAATAGGTCCTTTTGTCACCTTTCATATTCGGGCAACACAGAAACAAGTCTCTTCTGTGGACCTTTGAAAAGTCAGAACATTGGATACACAGTCCAGGCCCCTCCTTTCTTCCCCAGGGAGAAGCTGGGAACGGCAATTTACTTCCAATCATGTGGTGCTTTGCCAGGGGAAAGAATTACAGTAAGAGAGTGTGGTAAATAGTCAATTTAAACCATCTTTAATGCAGCTGGTTTTGTGCTTGCCCAGGACACAGGAGCCTCTCAACTGATCTTTGAATAGCTCATACAGGAAATTGTTATTGAATCAGTATGTTCACTGGAAAAAGGAGGGTCCAGAGCTTCCTGTTCTGCCATGTTTTTGACCTGACTCCTTTAATAAGCATATATTTTATTTACACACTCCAATTATCACTATATTTATTAATTTGTAGATGGAAAATTATATGATAATTTTATTGTATATGTTATGTCTTAATCTGCTGTTGTACTTGCAGCAAAATGGGTTCCTTGATTAGTGATGTATAAGTTGGAGGCACAAACTGAAATCACATATTTTTTTCCAAGGCCTCTAATAGTGTTAGAGACATTGATTCAGTTACCTGGTATGCATTTTCAAATCTTGAATGAGTATCCCTTTGGTCAAGACCCATAAGTATATACCTAAAATCATAAGCAATAAATCAATGTAATCCATTTTCCAGCTATGAGCTTGCCTGGATTTTGCCAATAGACAACCCATACTTGCTTTTAGCCTCTGAAGTTAATGTTAAAAACAGAACAATTATTAGTCAATTTTTGAGCATCTGAGCATGGAGTGGGATGCACCTTTTTGTTGTTGTTAATTCATCGATTACCTCTGTGACTAATCATTTTGCATACTCAAGAGCACACACAGTAACTACTTGTTGCTTTCTGTACCATTCTGAATTCAAAATTTGTTGTTCTTGTTTTATTTTTTAATGGGCAGCAGCCTACCCTACCTTGTTTCCTTTACAATTCCATAAAGTTTTTCATAGCAGTTCACCACACTGGGGTTTCTCTTACCTTCTGGTCATCTAAGGCCCACTTTCTGGACCATATAGCTACTCCATTGGCCAATGCCTAAGAATTGGTATAAATCAATACTATGTTATTTTTATTATCTAGTTCCATGAGAACTACAACTCTTAATTCTGTCTATTAAGTGAAATTATATTTTACTTTTTCACTAAAAAGGCAACAATCAGCAAAGTGCAATGCAGTTGACTTCCAGATTAAGTGTTAACTCTACCCTGGACTCTACTGTCTGTGGGCTATGCTACTTCTGAGGCAGCCTCGGGTAATATTCTAGTTCAGATTCCATGACTGCTTAATGTTGTTCAAAGCATTATTTAAATTCAATTTTTTCCCTTGTTACTATGTGAATAAGGGCTAATAAAATGTACAGATTTGGTATGTGATTTCTTCAGAAACCAGTCTTTGTGACTCATTTTAATTTTGGGGCTAGACAGAGAAAAATTCATTATGATTGGTTGAAGAATGCTAATCTTCCTTCTTTCCTTCCTTCCTTCCTTCCTTCCTTCCTTCCTTCCTTCCTTCCTTCCTTCCTTGCTTCCTTCCTTCGTTCCTTCCTTCCTTTCTTTCTCTCTTTCTCTCTTTCTTTTTTGTTTAGCTCTTGTTGCCCAGGCTGGAGTGCAATGGTGCGATCTCTGCTCACCGCAACCTCCACCTCCTGGGTTCAAGCAATTTTCCTGCCTCAGCCTCCTGAGTAGCTGGGATTACAGGCATGCGCCACCACGCCTGGCTAATTTTGTATTTTTAGTAGAGACGGGGTTTCTCCATGTTAGTCAGGCTAGTCTCGAACTCCCAACCTCAGGTGATCTGCCCACCTCAGCCTCCCAAAGTGCTGGGATTACAGGCGTGAGCCACCGTGCCCAGCCTAAGAATGCTAATATTTCTACCCCATGTAATTACTAGAAATTTTAACAGTTATGCTGGACCCTATATTTCAGTAGGATTTGAGTATTCCCTGGTGGTCATACCATTAACATTTGGAAGTCATGCTTAGCTTGATTTCTAGATTTAGATACCAACATTATATTATTGATGCAATGAATATCAGTAGTTTAGATGGAATCAAATCAATGTTTCTTACTACCAGGTTGTAGCTATAAAGAAGATAATTTAAATACTCCCATATTGAGGACAAAAAGGTATTGGAGACTATTTCACATGAATGCACATTTGATTTTTACTTTCTTTCAATATAGAATTCTAAAAGGAAGCGCTGGTCAAATTGATCATAGAATATCAATCTCCCTCAGCTGGTTGCACAACTTGAATTTTTAACACCATATAGAGCATAAATGATGGTATTAAATGACTCTTTACTCAGTTCTCTAGAGTCTTGAGTCATCTTCCAGGCTCCATCAGCTTTACATGTTATACTGTACTATTAAGGAAATAATTTGAGGATACTGATTTATCTTTATCTAACATATCTTTAATCAAAACTAAAATTTCTTGATGTTCATTTTTTCCCCTACTTCCTTTCCCAGTATCCTATTAGGCTGGAACAAAGGTTACTGTGGTTTTTGCCATTACTGATTTTTTTTTTTTGGGGGGGTGGACAAAATCTTAATCTGGTCCCCAGAATGGAGTGCAGTGGCCTCATCTAGGCTCACTGCAACCTCTGCCTCCCAGGTTCAAGGGATTCTTGTGCCTCAGCCTCCCGATTAGCTGGGATTGCAGGCGTGTGCCACCATACCTGGCTAATTTTTTGTATTTATAATAGAGACAGGGTTTCACCATGTTGTCCAGGCTGGTCTTGAACTCCTGACCTCGGATGATCTGCCCACCTCAGCCTCCCAAAGTGCTTACAGGTGTGAGCCACTGCGCCCAGCTGCCATTACTCTTAACGGCAAAAACCACAGTAACTTTTGCATCAACCTAATATATTACTTTATATTAATGAATTGACTGGATTTAGGTAGTTCTAAAGGTTACCATCTAATGTGCCAAATTAAAAGAGAATGAATAGCAGATTTATATGTTATCTCTGTTTCCACTGGTTTGGATAAGACAAGAGTCCCATATTCATACATCATATTCATTTCAGTAATATGTTCTGGTAGGAGTTATGCAACAAACTTACATAACTTTCATTCATTAATTCCTACTTTGAACCATATTTTTACTTTAGAATATTTTACCATGTCCTGCTAAATGAATTACATTGCCTTTTACCTTTTTATTAGCAGATTTAGGTATATTCTGATTTTGTGTATCAGTGTCTAGGAATTCCAATCATGTTATTTTACTACCCTGGATGATTTCCTTGCATACCAATGCAAATGGCCTTAGATACTATTTTGGAAAAAAATATTTTCCCCTTCAAATTTGTATGTCGAAGCCCTAACCCACAGTGCAACAGTATTTGGAGGTGGGGCCTTTGGAAGATAATTAGGTTTATATGAGGACATGAGGGTGGGGCTCCCATGATGGGATTCATGTCCTTATAGGAAGAGGAAGATGGACCAGACCTTTTACTCTCTTTATTTATTTCTCCCTCTGTCTCTCTCAAGCCACCACTTGAGGATATAGCAAAAAGGCAGCCATCTGCAAGCCAGAAGAGAGCTCTCACCAGAGAAGCACATTGGCCAGTGCCTTGATCTTAACCTTCCAGTCTCCAGAATTGTGAGAAATAAATGTCTGTTGTTTGAGCCCCTACTCCATGGCATTTTGTTATGGTTGCCTGAACTGACAGACTGCCTGCTCTGAAACTGCACCAACAGTCCCTGGCTATTTTGTCATTCAGAATAAACCTCGTTTTAAACACCTGCTGTTTTAAACAACACTGCCTTGAAAGAGACTACGGATTCTGTTTTTATGTCATCATTAGGTTTTTAAAATTCATCAAGGCAAGGATAAATGGAGGAGTTGGTAAAGCAGCCTGATCATATAATCTCTTATAGTGATCCATTAAAATTTTAGTAGCTACTCCATCTATCCCCTCCTTTTCTGTATCTTTTAAAATTAATCATGTGACTATATTCTACCCAGTTTAAATATCTCTAGCTTCTTTTTTAAAACCCATTTTATCCTTTTTACCCTTTCTTGTGAATAATCCTAATTTTTTTCCCCATGATTTAGCCCTACTTATGGAATCTGAATCAGGAGGTCAATGAAAGCTTCCCTTACAGAATCCTGCTCATCTGTTTGTAGAGTAACATAAGGAGCCCAAGCATCTGGAAACTCTTTAATTACAACATCAATCATCACTTGAGTCAAAGGCATAAAATTAGGGGGTAATTCAGTATCATCATATAACCAATCCACAGTCGCTGGTATTTTCAACATTTCAGAGGTTTTAGAAGGATTATTTTATTTAGTATCTAATTTTTCGTTTATACACGTTTTATGTACTTTGCCTTTATCCACCTCTACAGATTGCGAGTTTGACTCTCTAACACATCTCTGTAAAAATTGCAACTAGTTGAGAATTCTGAATAAGACCAACATTCTCTTCCATTGATCAGTATATAATGCAAGGGAAGTGCCTCCTTGGATCTGAATGCATAAACATAATTTTAGCAGAGACTTCCCAGAATGCTGTTTATAACATTCCACAAATGACTTAGGTCTGTGACTGAATACCCGTTTCATTTGTCTTTGGTTTCCTCACCCTGCAGCCTGTATACTCTTTTTAGTGATCCTCATTCAGACTGTCACATTCTGAGCAAAATAAATACCTGCCCAATTCCCTTTTGGCACACTTTCTCTTCCCTTTAGTATCACCAGGCATTATTTGGTGTACTTGGCAGCCTCAGTTCTTTCTGTTACTTTCATTTTTTCAAAGTAGTGAAATTACAAAATTCTTGGCTGACTTCCCCTCTGTCTGAATTTCTTTCTCAACCCATGTAGCTATTTCCCTTGGTTCAGAATATACCACCTCCATGTTCCATTGATATGCTTCTTTTTTCATCAGTGGTTGCAGCATTTGCCTGACTCAAGCCAGAAGTGACCCAGGAGACAGACTATCATCAACAGTTCATCATCTCCCACTCCTCATCTTTCTTTTCCTTAAACAAAATCTTAGCCAACGTTTACAATTAGAGACAAAGGTCATTTCAATACTCAACTCACTGTGCCAAATGCATCAAGTACACAGGGTCAGAGAACTATTTTAAAAGGACTCCACAAGGTGTGCTTAAATTAGGTTTTGATAAAGGTAAAGGGTATGGTACAGCAGGAGAAAGAAAACACAGACAAACATTAGAGAGGTTTGAGATTCCCAGACAAAGCCCCCATGATCTTTCTCAATTTTACAGAATGTGCTTTGTCATTAGATCATGATTTGCCAAGATATGTATGAGACATGGTGGTCTTAGGGCAGTCAAGCACAAGTTTCCTGAGGAATCCTCCTACTCGACTGGTCAATAGCTTGAATCGGGCTGTGTAACTAGTTCAAGCAGGTACAGACCATCAACCTACATTCTCAAGGAACAATGCAGATAACTTGCTAGTGGGTGCTACTAGAAAAGTTTCAGAATGCAAACTGCACATTATAAATCCGTAGGTAGTACCTTTTATCCATCCCATTACTGGCCAAGGGTTGATATCATGGTTCCAGGCAAATTTGGAGATAAACACAGAGTTACAATTGCTTAGACCACCTTCAAGTTCATCTTATCTGTACACAATATTTCTTAACGAATTTTAGTTTTCCATGGAGTTGATATTTGATTGCTTTTTTATTGCTTGGCTTCCTATTATATTATTAACTTAGTTTGTTTCCTGTTACCTATCCTCCTCTCCTTCACTCTTGTTTGGAGGCAAATATTCTTTTTTCCAGGTTTAACTCATCCATCTTTATTCTTTATTCCTCTCTCTCATTCCCTCTCATTCATCCCACAATTAAATATTGGTTTTCTACGATGTACTAGACAGTGTCTTTGACCTAAGGAGGTCAGTATATGGAGATAGGTAAACATGGAAACATATAAATGCGATTGGATGTTGTCAGTAATATGAGAAAATTGTGTCTTGGGTTATAGAGAAGCACAAATAAGAGGGTTTTCAATCTACCTGCTGATTCAGGAAAAGTTTTATGTAAGAGTTGGTGCTTGAAGGGTCAGTTGGAGTGAAGGATAAATAGCTACACTAATAACAGATATATACTATGCTGTGTAATAAATAGGAAGCCACTGAAAGACTTTTAGTTGGAGAATAAAGTGGTCAGATATAATATTCTGGAAGTGGTTGGATAATAGATTGGAGTTAGGCAAGACTGGAAGCAGTAAGTTTGTTACAGTTGAGGTCTCTATTGCTGCATCGCCCACGTACTCTATGCTCACCCTAAATCATTAAATTACACCGGTAGACACCTATATTTACTTAGCTGCGAACTCAGTGCTTTATTTTCAGCACTCATCCTCTTGGATGCATTTGCCACTGCTTGTTCTTATGCCCCTTTTGAAACTTCCTTCCCTTGGCTGACAGGCCACTATTTGTTGAAGAAAAGTCATCATCTGGATTCCTGGAGAGTTAGAGGCAGAAATCATGATCTGGCACCCCTGAGCACTGACTGTACTTTCTCCACCCCATGATGATCTAGCCTTTCTGATGCTGAATTTGGTTCAAGATCCAAGTGTGCCTGGTGTGGAAAATAGTTCTTTAAACAGAAGTACAAAAATAAGAATAGTTTCTTCCTGGAAACAATTAGAAAACCAAGTAACATAGCCAAATGGTGTCTATTTTCTAAATTTTGATAGCAGTTGCAATTGAAGAGGGTAAACAGCATTGAGGTGTGTTCATTGCACATGCAACAGATTTCATTATTCTTGGTTAAATAAATCTGGAAAGCGCATGTTAAGATTATGGGGATTACATGTCTTGGTGATGGCAGGGGAATGGATGGTAGCAGCATTGTGGGATTGCTCCTAGACAATTTGTAACTCTCCTGATGTGCTTTACTCTCCCTCCTAGGTCTCCTCTTATTTCCCTATTTGATGTGTCCTCGGTGGCCATGCCTACTGTTGTAGACTCTACAGCCAAGTGACACAGATGGCCTGAACTCTCAACACAACTCCTTTGTCACCCTTCATCATGTCTTTCTCTTTATATAAAACACTCAAATGATCTACTCCATTTATTTTTAGTAGGAACAGATTTTCTACTTTCATTTTGGGGTAATGAAGCCACACTGAGAAGACCTCATAAAGTCAGAGCCAGAATACTACTTCCTCACTCTGAACTTCTGCTCAATTAATCCCTAAAACCTATCAACGATGGCAGTTGACAGCTTGTCTCTCATGGGGATTTTAAGCAGTTAACTCTTTTGGGATTCTTTCGTTAACGTTAGGGGCAATGGTTAAGTGGGTCTCAAAGGGCCTCTCTGCATTTTGTTTAGCAAAGATAAGCAGAAAGCCAATGAAATAAACAAAAGGAGTAATTGAGAAAAGCACTTACATTTGTTTTGACAAACTTGAAAGTACCATTACGCATCTTTTCATAAAGGAAAGTAGGAACAACTTGCTGGGTAAAACCAAGAGTTGACTTTTTCATCAGATGCTTGGTGTTAATAAGCTACATTCACTCTACAGGGAAGCATTCAATATCCATCATCCATTTAAGGCCTTGAAAATTGTGCACATCTAAAAAGAAGAGTCCTGGTTTTTTTGTTTTAGAATAATGATGATGATAATGATGATGATGGTAATAGTTGTTAAGATAAAACATGCCTTAACACAAAATGACAAGAGAAGATAGGGTGCTAGAAATAGTGATAATGTGCATTCAGAAACTAACCATATATTCAAACATATTTTAAAGACAGATGTAGAGAAACCAAGTAAAAAACTATGCGACATTAAATTCTAGTCATACTTAAAGTGCTTCACTGCTTGAAAATGAGACAGGATTCTGAACTAATATTTTGGAGGTTCCACTTCTTGAAAAGCTATTAGGATTCTGAACTAATATTTGGGAGGTTCCACTGTTTCAAAAGATAGTAGGATTCTGAACTAATATTTAGGAGGTTTCTAAAAGAATAATATAGCAATTTGATTTCTACAGAATAAATGTTTACAGATCATAGAAGGAGACTATGTGAACAGTATTTGTGGAAGCAATCACTACAGTTGGAAGGTACGAGGCCTTGCGTTGCTGAAGAATTCTTGCCAAAACAAGCTCACAATAGTTCATAGAAGACAGTTCATAATATTATTATGAGAAACAACAGACAATTCGGTAAAACAGGAAGTGAAAATATGTTTAATAAGTGTCTATGTTATTTGGGAAATGGCGTGCCTATTAAAGTCAGGAATTCAAGTTTATGCTCTATTCATTAAAAGTATGAGGCCTTGGAAAATTCTCAGATCTCAATTATTACGACTTTAAAATGGGTTATATATATTTTTTTATTATTATACTTTAAGTTTTAGGGTATATGTGCACAACGTGCAGGTTTGTTACATATGTATACATGTGCCACGTTGGTGTGCTGCACCCATTAACTCATCATTTAGCATTAGGTATATCTACTAATGCTATCCATCCCCTCTTCCCCCACCCCACAACAGTCCCCAGTGTGTGATGTTCCCCTTCCTGTGTCCATGTGTTCTCATTGTTCAGTTCCCACCTATGAGTGAGAACATGTGGTGTTTGGTTTTTTGTTCTTGCGATAGTTTGCTGAGAATGATGGTTTCCAGCTTCATCCATGTCCCTACAAAGGACATGAACTCATCATTTTTTTATGGCTGCATAGTATTCCATGGTGTATATGTGCCACCTTTTCTTTTTCTTTTTTTTTAATTTATTATTATTATACTTTAAGTTTTAGGGTACATGTGCACAATGTGCAGGTTAGTTACATATGTATACATGTGCCATGCTGGTGTGCTGCACCCACTAACTCATCATCTAGCATTAGGTATATCTCCCAATGCTATCCCTCCCCCCTCCCCCAACCCCACAACAGTCCCCAGAGTGTGATGTTCCCCTTCCTGTGTCCATGTGTTCTCATTGTTCAATTCCCACCTATGAGTGAGAATATGCGGTGTTTGGTTTTTTGTTTTTGCTATAGTTTACTGAGAATGATGATTTCCAATTTCATCCATGTCCCTACAAAGGACATGAACTCATCATTTTTTATGGATGCAGAGTATTCCATGGAGTATATGTGCCACATTTTCTTAATCCAGTCTATCATTGTTGGACATTTGGGTTGGTTCCAAGTCTTTGCTATTGTGAATAATGCCGCAATAAACATACGTGTGCATGTGTCTTTATAGCAGCATGATTTATAGTCCTTTGGGTATATACCCAGTAATGGGATGGCTGGGTCAAATGGTATTTCTAGTTCTAGATCCCTGAGGAATCGCCACACTGACTTCCACAATGGTTGAACTAGTTTACAGTCCCACCAACAGTGTAGAAGTGTTCCTATTTCTCCACATCCTCTCCAGCACCTGTTGTTTCCTGACTTTTTAATGATTGCCATTCTAATTGGTGTGAGATGGTATCTCATTGTGGTTTTGATTTGCATTTCTCTGATGGCCAGTGATGGTGAGCATTTTTTCATGTGTTTTTTGGCTGCATAAATGTCTTCTTTTGAGAAGTGTCTGTTCATGTCCTTCACCCACTTTTTGATGGGGTTGTTTGTTTTTTTCTTGTGAATTTGTTTGAGTTCATTGTAGATTCTTGATATTAGCCCTTTGTCAGATGAGTAGGTTGCGAAAATTTTCTCCCATTCTGTAGGTTGCCTGTTCACTCTGATGGTAGTTTCTTTTGCTGTGCAGAAGCTCTTTAGTTTAAATAGATCCCATTTGTCAATTTTGGCTTTTGATGCCATTGCTTTTGGTGTTTTAGACATGAAGTCCTTGCCCATGCCTATGTCCTGAATGGTATTGCCTAGGTTTTCTTCTAGGGTATTTATGGTTTTAGGTCTAACGTTTAAATCTTTAATCCATCTTGAATTGATTTTTGTATGAGGTGTAAGGAAGGGATCCAGTTTCAGCTTTCTACATATGGCTAGCCACTTTTCCCAGCACCATTTATTAAATAGGGAATCCTTTCCCCATTGCTTGTTTTTCTCAGGTTTGTCAAAGATCAGATAGTTGTAGATATGCGGCGTTATTTCTGAGGGCTCTGTTCTGTTTCATTGATCTATATCTCTTGTTTTGGTACCAGTACCATGCTGTTTTGGTTAGCCTTGTAGTATAGTTTGAAGTCAGGTAGTGTGATGCCTCCAGCTTTGTTCTTTTGGCTTAGGATTGACTTGGAGATGCGGGCTCTTTTTTGGTTCCATATGAACTTTAAAGTAGTTTTTTCCAATGCTGTGAAGAAAGTCATTGGTAGCTTGATGGGGATGGCATTGAATCTGTAAATTACCTTGGGCAGTATGGCCATTTTCACGATATTGATTCTTCCTACCCATGAGCATGGAATGTTCTTCCATTTGTTTGTATCCTCTTTTATTTCCCTGAGCAGTGGTTTGTAGTTCTCCTTGAAGAGGTCCTTCACATCCCTTGTAAGTTGGATTCCTAGGTATTTTATTCTCTTTGAAGCAGTTGTGAATGGGAGTTCACTCATGATTTGGCTCTCTGTTTGTCTGTTGTTGGTGTATAAGAATGCTTGTGATTTTTGTACATTGATTTTGTATCCTGAGACTTTGCTGAAGTTGCATATCAGCTTAAGGAGATTTTGGGCTGAGACAATGGGGTTTTCTAGATATACAATCATGTCGTCTGCAAACAGGGACAATTTGACTTCTTCTTTTCCTAACTGAATACCCTTTAGTTCCTTCTCCTGCCTAATTGCCCTGGCCAGAACTTCCAACACTATGTTGAATACGAGTGGCAGGAGAGGGCATCCCTGTCTTGTTCCAGTTTTCAAAGGGAATGCTTCCAGTTTTTGCCCCTTCAGTATGATATTGGCTGTGGGTTTGTCACAGATAGCTCTTATTATTTTGAAATACGTCCCGTCAATACCTAATTTATTGAGAGTTTTTAGCATGAAGTGTTGTTGAATTTTGTCAAAGGCCTTTTCTGCATCTGTTGAGATAATCATGTGGTTTTTGTCTTTGGTTCTGTTTATATGCTGGATTATATTTATTGATTTGCGTATATTGAACCAGCCTTGCATCCCAGGGATGAAGCCCACTTGCTCATGGTGGATAAGCTTTTTGATGTCCTGCTGGATTCGGTTTGCCAGTATTTTATTGAGGATTTTTGCATCAATGTTCATCAAGGATATTGGTCTAAAATTCTCTTTTTTTGTTGTGTCTCTGCCAGGCTTTGGTATCAGGATGATGCTGGCCTCATAAAATGAGTTAGGGAGGATTCCCTCTTTTTCTATTGATTGGAATAGTTTCAGAAGGAATGGTACCAGGTCCTCCTTGTACCTCTGGTAGAATTCGGCTGTGAATCCATCTGGTCCTGGACTCTTTTTGGTTGGTAAGCTATTGATTATTGCCACAATTTCAGAGCCTGTTATTGGTCTATTCAGAGATTCAACTTTTTCCTGGTTTAGTCTTGGGAGAGTGTATGTGTCGAGGAATTTATCCATTTCTTCTAGATTTTCTAGTTTATTTGCATAGAGGTGTTTGTAGTATTCTCTGATGGTAGTTTGTATTTCTGTGGGATCGGTGGAGATATCCCCTTTATTATTTTTGATTGTGTCTATTTGATTCTTCTCTCTTTTTTTCTTTATTAGTCTTGCTAGCGGTCTATCAATTTTGTTGATCCTTTCAAAAAATCAGCTCCTGGATTCATTAATTTTTTGAAGGGTTTTTTGTGTCTCTATTTCCTTCAGTTCTGCTCTGATTTTAGTTATTTCTTGCCTTCTGCTAGCTTTTGAATGTGTTTGCTCTTGCTTTTCTAGTTCTTTTAATTGTGATGTTAGGGTGTCAATTTTGGATCTTTCCTGCTTTCTCTTGTGGGCATTTAGTGCTATAAATTTCCCTCTGCACACTGCTTTGAATGTGTCCCAGAGATTCTGGTATGTTGTGTCTTTGTTCTCATTGGTTTCAAAGAACATCTTTATTTCTGCCTTCATTTTGTTATGTACCCAGTAGTCATTCAGGAGCAGGTTGTTGAGTTTCCATGTAGTTGAGCGGTTTTGAGTGAGATTCTTAATCCTGATTTCTAGTTTGATTGCACTGTGGTCTGAGAGATAGTTTGTTATAATTTCTGTTCTTTTACATTTGCTGAGGAGAGCTTTACTTCCAACTATGTGGTCAATTTTGGAATAGGTGTGGTGTGGTGCTGAAAAGAATGTATATTCTGTTGATTTGTGGTGGAGAGTTCTGTAGATGTCTATTAGGTCTGTTTGGTGCAGAGCTGAGTTCAATTCCTGGGTATCCTGTTTGACTTTCTGTCTCGTTAATCTGTCTAATGTTGACAGTGGGGTGTTAAAGTCTCCCATTATTAATGTGTGGGAGTTTAAGTCTTTTTGTAGGTCACTCATTACTTGCTTTATGAATCTGGATGCTCCTGTATTGGGTGCATATATATTTAGGATAGTTAGCTCTTCTTGTTCAATTGATCCCTTTACCATTAAGTAATGGCCTTCTTTGTCTCTTTTGATCTTTGTTGGTTTGAAGTCTGTTTTATCAGAGACTAGGATTGCAACCCCTGCCTTTTTTTGTTTTCCATTTGCTTGGTAGATCTTCCTCTATCCTTTTATTTTGAGCCTATGTTTGTCTCTATACATGAGATGGGCTTCCTGAATACAGCACACTGATGGGTCTTCACTCTTTATCCAATTTTCCAGTCTGTGTCTTTTAATTGGAGCATTTAGTCCATTTATATTTAAAGTTAATATTGTTATGTGTGAATTTGATCCTGTCATTATGATGTTAGCTGGTTATTTTGCTCTTTAGTTGATGCAGTTTCTTCCTAGTCTTCATGGTCTTTACATTTTGGCATGATTTTGCAGTGGCTGGTACCAGTTGTTCCTTTCGATGTTTAGTGCTTCCTTCAGGAGCTCTTTTAGGGCAGGCCTGGTGGTGACAAAATCTCTCAGCATTTGCTTGTCTGTAAAGTATTTTATTTCTCCTTCACTTATGAAGCTTAGTTTGGCTGGATATGAAATTCTGGGTTGAAAATTCTTTTCTTCAAGAATGTTGAATATTGGCCCCCACTCTCTTCTGGCTTGTAGATTTTCTGCCGAGAGATCCGCTGTTAGTCTGATGGGCTTCCCTTTGAGTGTATCCTGACCTTTCTCTCTGGCTGCCCTTAAGATTTTTTCCTTCATTTTAACTTTGGTGAATCTGACAATTATGTGTCTTGGAGTTGCTCTTCTCGAGGAGTATCTTTGTGGTGTTCTCTGTATTTCCTGAATCTGAACGTTGGCCTGCCTTGCTAGATTGGGGAAGTTCTCCTGGATAATATCCTGCAGAGTGTTTTCCAACTTGGTTCCATTCTCCCCGTCACTTTCAGGTACACCAATCAGACGTAGATTTGGTCTTTTCACATAGTCCCATATTTCTTGGAGGCTTTGCTCGTTTCTTTTTATTCTTTTTTCTCTAAACTTCCCTTCTCGCTTCATTTCATTCATTTCATCTTCCATTGCTGATACCCTTTCTTCCAGTTGATCGCATCGGCTCCTGAGGCTTCTGCATTCTTCACGTAGTTCTCGAGCCTTCGTTTTCAGCTCCATCAGCTCCTTTAAGCACTTCTCTCTATTGGTTATTCTAGTTATACATTCTTCTAAATTTTTTTCAAAGTTTTCAACTTCTTTGCCTTTGGTTTGAATGTCCTCCCGTAGCTCGGAGTAATTTGATCATCTGAAGCCTTCTTCTCTCAGCTCATCAAAGTCATTCTCCGTCCAGCTTTGTTCTGTTGCTGGTGAGGAACTACATTCCTTTGGAGGCGGAGAGGCGCTCTGCTTTTTAGAGTTTCCGGTTTTTCTTCTCTGTTTTTTCCCCATCTTTGTGGTTTTATCTACTATTGGTCTTTGATGATGGTGATGTACAGATGGGTTTTTGGTGTGGATGTCCTTTCTGTTTGTTAGTTTTCCTTCTAACAGATAGGACCCTCAGCTGCAGGTCTGTTGCATTACCTGGACGTGTGAGGTGTCAGTCTGCTCCTGCTGGGGGGTGCCTCCCAGTTATGCTGCTGGGGGTCAGGGGTCAGGGACCCACTTGAGGAGGCAGTCTGCCTGTTCTCAGATCTCCAGCTGTGTGCTGGGAGAACCACTGCTCTCTTCAAGGCTGTCAGACAGGGACATTTAAGTCTGCAGAGGTTACTGCTGTCTTTTTGTTTGTCTGTGCCCTGCCCAGAGAGGTGGAGCCTACAGAGGCAGGCAGGCCTCCTTGAGCTGTGGTGGGCTCCACCCAGTTCGAGCTTCCTGGCTGCTTTGTTTACCTAAGCAAGCCTGGGCAATGGCGGGCGCCCTTCTGCTAGCCTCGCTGCCGCCTTGCAGTTTGATCTCAGACTGCTGTGCTAGCAATCAGCGAGACTTCGTGGGCGTAGGACCCTCTGAGCCAGGTGCGGGATGTCATCTACATGTGCGCTGTTTTTTAAGCCCGTTGGCAAAGCGCAGTAATCTGGTGGGAGTGACCTGATTTTCCAGGTGCCGTCTGTCACCCCTTTGTTTGACTCGGAAAGGGAACTCCCTGACCCCTTGAGCTTCCTGAGTGAGGCAATGCGTCGCCCTGCTTCAGCTCGTGCACGGTGCGTGCACCCACTGACCTGCGCCCACTGTCTGGCACTCCCTAGTGAGATGAACCCGCTACCTCAGATGGAAATGCAGAAATCACCTGTCTTCTGCGTCGCTCATGCTGGGAGCTGTAGACCGGAGCTGTTCCTATTCAGCCATCTTGGCTCCTCCCCCATGTGCCACCTTTTCTTAATGCAGTCTATCATTGTTGGACATTTGGATTGGCTCCAAGTCTTTGCTATTGTGAATAGTGCCGCAATAAACATACATGTGCATGTGTCTTTATAGCAGCATGATTTATAATCCTTTGGGTATAGACCCAGTAATGGGATGGCTGGGTCAAATGGTATTTCTAGTTCTAGATCCCTGAGGAATCGCCACACTGACTTCCACAGTGGTTGAACTAGTTTACAGTCCCACCAACAGTGTAAAAGTGTTCCTATTTCTCCACATCCTCTCCAGCACCTGTTGTTTCCTGACTTTTTAATGATTGCCATTCTAATTGGTGTGAGATGGAGTATCATTGTGGTTTTGATTTGCATTTCTCTGATGGCCAGTGATGATGAGCATTTTTTCATGTGTTTTTTGGCTGCATAAATGTCTTCTTTTGAGAAGTGTCTGTTCATGTCCTTCGCCCACTTTTTGATGGGGTTGTTTGTTTTTTTCTTGTAAATTTGTTGGAGTTCATTATAGATTCTGGATATTAGCCCTTTGTCAGATGAGTAGGTTGCAAAAATTGTCTCCCATTCTGTAGGTTGCCTGTTTACTCTGATGGTGGTTTCTTTTGCTGTGCAGAAGCTCTTTAGTTTAATTAGATCCCATTTGTCAATTTTGGCTTTTGTTGCCATTGCTTTTGGTGTTTTAGACATGAAACCCTTGCCCATGCCTATGTCCTGAATGGTATTGCCTAGGTTTTCTTCTAGGGTTTTTATGGTTTTAGGTCTAACATTTAAGTCTTTAATCCATCTTGCATTAATTTTTGTATAAGGTGTAAGGAAGGGATCCAGTTTCAGCTTTCTACATATGGCTAGCCAGTTTTCCCAGCAGCATTTATTAAACAGGGAATCCTTTCCCCATTTTTTGTTTTTGTCAGGTTTGTCAAAGATCAGATAGTTGTAGATATGCGCCATTATTTCTGAGGGCTCTGTTCTGTTCCATTGGTCTATATCTCTGTTTTGGTACCAGTACCATGCTGTTTTGGTTACTGTAGCCTTGTAGTATAGTTTGAAGTCAGGTAGCCTGATGCCTCCAGCTTTGTTCTTTTGGCTTAGGATTGACTTGGCAATGCGGGCTCTTTTTTGGTTCCATATGAACTTTAAAGTAGTTTTTTCCAATGCTGTGAAGAAAGTCATTGGTAGCTTGATGGGGATGGCATTGAATCTGTAAATTACCTTGGACAGTATGGCCATTTTCATGATATTGATTCTTCCTACCCATGAGCATGGAATGTTCTTCCATTTGTTTGTGTCCTCTTTTATTTCATTGAGCAGTGGTTTGTAGTTCTCCTTGAAGAGGTCCTTTACATCCCTTGTAAGTTGGATTCCTAGGTATTTTATTCTCTCTGAAGCAATTTTAAATGGGAGTTCACTCATGATTTGGCTCTCTGTTTGTCTGTTATTGGTGTATAAGAATGCTTGTGATTTTTGTACGTTGATTTTGTATCCTGAGACTTTGCTGAAGTTGCTTATCAGCTTAAGGAGATTTTGGGCTGAGACAATGCGGTTTTCTAGATATGCAATCATGTCATCTGCAAACAGGGACAATTTGACTTCCTCTTTTCCTAATTGATTACCCTTTATTTCCTTCTCCTGCCTGATTGCCCTGACCAGAACTTTCGACACTCTGTGGAGTAGGCATGGTGAGAGAAGGCATCCCTGTGTTGTGCCAGTTTTTAAAGGGAGTGCTTCCAGTTTTTGTCCATTCAGTATGTTATTGGCTGTGGGTTTGCAATAGATAGCTCTTGTTATTTTGAGATACGTCCCATCAATACCTAATTTCTTGAGAGTTTTTAGCATGAAGTGTTGTTGAATTTTGTCAAAGGCCTTTTCTGCATCTATTGAGATAACCATAGTGGTTTTTGTCCTTGGTTCTGTTTATTTTCTGGATTATGTTTATTGATTTGCATATATTGAACCAGCCTTGCATCCCAGGGATGAAGCCCACTTGATAATGGTGGATCAGCTTTTTGATGTGCTGCTGGACTCAGTTTGCCAGTATTTTATTGAGGATTTTTGCATCAATGTTCATCAAGGATATTGGTCTAAAATTCTCTTTTTTTGTTGTGTCTCTGCCAGGCATTGGTATCAGGATGATGCTGGCCTGATAAAATGAGTTAGGGAGGATTCCCTCTTTTTCTATTGTTTGGAATAGTTTCAGAAGGAATGGTACCAGCTCCTCTTTATACCTCTGGTAGAATTCGGCTGTGAATCCATCTGGTCCTGGACTTTTTTTGGTTGGTAAGCTATGAATTATTGCCTCAATTTCAGAGCCTGTTATTGGTCTATTCAGAGATTCAACTTCTTCCTGGTTTAGTCTTGATAGGTTGTATGTGTCGAGGAATTTATCCATTTCTTCTAGATTTTCTAGTTTATTTGCATAGAGGTGTTTATAGTATTCTCTGATGGTAGATTGTATTTCTATGGGATTGGTGGTGATATCCCCTCTGTTATTTTTTATCGCGTCTATTTGAGTCTTCTCTCTTTTTTTCTTTATTAGTCTTGCTGGAGGTCTATCAATTTTGTTGATCTTTTCAAAAAACCAGCTCCTGGATTCATTAATTTTTTGAAGGGTTTTTTATGTCTCTATTTCCTTCAGTTCTGCTCTGATCTTAGTTATTTCTTGCCTTCTGCTAGCTTTTGAATGTGTTTTTTCTTGCTTTTCTAGTTCTTTTAATTGTGATGTTAGGGTGTCAATTTTGGATCTTTCCTGCTTTCTCTTGTGGGCATTTAGTGCTATAAATTTCCCTCTACGCACTGCTTTGAATGTGTCCCAGAGATTCTGGTATGTTGTGTCTTTTTTCTCATTGGTTTCAAAGAACATCTTTATTTCTGCCTTCATTTCGTTATGTACCCAGTAGTCATTCAGGAGCAGGTTGTTCAGTTTCCATGTAGTTTAGCAGTTTTGAGTGAGATTCTTAATCCTGAGTTCTAGTTTGATTGCACTGTGGTCTGAGAGACAGTTTGTTATAATTTCTGTTCTTTTACATTTGCTGAGGAGTGCTTTACTTCCAAGTGTGGGGTCAGTTTTGGAATAGGTGTGGTGTGGTGCTGAAAAAAATGTATATTCTGTTGATTTGTGGTGGAGAGTTCTGTAGATGTCTATTAGATCTGCTTGGTGCAGAGCTGAGTTCAATTCCTGGATATCCTTGTTAACTTTCTGTCTCGTTGATCTGTCTAATGTTGACAGTGGGGTGTTAAAGTCTCCCATTATTATTGTGTGGGAGTCTAAGTCTCTTTGTAGGTCACTCAGGACTTGCTCTATGAATCTGGGTGCTCTGTATTGGGTGCATATATATTTAGGATAGTTAGCTCTTCTTTTTGTATTGATCCCTTTACCGTTATATAATGGCCTTCTTTGTCTGTTTTGATCTTTGTTGGTTTAAAGTCTGTTTTATCAGAGACTAGGATTGCAACCCCTGCCTTTTTTTGTCTTCCATTTGCTTGGTAGATCTTCCTCCATCCCTTTATTTTGAGCCTATGTGTGTCTCTGTACGTGAGATGGGTTTCCTGAATACAGCACACTGATGGGTCTTGACTCTTTATCCAATTTGCCAGTCTGTGTCTTTTACCTGGAACATTTAGCCTATTTACATTTAAGGTTAATATTGTTATGTGTAAATTTGATCATGTCATTATGATGTTAGCTGGTTATTTTGTTTGTTAGTTGATGCGGTGTCTTCCTAGCCTTGATGGTCTTTACAGTTTGGCATGTTTTTTGCAGTGGCTGGTACCGGTTATTCCTTTCCATGATTAGTGCTTCCTTCAGGAGCTCTTTTAGGGCAGGCCTGGTGGTGACAAAGTTTCTCAGCATTTGCTTGTCTGTAAAGTATTTTATTTCTCCTTCACTTATGAAGCTTAGTTTGGCTGGATATGAAATTCTGGGTTGAAAATTCTTTTCTTTAAGAATGTTGAATATTGGCCCTCACTCTCTTCTGGCTTGTAGAGTTTCTGTCGAGAGATCAGCTGTTAGTCTGATGGGCTTCCCTTTCTGGGTAACCTGACCTTTCTCTCTGGCTGCCCTTAACATTTTTTCCTTCATTTCCACTTTGGTGAATCTGATAATTATGTGTCTTGGAGTTGCTCTTCTCGAGGAGTATCTTTGTGGTGTTCTGTATTTCCTGGATTTGAATTTTGGCCTGCCTTGCTAGATTGGGGAAGTTCTCCTGGATAATATCCTGCAGAGTGTTTTCCAACTTGGTTCCATTCTCCCTGTCACTTTGAGGTACACCAATCAGACATAGATTTGGTCTTTTCACATAGTCCCATATTTCTTGGAGGCTTTGTTCATTTCCTTTTATTCTTTTTTCTCTAAACTTGTCTTCTCGCTACATTTCATTCATTTCGTCTTCCATTGTTGATAACCTTACTTCCAGTTGATCACTTTAATAAGTGCCTGTAAGAATTGATTGAAATTAAATGTATATGAAAGCATTTTTGTAAACTGTAGAGCACAATATGATGGCTACTTTTTTTTTTTTTTTTTTTTTTGAGATGGAGTTTTGCTCTTGTTGTCCTGGCTGGAGTGCAATGGCGTGATCTTGGCTCACTGCAACCTCCGCCTCCCGGGGTCAAGCGATTCTCCTGCCTCAGCTTCCCGAGTAGCTGGGATTATAGGCAACCATGCCTGGTTAATTTTGTATTTTAGTATAGATGGGGTTTCTCCATGTTGGTCAGTTGGTCGCGAACTCCCGACCTCACGTGATCCACCTGCCTCACCCTCCCTAAGTGCTGGGATTACAGGCATGAGCCACAGTGATTTCTACTTTTTAATTCTGCTTTTAAATTTGTGAACGGCATCATATTTACTATCATATCAGGACATTGAGAGTTGGCTACCTTAAAGTGGTTGAAATTAAAATAAGTCTAGACACAACAGATTCAAGTTCCCAAATGATGCTTTCCAATTTCTTAATTATTCTTTCCTCTGTATTTATTTTATCCTCAGGAAAGTTTATCACAAATATTTTCAAAGATGAACTTAGCAACCTCTGGAAAGAGAAAAAGAAAAGTTTCTTTCCCCAAAGAATTCCAGCCAATCTGAGTATCTAGTTTTATCTTGAGCTATGTGAATACTCCTACAAATGTATTACTGTGACTAGTTTTCTGATTACTCTTACTGAGTGAGTCTTGATCAAGTGCTCATGCTAGAGCTTGGAGGGTACAGTCAGTCCTATTTAATTCCTAAAGAACAATTTAGTAACGTATAGTTTGTTTTCTGCTCCTATAACAAAATAACATAGACTGAGTAATTTATAAATAAAAGAAATTTATTTGGTTCATGATTCTGGAAGCTAGGATTCAAAGATTGAGAGGCGACAACTGGTGAGGTCCTTCTTGCTGCACCATAACATAGCAGAAGGCATCACAAGGTCAGAGAGCATATGAGAGAGATAGAGAGAAAAAGGGGGTGAATCTCTCATATCCCACACCCAAGATGATGGCATTAATTCATTTGTGAGTGCAGAGTCCTCATCACCTAATGCCTCTTAGAGGTTCCACCTCTTAATACTGTCACAATGACAATTACATTTCAACCTGCGGTTTAAGGGGACATTCAAACCATACCCCAAGGGGGGGCAAAAAAGCAGATTCTGCTATACCCATATCATTGTCATCTTTTCATAATGGTCAAACTCCAATAAAAAAATAGGTAAGGTTTTTCCTCCCAGTTTTTTAGTAATTTAACCGTTAATTAATATTTACAACAAACGATACATTAACATTGTTATTTAAGAGGTTAACCATATTTTGATGTATATTTTAAGATTTTCTAAGAGTGTAGATTTTACGTCAAGTGTTCTTATCACACACATACACAACACAAAGAGGGCAGGAAGAAACTTTTGGAGTTGATACATAGGTTTATGGCATAGACTATAGCGATGGTTTCATGGATATATTCTTATTTCCAAACTCGTCAAGTTGTATACATTAAATATGTACGGTTTTCTGTATGTCAATCATATGTCAATAATAAAATGGCTTAACAAAAGTATTGCTTGGGTCGACATGGGTTTTAAGTGCCAAATCCTGATTTTTTTTTTTTAACTTTTATTTTATGTTCAGGAGTACATGTGCAGGATGTGCAGGTTTGTTACATAGGTAAACGTGAGTCACAGGGGTTGGTTGTATAGATTATTTCAACACCCAGGTATTAAGCCTGGCATCCATTAGTTATTTTTCCTGATCCTCTCAGTCCTCTCAGCCTCTATCCTTTGAAAAGCCCCAGTGTGTGTTGTTCCCTTCTATGTGTTCATTTATTCTCATCATTCAGCTCCCGATTATAAGTGAGAACATGTGATGTTTGGTTTTCTGTTCATGCGTTAGCTTGCTGAGGATAATGGCCTCCAGCTCCATCCATCTCCCTAAAAAGAACATGATCTCATTCTTTTTTATGGCTGCATAGTATTCCATGGTGTATATATACCATGTTTTCTTTATCCAGTCTATCATTGATGGGCATTTGGGTTGACTCCATGTCTTTGCTATTGTGATAGTGCTGCAATGAACATATGCATGCATGTCTTTTTATAATAGAATGATTTATATTCTTTTGAATATATGCCCAGTAATTGGATTATTGGGTTGAATTGTGTTTCTGTTTTTAGGTCTTTGGGGAGTCACCACACTGTCTTCTGTAATGGTTGAACTAATTTACACTCCCACCAACAGTGTATAAGTGTTCTTTTTTCTCCACAACCTTGCCAGCATTTATTATTTTTTATTTTTAATAATAGCCATTATGACTGGTGTTAGATGATATCTTATTGTGGTTTTGGTTTGCATTTCTCTATCAGTGATGTTGAGGTTTCTTTCTTATGATTGTTGGGCACATGTATGTCTTCTTCTGAGAAGTGTCTCTTCATGTCCAAAGCCTGATTTAAAATACAACTCCCTTTGATTCCAGTGGTTGTATATTGTTATCCACTGGAGTAATTAGTAAGGTAATGTTCTGGGTCACATTTCTAAAACTTATTTTAGACAGTTACACAAATTGGGAAAGATACTTTTGAACTTTCATTTTTAAAATGGAGATAAAATTGACAGTGTGGAATGTACAAACCTTGAGTATAAAATTTGTTGAATGTTAGCCATTCTATATACCTTTATAATCAACATCCTTGTAACTAACATATCAGTCAAGTTTTAGCACATTTTTCTCTTTCCAGATTGTTCTATCATACTCTTTGCCAGTTAATTCCATAGCCCTTCCCCCGTGGGCACCATTATCTTTTACCTCTATCATTATAGATTAGCTTTGGCTGTTCTTGAATTTTATTAAATATATAAACATAATCATATAGTATGCAATTTGGCTTCTTTCTCTAAACAGAATGCTTTTGAGATTAACCCATATTGTTGCTTGCATCAGTAGTTTATTTTATGGTATTGCTAAAGAATATTTCATCATATGAATATAAAACATTTTATCTGTTTCCTGTGAACATTTGGGTTGTGTTGTTTTGGGCTATTATGAATAAAACTGTTACAATTATTCAACTCAAGTCTTTTCTTTGACATATATTTTCATTTCTGCTGGGTAAATGTCTATGAATGGTATTGCTGAGTTGTATGGTAGTAATGTGCTTTATTTTAAAATATATTGCCAAACAGACTTTCAAAGTGGTTGCAAAATTTTATAGCCCTATCAGCAATGTGTGTGAGAAGGTTCATTTGTTCCACTTTCTTGCCAAAAATTGATAATTGTCAGTCCTTTTAAGTTTTAACTATTTCCTTAGGTGGTAAGTAGAGTCTTATCTGGTTTTAATTTGTCTTTTCCTGATAATGTTGAACATCTTTTCATTTTTCTCTCTGGCTATTACTATACCTTTTCTTTTGTGAAGTATCTGCTTCTTTTGCTCATTATATTAAGTTGTGTTAATCTTTTGATTATTGATTTATAATACCTCTTAAATATTTTGGAGTGAAGTTCTTTGTAAGATATGAATATTTTTCTCCCAGTGTGGCTTGCCTTTCCATTTCCTTAATGGTGACTTGGATAAGTGGAAATTTTTAATGTTAGTGAAATCTTATTTATCACCTTTTTCTTTAATGATTATTGATTTTGGGAATTCTCTAAGGAACCTTTGTGAACCACAAAGTTGCAAATATATTCTCCTACATTTTATTATATAAGACTTAGTTTTCACTCTTACATTTAGATTTACGGATGATCAAAACTCACATTAATTGTTGTGTATAAAGTAAGGTAGAGGTCCAATAGACTTCAGTTTTGATTTTAACAGATATCCATTGTTATTATTACTAGAAATGTATTGCTTAACTAAAATAATACAATTTCTATGTCCATTTTGTTATCATTAAGTAAAAGGAATTATATTTTTATCAGATCTTTTTATTGTTAATCTGTGTCTTACTTCTCCTTCTGGATTTAATGTAAGACCAGTTATTTCTACATTTAATATAGCTGATAAAATAGGAGAAGGAATGAGGGTGAAGTAATGAGTTTAATTAATAAGTTAATTAGTATTACTATTGCAGCTAAATGGAAGCTAAACAATACCACTGGTCCGAGCTCCCAGTAGGTTGGAGAGGGAGATAGTTGACAAAGGAAGGGCTTGAATATGATTCATATGAGGGTACGTTAGGTGAGCCCTTCTATTTTCTTCTTTTCCCATGACAAAGGCAAATTCTTTTTTGAATATTCAAGATAAATTAGGAACTGCCAAAACCTTTAGTTTAAAGAAACAATTGCAATAAAAGATCGGAAATATTTTCATCCACACAATAATGAAAGTACTACATGCCAAAACTTGAAGTAAGCAATTTGTAGAGACATATTCAGAGCTTTAAATGTATGTATTCAAAATGGTCAAAAATTAAACTAAGCATCCATTTTAAGAATTTAAGGCCTGGTGTGGTGGCTCACACCTACAATCCCAGCAATTTGGGATGCCAAGGCAGGCGGATCACCTGAGGTCTGGAGTTTGAGACCAGCCTGGTCAACATGGTAAAACTCAGTCTCTATCAAAAAGACAAAATTAGCCAGGTGTGGTGGTACATGTCTGTAATCCCAGCTACTTGGGAGGCTGAGGCAGGAGAATAGCTTGGACCCGGGAGGTGGAGGTTGCAGTGAACTGATATCGTGCCATTGTACTCCAGCCTGGGTGACAAGAGCGAAACTCCATCTCAAAAAAAAAAAAAAAAATTTAAAAAGAATGATAAGTTAAGTTCATTAAAGTGGAAGGGAGAACATATTAAATATAAGGCAGAAGTTATAGAGAGAATGAGTAACACCAAAGTCTGTTTTTTAAAAAGACTAATAACACTGACAAACTTCTCATGAGAATGAGCAAAGAAAAGACACAAATTGTCAACATCTGCTGTGAGAAAAGTACAATATTAGGGATATTGGAGAAGCTAAGCAATGACTGGACATTACTG
This sequence comes from Homo sapiens, assembly GCF_000001405.40. Lineage (NCBI taxonomy): Eukaryota > Metazoa > Chordata > Mammalia > Primates > Hominidae > Homo > Homo sapiens. The sequence continues at coordinate 195,218,986 of NC_000002.12, read as the reverse complement.
GTCACATATCAATAAATTTGAAAATGTATCAAAAATTGTTTGAAAATTATAACTAATCAAAAATTAGAAAGAAAGAGAAACGAACAATTATTAATCATTAAGGAAACTGAATCAGTAATCAGCATTTTCTGAAAAAAACCATCTAGGTCAAATTAGCTTTTCTAATAAGTTCTGCCATTCAAGAGGAAAGAAAAATTGGGAATATTTCCCGACTACATAATAAGACTAGTAAGCTCCATAACAAAACCAGGTAAGGACAGTACAAGAAAGACAATTTATAGGTCAATCTCATTATGAACAAAGATTAAAAAATCTGTAAACAAAATATTAGCAAATGTTGGCAAACAGAATCTCAATCTTTATAGAGGCATAATATATTATGATAAAGTTGGATTTCTTCCAGGATCTCATTCATAGATTAACTTTGGACAATCAGTTAATGAAATCCCCAACATGATTAGATTATTAAAGAAAAATGATACAGTGGTATCAACAGATGCAGAAAATGCATTTGATAAAAATTCTATTTTTATCAAAAATAGAATTTTAAAAAGAAACTAAGCAAACTAGGAGGAGATATTGGATACCTACAATAAACTTACAATAAATAATATAATGAATGTTGAAAATATTGAATAATTTACAAAATTATTTCATCTTTAACCACATCTGAACAACATTGTTTTGGAAGTGTTAGCCAGTTCAGTAGAGCAAGAGAGAAACAAAACAGAACAAAAAGTTTGGAAAGAAGAAACAAAACTGATGTTATTCTTAGTAGACAGGATCATTTACGTAGGAATTCAAAGAGGATCCACAAATTAATTATTAGAATTAATGAGCCTAGCAAAATTTCTAGATTTAAAGTGAATTATTAAAAAATCAATTTGATTTTCACAAACAAGAAATAGAAGATAAAATTTAGAAGGTATTCAAATAGTATAAAAACTATAACATGCCTAGGAACAAATTTATCTAAAAGTATGCAGGACTACCAATGTATAACACTATTAAACATTACTGAGATAAATTAGAAAGCTCTCTATAGGGAAATATGACATAAACATGGATTGAAAACTTAATAATAATCTAGAGCTTGAATGTAATTGCAATCAAAATCTCAATAAAATTTTTGTTTGGTAAAGTTGGAAGGCAGATTCTAAAATTTATACATAAGTGCAAAGGGTCAAGAGTGGAGAATACACATATCAAAGAAGTAAATGATGAAATTACTTGCTTTACCAGATGTCAACATATATAATAAATTGCAGTGATTAAGATAGAGGAAGGCAAGTAGACCCAATGCAGCACCAGAGAGAGCTCAGAAACAAACCTGTACATGGACACTTGATATATGACAGAAGCAGTTTGACACATAATTGAGGAAGGACATAATTTTCATTAAATGGTGCTGGGTCACTCATATAGTTATGTATTTATGTATCTATCTATAATCTACTTTCTTCATTCTATTGATGTATTATTTATCTCTGTATTCTATTATGAATCTGTTCTCAGCGTCATCCATTCATCTATGTATACTTTATTGTTTCTTAAAAGATTTGAGGTAGTTTACGAAAATTCAGGAAAGAGGAAAAAATAGTTGAAGGAATCAAGAGTACTGTTTTTATGTATAAAATGTGGTTTCTGTTGGGAGGAGTCCAGTGGTAACAAAAATGTAATCAGAGGAAGGATTTCTTGTGCATGTGCAACTGAATATTCAGGACAAATCATGTTTCATTTGCTTGGCCATCATCATAAGGGTTTGCAGCTTCTTGGAAATAAATTTCAGGCAATGCTTTTAATCTGGTTAAAATTTAAGACTGAGAGATGCATTCCATTTAACAGAAAAGGGGACTGGCCGGGTGCCATGGCTCATGCCTGTAATCCCAGCACTTTGGGAGTCCTAGGTGGCTGGATCCCCTGAGCCCAGGAGTTCAAGACCAGCCTGGGTAACATAGTGAAACCCCGTCTCTACTTAAAATACAAAAATAGACTTGGTTAGGTGTCATGGCCCTTGCCTGTAGTCCCAGCACTCAGAAGGCTGAGGTGGGAAGATCGCTTGACCCTAGGAGGTCAAGGCTGCAGTGAGCCATGATTCTGCCGCTGCAGCTTGGGTATCAGAGTGAGACCCTGTCTCAAAAAAAAAAAAAAGAAAATATGGAACTAATTGCTGTTAGTGTTATGTGCAATGAATTAAATATTTGTGTTCACACTACCCACCTCCAAATTTATATTTTGAAACCATAAATCAATGTTTTTACGATGTGGGGCCTTTGGGATATAAAAGAGGGTTGAGCCTTCATGAATGCGGTTAGTGTCCTTACAAAAGAGACCACAGAGAGCTCTCTAGCCTTCTTCCTTTATGTGAGTATACAGTGAGATAATGGCGGTCTGAAACCTGGAAGAGGACCTTCACCAGAATGCAACCATGCTGGTGCCCTGATCTTGGTCTTCCAGCTTCCAGAACTGTGAGAAATACATTTCTGCCATCTATAAGCCACCCAGTCTATAGTACTTTGTCTTGGCACCCTGAATGATTTAAAATAGAAATTGTTTCCTGATTATTTGGCTTTGTGCTTTTCTGGCAGAATTGAACTACCATGAGGTTATGATGATCTTTGCCAATTTCTGTAACTAGTAAACAAAATAGCTTTAATTGTGGTTCATGTGATGAGGATTTTATTTTTCTAATCATTGACCTGTGTAGATCAGATAACCTGTTATAATAAGGGTATATATTATCCACACTGTGTTAGATATATATTGACTATATTCGCACACATTTTGGAGTTTATTTTATGTTATTGGGTTTACAATCCTCCAACATTTTGTTTGACTTATGGCTCAGATTTTTCTAAACTGTGAATATTTCCAAGTAAATAACTTTTTTTCCTTTAAAGATGATTAGAAATTGGTAAGTATTACTTTGGCAGTGAAGCATAAAAACCCACATCAGAGGGAGCACACACACAGAAACTTACACTCTTAAATATATACATATACAATCTGAGAAGGCAAGCTGTTTTAAGAAACAAAAGGTTTTTAAATCAGATAGCTGTATAGTACTGTTTTGTAGACAAGAGGAGACTTATGAGGATGTGAATATATGTAAGTAGTTCCATTTGTGGAATTGTATAAGAATGAATGAAGCTTTAATGAAAATTTAATCTACCTTCAAAATATTAGAAGACCTTAATATTGGAAAACAATTTTTTGCATTGTACAGGTGCAAATGCTAGATTTTTGTAGGTGACAACACCTTATAATAACTGTGAACTGAGCATACTATGGCAAATGACATCATGATCTCTCTAATTTAGTATTTTACAAGAAAACTGTTATGAGAAATTTAACTAAGGGTTGCAACATCCAGTGCTATTAAAGTGTTCAGAACAAACAAAGTCTTTCAAACAGAAAATTATGAAAGAAATTGGGAATTTAAGGGAGGATCTGGTACTAACAAAGAATGATATTTCTCAGAGTGGACTTTTAAGGTCTAGTGCCAGACCCAGAGCACAGACACTGCTCAGGGCAGGAGCTTGATATCTCCTCAGCAGTAGATAATAGACGGTACTAGTCAGGTAATCAGGGTCAGTCAGTTATAGTATTTTGGGATTCCATTGCAAAATCACATCCTGGCTCAGATCTGCAAGCTTAGTTGTCCTTTAGGAACTACTTGTTGAATAAACAAATGAATGGGTAGTGTGGTGATAGTAGAAAGCTGGTATCTCAGATCAGTGATTAAAAAAACATTCAAAGGAATTTGGTTAATGCCCAAACAGAAGACATTAACCAAAAAGAGGGTGGGCAAAGGACCAAGGAGAGTGGCAGTAGGATAAACGTGTTGACAATGGAGGCAACTAGTCAGTTACAAAATTCTCACAGCTGGAGCATGACCCAGAGACTGGGATGGGTGTAGGTCCAGGACTTAGGTCTTGGAGTTTCTGGAGGAACAAAACAAAATCTCAGACTGAGAAAAACAGATCTACTGGTGCAGTTATCAAGGTCGACATCTTAGGGAACAAGAAGGTGTGTAGCAAGGTTGAATGAACACGGGATCACTTGAGGTCTGAAATGGGACTGTGTTTACCCTAGAACCTGAGTGAGGTTTGAACCTTCAGGAAAGAATCAAGTTTCTGTTTTTGAGAAGGAATAGTTTCAGCAAACAGATTAAATTCATATTTATCATGGCAGTTTGACTTTTCTTTCCAATGAAATTCCATGGAGAGAATAACATAAATTACATTACCAGTAAAATTACATGCAACGAAGGAACATATGAAGTAGTTAGATTCTTAACTAAACAGTTCAACTCATAAAACAAATTTTGGAACAATCTAGCAGGCAGCTTGAATCAGGTGTGGATCGATTGTTGGGAGACAATTTTCCGTGGGTTTCTAGTGGTTCTGCACATCGTATAAGCAAAACTTTGACTGTCCTTTGTTCTGGATGTTGGCATCGTACCTTGGAAGACAGAGAGGATCTCTCTTTAGATCAAAGTACAGCCATGCTTACTATCTAGTACAATAAAAATGTCTCTGGAGCAAATGGTAAACACAATTACTGCCATCATTAAAGCTCCTGATTCTCTAAGCTCGGGTTCCTTTCCTGTAACACAACCCGTTGCGTGGGCTTGTGTCAGTTGGCTCTCTTCACGTTACTCTGTGTTAATTGAGGCTTTGGTAACCAGCCCCAAAATGCTGATACTGTGGCTACTGCTATTGATGTGGGTGAAAAACTGTTCATCTCTGCTCTAGGAGTCTCAGGTGTTCTACCAACATTCATGAAACTGCGACAGAGTGACAGAGTGGCTAACAAGAGAATGCAATCTCAGACATTTTACAGTTTTTGGCATAACTAGAGCTGACTTTGGAAGTCTGTAAATATAAAACTTTATTCTAAATAAGCCAAAAGAATATTAAAGCTTTTAAAGACGCACCCGTGCATGGCCAAATCAATATGTTTCTTTAAATCCTTATTCTAACAGCATCTTTTAGGTAATTCATCTTTTAAAACATCATGGTTATCTAATTTAGGACTGAAAACTCAAAGTTACTGAATTTTACAGAATGATTCCTATAAGAAACTAAAGACATCTGTATTCGGGGAGAAAATGTGGAGGAGTGCCTTTGATTGACTGATTGATTAGATTGATTCAACTCATCAACATATATCCTAACGACTGTATTTTCCCCGTTGAAGTTGGCATTATTTTTTAAGGTATGCTGTGGGAATTGTAAATCTCTAAATGTAATTGGAAACAGTGTATTGGGATGATATTTTAAAAAAAAACATTGGCCTTTCTGCAGGAAGACTTGGCTTAAGGTTCCAGATTTTAGGTTTTATCTTATGACCTTGAATAAATTATTCATTTTCTTTGAGCACTGTTTCAGTCTGTTTGGTCGACTATAAAATAACATAAACTACGTCGTTTATAAACAAGAAAAATGTATTTCTTACAGTCCTAGAGGCTAGGAAGTCTAAGATCAAGGCACCAGAAGATTCATTGTCTGGAAAGGGCTCCCTGTCTGGTTCATAGATGGTGACTTCTTGCTGTGTCCTTACATAGTGGAAGGGGTTAACCAGTTCTCTCTGTTCTCTTTTATGAGGGCATTAATCCCCATCATGAGGTCTCTGCCTTTGTGATCTAATCAGTTCCCAAAGGTCCTACCTCCTAATGCTCAAGGGTTTGGATTCTCACATATGAATTTTGGGGAGACACAAAGGCTTTCTATTTTCTCTCATTTTCAAGATCAAACTAGCCCGAGCCCACAGGATCCAGATTGAAAGCAATTGCTCTCCCTTTTTCCTCATCTAAACACCAATGATACCATAAAAGAAGCACAAAATCCCACTTCATGCACAAGTATTTCCTGGAGCGGTCTTTCCCTCCCTGAATTCTAACATTAATTAGCATTTGTACTATACACGTATGACAATCATGTACTGCCTCACGACACTTCTCTTACTTGCTATCTTAACATGCCATTTAAAGTAAATTTATTTAACAAAACCCACAGAAACATTCATATCTTGTCTCTAAAATTAGAATGTAAACTCTTTCAGGGAAAAAGTTTTATAATTTTTGTTTTCTTCATAGCACATAATGCAGTGCTTTGAAAGCAGTGTGTTCCTTAAATACACGGGGATTCAAGTGAAGAGCTTAGAATGACAAGAACAAATAATTCTATTGTGTGAGTTTGCCGACCATACTGTGTTTAATCTGACTGCTTAGTCCCATGCTGAGCTCTCAAAGGCACAGATTTAATGTGGTAATTCCAATCGATTTAAAGTAAAATGAAAGTACTGGGAAAGGAAAACTGTTGGCACTTTCTAATAGCATGTAATAAGTTTATAGACTTGGAAGCAGTATTTTTAGCCTTGGCATTTGTTTCAGAATGTGTTGTGTTTCACCCTATTTTTGCTAACTACTTGTGGAGTGTGGTATTATTGAGCTGAAGAGTTTATAATACTCTCATCATTTGTCAGCGTAATGTTTGGAAACTATGGCATTAGATAGGAGAAGTTGTGATTTATATTGCCACTTTTTAATCTTCTCTGTGACAGTCTTCTGGGAACTGTGAGACGTAAGCAATAGCTGAAAATGAAGGTAATGCGTGAGACCTTATCCTGACGAATGAGTTAGATGATGTGACATTAGATACTGTGTCTTGCTGTTTTTGCCATCTATTTGCATAATGATGGTCCTCATTATTCTCAATAAAAATTAGGGTCATTGTATTTCATAACCTCAGTATTAGGCAAAACCTTATGAAACTGCTGATACTTGATCTTTTTGACTTACTAAAATGGTAATATCATATAATTTAACCTACCTAATATTTAGCTATCTAAATTACTGCCTCATGTATACCCTTTTTGAAAGAAAAGATCTTGAGACCAGTCTTTTCTATCAATGAATCCATGTTTAAATGTATTTAAAATAGATATCTTTAGACTCTTTGAATGTGATATTATTGAGTTTTGTTTACCTTTCTTTCGTCTTACAGTTAGAGTGGTACCTGTACATGGCAAGATAATCATATTCTGTTCTGATACAGACTCAGTGCACTTTCCTTGTAGCATCTAATGTCCAGCTTCTGAATATCAGCTTTTTTAGCATCTGTTGTCACCACCCTTGCCAAGAACAGACCAGAAAACTTCCCAATCTGGAACCAATGACAATTAAAAGTGCTTTGTCTGTTGTTTAGTTAGTACAATCCAAGCAGCAACATTTATGATGGGAAAATACAAGGGTGAAAAAGTTGTCCTGTATCTATAAATAAAGTGTGTGATTTTAGGATAGGATAGCAATTGTGGTTGAAGAAGAAATTAAACAATAATGTTGTGGGCTACTTCTAAGGCAGATCATGAGGATCACATGGCAGTGATTCAAATGACAGAAAACTGGTAGAAATTTTTCGCTATAAATAAATGTTATAAAAGAAAATGTGACAGATCTTAGTAATAGATTGGACAGTTTGATGGAACAATAAAAACTTCTGTTCCAGACAGAGTACAAATGAAGATTTACAACACTGTGCTCTATCTTGTTCTCTTTGCACAAACTATGTGAGCACAGGCCTACACCATCTGGTATGGTCTATGTAACCCATATGTTTGTTATTATACTATTTTACCTGGAAGAGTAAATTTACATGAGTAGATTTTTTTTGTTGTTGTTATGTAAAGACCTTTGAGTTAGACAAATCAAATGTAAAGTGGGTATGCTAAAGCAGCTAAGGTGAGTTTGTGCCTGCAATTTGTCTGTGAGAAGAGATTAACCTATTAAAGACTAAAAAGCAATTGTAGGTTATGCATATTATATTAGTAAATGGCACCAATGCCTGAGAGTTGTAAATAAAAATGATTTATTATAGATTTTACAAGTCTGTAATATTTTATTAATTGTACAATATAAGAAAACTTTTCAATTATTTTTGATGTGTTATAATTAACCATAGCACATAATTTAAAATATTAATCGAATATGCGGGAAAATACTTCCATCAGATATACATCCAGTTATTGCCTATCGTTTGATGTCTAAGGAGACATATTTCTTCAGATTTATTTTGAAGCATATTTAGTATACATTGATTCGGGGAAGTACAAATATAACTATTTCAGTAAGTGTAATACACATAGTTATGAAACATTCTCTTAAAAAATTGTATTTTTCTCTAGGCAAGAGAAACTTTTCCAATTATCCTTTAAATTTGTAGTCTTAAAACAAGACAAAGTATTTATTATCTAATGTTGTAATAGTATAGGTACATTATAGGTGTATGATTAGGAGTATGTGATCTGGAACCAGGCTGCATAGCTTCAAAACTTGGCCGCTTATGTGTTTCCAAACAAGCTGTTTAGACTCTCTTAGAAACAGTTTTCTTTTCTGTAAAATGAAAATAATATTGGCTACCTAATAGAGTTTTCATGAGAATTAAACATGTTTAATACCTGAAAGCTCTTAGAACATTGCCTCTGCCTATGCCATTGGCAAGTCTCAATAAATGTTAGCTATTATTATTACTACCCACTGTTTTCAGCAAAATTTATTTTAAAAACTTAAGTATGCTTAAAAGTAAAGTGATTTAAAGAAGTTATTTTGTTGTCTTCAAATACAGACAGAAAAATGAGAAGTAAAGAGTTTTGTATTAAAAAAGAAGTGAAGAAAGTTATACATATATATAACATACAAATATCTTTGGGGTGATATGGGTTGAATTATTTCTCCACCCAAAATTTATATACTGAAGTCTTCATTTCATTGTGACTGTCTCTGGAGTTGTAGCCTTTGCGAGCTACTTAGGGTTAGTTGAGTTCATGACAGTAGGGCCTGCATGATGCAATTAGTGTCCTTGTGTCCTTATTAGAAAGAGAGTAACATTTTTTCTCTCAATCTCTCTCTCTGTCTCTCTCATTCTCTCTCTCTCTCTCTCTGCCTTTAAGGATACAGTGAGAAGGTGGCCATCCGTAAGCCAGGAGGAGGGTCTTCACCAGTAGCCAAAATAGGCAGCATCTTGATCTTGGACTTCCCAGTATACAGAACTGTGAGAAATAAATGTATATTGTTTAAATCACCCAAGCTATGATATTGTGTAATAGCAGCTTGAGCAGACAAGTAAAAGGGACAACCAGAACATTAATTTATGGGCTTAACATTTTAAATACTCTCACTAGTTATGGAGAAAGTTCTTCAATATAATTTCTTAACTGTACACCAATAAAAGAACTTTTTATCATGTAAATCACATCATTGTGACATATGTTTTTTTTTTAACAGCACACTTGACAATTTAAAGAATGTGAAACCATCAACATGGCAGTTGTTTCTGCACATCAATATTCTGCTTAAGTTTCTCTAGGAACCTAACTAGTCTTTTACAAATGAGATTTTCCATATAGAAAATCTGAAAAAATTGACAAAGAACTCCTGCAACTAATAAGTGATTATAGCAAGGTTGATGAATACTAGGTTAATATGTACAAGTCAATCACCATCTTATATATTAGCAATGAACAAGTGAAACTTGAAATTAAAAACAATATCATTTCTATTATCACCCCCCAGAATGAACCACTGAAGTATAAATTTAATGAAATATGTACAAGGTCTATATGAAAAAAACTACAAAACTGATGGCAGAACAAAGAAACACTAAGTAAATGGAGAGATATTCTATGTTAATGGATAGGAAGACATAATATCATTAAGACGTCCATTTTCCCAACTTATTCTAAAGATTTAATGCAATCCCAATAAAACTCTCAGCAAATTATTTTTGTAGATATCGTAAACGATTATAAAGTTTATATGGAGAGGCAAAAGACCCATAATAGTCAACAAAATACTCAAGGAGAACAAAGTTGGAGGACTGACACTACCCAAATTTAATACTTACTATAAAACCATAGTAATTAAGAGAATGCGGTATTGGTGAAAGAATTGACAAATAGAGCCATGGAACAGAATTAAGAACCTAGAAAAAAGGCTCACATAAATATAGGCAACTGATCTTTGACAGAGGAGCAAAGACAATGGAGGCAGTCTTTGACAATGGAGTAAGGGTAGTGATTTTAACAAGTGATGCTGGAACAACTGGACATCCACATGTCAAAAAGTTAATTTAGACACAGCTCTTACACTTTCAGAAAAGATTAACTTCAAAATGGATGATAGACCTGAATGTAAAATGCAAAATTATGTAACTCCTATAACATAGGAGAAATCTTGTGTATGGTGAGCATGACTTTTTAGATACAACATCAAAGTATGATTCATGAAAGATAGATTAGCTAGACTTCATTAAAATTAAAAACCTCTGCCCTGCAAAAGACTCTGTCAGAATGAGAAGACAAGCCATAGAGCGGGAGAAAATATTTTTAAAAGACACGCCTGATAAAGGACTGTTATCCAAAATATACAAAGAACTCTTAAAACTCAACATTAAGAAAACAAACAATCGATTAAAAATGGGACAAATACCTTAACAGATACCTCACCAAGAAATATATATACAGATGGCTAATAAGCATATAAAAATGCTCCACATCATATGCCATCAGGGAAATGAATATTAAAACAGTAGTGAGATATGGCTATGCACCTATTAGAATGGTTGAAATCCAGAACAATAACACTAGAAATGCTGGTAAGGAGGTAGAGCAACAGGAACTCCCTTTTGTTACTGGTGGAAATGCAAAATGGTACATCTGCTTTGGGAGATAGTTTGACAGTTCCTTACAAGATGAAACATACCATTACCATTTGATCTAGCAATTGTGATCCGTGGTATTTATCTAAAGGAGTGGAAAGCTTGTGTCCACACAATAACTTGCACATCAACGTTTATAGCAGCTTTGTTTATAATTGCCAAAACTCTGAAGCAACCAAGATGTCCTTCAGTAGGTGGATGGGTAAATAAACTGTAGTATGTCTAGACAATGGAATATTATTCAGCACTAAAAAAGAATGCACTATCAAGGTATAAAAATACATCATGGAAACAAATTCATATTACTAAGTGAAAGAAGCCAATCTGAAAAAGCTGTATATTGTATGATTCCAATTGTATAACATTTGAGAAAAGGCAAAACTATGGGACAAAAGTAAGAAAGAGTTGCCAGGGGTTTGAAGGAGGGAAGGATAAACAGGCAAAACACAGAGGATTTTTAAGGCAGCAAAACTATAATATTCTATATGATACTATAATGGTGGATACACTCTAATGGTGGATACATGGCACTGTGCATTTATCCAGTCCCATAGAATGTACAATACTAGGAGTAGTCCCTAATGTGAACTGTAGACTTTGGGTGATTATGATGTGTCATTGTAGGTTGATAAATTGTAACAGTGTATCCCTGTGGTGGTTGCTGTTGACAATTGGGGAGGCTACGCATGTGTGGGAGCAGGGAGTCTATGGAAAATCTTTGTACCTTCTTCTCAATTTTGTTGTGAACTTGAAACTGCTCTAAAAACATTAAAAGTCTTAAAAAAATAGGACACCAATAAGTGAGAGTCTGAGTAGTAGGAAAACTAACAGCAAGCATTTACATTGAATTTACGTTGTATAAAGATCCATCTGTAACATGAAAATCAAAAGTAGTTTTTTTTTTTTTTGAAACATACTTCAATAGCCTTGTAAAATGACATTTTTCAACAATGTTTTTGTAATGTCATTTATGGAGAAGTGGTTAAAATATATACAGTCAGGGTGGCATTCAAATGCAATGATTTTCATTTATGCAAATAACACTTTAATGTTACTTTCAGAAAGGTGAAGGTTAAGTGCAGTAAATACCAGTAATAGCGATATAGTTTGCAAGTGAAATTAGCAAGATTTTAATCAGTCTCTGAAGTGTGAATTAGAGATAAGAAGAAAAATGTTCCAAATAAAATTTTCTTAAAAGGTCAATGTCTTAAAGTCATAGTGTTTATAATCTGACCATTTCTTAATGCAAGATTAGTATACTGGTAAAACTTATATGTGAGAGTAAAAGACATTAAAAGTGCAGAGCACAGGATTTAGTAAGATGTTTTTATTATGACAAACCTAGGTACCATTTCACACTCTTTCACTCCTCACAAATATGCCATTGAGATGATTTGGGAAGAATCAAGAAGATTTGACAGATATCTTAAAGGAAATGCTGTTTGAATTTAAGTTTTTAAAAGTTGCAAAATAGTATATTCAGTATGATGGCATTTATTTAAAGATACAAAAATTATCCCCAATTGTACAAGAACATGAATGGAAATGACATAGTTAACTCTGGAGAGGGGGAGAAGAGAAAGAGACAGGGGCATTAGTTGTAATTTTTTTCTTTATTTGATAATCTGAAGAAAAAATGGTAACAAATTTACATCAATTAATCCTGTGTTGTACTATGCTTTATATGAGTCTGTGTGTTTGAACATTTTATTTTAAATATAAAAATGTAAGCTGAGTGCTGTGGCACATTCCTGTAAACCCAGACACTCGAGAGGCTAAAGCAGAAGGATTGCTTGACCAGGAGCCACAGGCTATAGTATGCAATGATTGTGCTTGTGAATAGCCACTGCACTCCAGCCTGGGCAACATAGCCAGACCCCATCTCTAAACAAATAATAAAAATAAAAATTTAAAACATGTAGTAACACATTTGAAAATATAAATAGTGAGATGCAAAAACTATCCATGGCAGAAGCATTATATTTGAATAAATAACTGCTAATATCCATGAGCACTTACTATAGGACAAAAATTTTACCAAATATTTCACTTGTATTATCCATGAAATCCTCTCAGTAACCATATAGGTAGGCATTATTATAGGCCACTTTTTACTGATAAAGATTTAGAAGGTTAGAGTAGGGACCTTCTTCATCTTGTTAATTGCCATATCCTTGATATCTAGAAAAGCAACCAGCTTTTAGGAACTGATAAATATTTAAATATGACATTACAAAAATAAAACAAATATATATTTTATAAAACAAGTATATATATAGTAATTCTATCAATGTAACAGTGAAGAAAACACATTCTGCCTTCTTAGAGCTTCTATTCTGGTGGGAGAAACAAACAATATAAAAAAGTCGATGAGAGGAATAATGAAGAAAAATAAAATAGGTGAAAAGGGAGAGAAAGTGAATGAATAAATTAGTAAATGTGTAAGATAATGTTTGCAGAGACAATACTCTTTGGTTCTCTTGCATTCTTACATATCTTGCTGGGTGGGCCAGACTCTAAGTCCCTGACAACTGGAATATTTCTTCTGATTGAGAGATGAAACTATGTCTCTTTTCTCACTTGGACAAAGAACAGGCTTGCTTACTTATTGCTATAAAACCAGTGGATCCCCAAACTCAGTTTTCTCATTTGTGACATAAACCCGCTGCTTGTGTAGTTTCCATCATGGTCTATTACGTTGCACTGGTGGGACTTAGGGTCAAGGGGAGCCAATGCAAATATGCTGATGCTTATGCTGCTTTCTGTGTTGTAATAAAGACGTTTGTCTCTGATCCAGGAAACTTACATCTCTGTTACAGGCTAATTTATTAGCTTGCAAGTAGGGTAGAAGCAAATTCTAGACCTGCAGAGTTAGTAAAGTTGTCACCTGGAATTCAAACCCAGGTCTCCCTGATTACAGAGCCTACCTCTTAACACTCTGGCCATTGTACTGGCTTGATACATAATTAATTGTATCTTAATGCCTGCTACCTTGAATGACCATTAACACTCCTCTATTTATAATGTCAATGCTTTATTTAATTTTTTTAATTAAAGTTTTTTTCTATCCTTATTGCATTGGCTCTCAGTGGATCTCAGGCATATTATTTAATACCTCATAAATATAGTTAAAATTCAGATAAATATTTTCTATTATTGATATGTAATCAAAATTATATTTAAACTAAAAGTGAATGAAAACTATATTCTCATTTTATTCCTTTATACTTTCAGATTTACATTGATCATCCACTATGTTCCAGATACTACATGATACTAACAAGACAACAGGTATTATGATGCAATCTTCTCTTTTTCTTGATGTATTAGTCTATGATTATGAAAACTATACTCAGAATGGCTACTGACGGCCAAATTATGACTTTATTGACAGCCATTACCAAGCTTTATTAGGAGCTCTATTAACCAACTACAGACCACATAAGCAAGAACATAAGTATGTTAGTGACAAAGTTATCTATATTGGCCTTTTATGCTCTTTTAAATTATATTTTGAAACCTATGCATGGCGTAGTGTAAAGTCAAGTAAGCCTTAATTTCTTTTTTTAAAATAATATAAGCCAGATTAATTTCTTTTGCCTTAGGCTTTCCTCTCCTTGTTATGGTGGCTAGTTTTTGCTCTATTTGCAAAATAGAGCAAAATTCAATAGCCCTTCATGCTAAAAACTCTCAATAAATTAGGTATTGATGGGACGTGTCTCAAAATAATAAGAGCTATTTATGACAAACCCACAGCCAATATCATACTGAATGGGCAAAAACTGGAAGCATTCCTTTTGAAAACTGGCACAAGACAGGGATGCCCTCTCTTGCCACTCCTATTCAACATAGTGTTGGAAGTTCTGGCCAGGGCAATCAGGCAGGAGAAAGAAATAAAGGGCATTCAATTAGGAAAAGAGGAAGTCAAATTGTCTCTGTTTGCAGATGATAGGATTGTATATTTAGAAAACCCCATCGTCTCAGCCCAAAATCTCCTTAAGCTGATAAGCAACTTCAGCAAAGTTTTAGGACACAAAATCAATGTGCAAAAATCACAAGCATTTTTATACACCAATAACAGACAAACAGAGAGCCAAATCATGAGTGAACTCCCATTCACAATTGCTTCAAAGAGAATAAAATACCTAGGAATCCAACTTACAAGTGATGTGAAAGACCTCTTCAAGGTTTCAGTCCCTTTAAAAACACAGTTCTCCCTTGAACCTCAATCCTGAGTAGGGAAGGTAAACTAATTTCTGGATATCTTTGGTTTATAAATATATTAATTATAAAATTTTATTTTCTGCCATAAACATGGAAATTACTTGTATCAGCAGTCTTTTGAATTGTTTGAGATCTGAAGTAAAAATCTCGAAATAGTCTTTGTACTTGTTTTTATTTTAAAGGTCACATGATATAGTGCTATGGTTTAGCACTTATACTGTTAGCTCTGATCCAAGGTGCAAGTTTAAAGAATGCTGTTCACTGTTAATTTGAATGACAAGCAAGTTTTAACTTTATTTTTCCAAAGTGATATGACCATCTGTTTATCCATCTATTTCCCATCTGTCTATCTATCTTCATATTTTTATATTGTCTGTTGGAGTTGAGCAAATTCATTTTAATTATTATCTTCTCAGTCCATACATATGGAACCAGGAGAAAAGGGCAACAAATGCTTTAATTACTCTCCTTATGTATTTGATATTAAAAAGGAAAATTAGTTTATCTGAAATATGTACACAATGTCAATCTCACATAATTTTAATTTGGAGTTAAATTTGGCATTAATAAAATAAGCATTTGTGTCTGTTGAGATTTATTGATTTATTTTGCTGAACTATGCTTGACATTTAGTTTAGCATGGGAAAGGTAAATAAAATAGTGCCTTACTATCAGAGGAAATTATGTTTTATGTAGGTTATAATTGTGAATGTTCACTAAAAGAGTGATAGTAAAATATCCAAAACAGAAAAACTGAACTGAGTTTTTAAGTAGAACAGGCATAAGTAAATTAAATTGTAACTTTTTATATATGAAAAGGCCAATGTAAAAGCTATTTTCACCATAACAGAATTGAAGTAGTATTGGATTCGAGAGGATTGAACTTGCATTTTCAATCCCCTTTGTAAATATAAGCTGCACTCTTGCTTCACTCCAGGCTTCTAGCTCGGCTGCAGTCTGTCTTCAAAACAGTGTCATTATGACTTTTAGTGTTTTTATCCACACTATTTTTTTCTGTTTTCACTAAAATGAATCCAACAATCCACTTCCTCCACTACTGACATTGACTTCACACAGATTATACATCATTACGACTATAAATTTCGGATTTGTCAGTGTCTACTGAGCCATCAGAACTGTTTGGAAATCATTTTTCTGTCTCTTTTCAATTTCCTTTTGAGTTTCCATAATGTCTATACCAAAGCCTTTATTCTGAATCCTATTGTACTTTCAATGCCATCATGCTCTATAGATTGTTACCTCACAGAGAAAAGATTATCAGGTGGGATATCCATGACTTTGCATTCCCTCTTGTAGACATTCTTATAGGGACACCCATTCTTCCCTTATGACCCAGAGGTAGAGATGCCTTTGCTTATTTTCTGAAGTAGCTGCTACGTCCATACCACAGAGACCACATCCTGTGAGCTGTCTGAATCCTGGTTAGTCTTTTTCTTCAAGAATCCTTTCCCTTCTGATTATAAGTAAGCTCAGATATTCTCAACTTTCATCTATCTTTCCTTCAAGCCCAATCTCCCTCCTTCAATTCTTCAGTGAAATGTATAACAACGTAGCTTAAGCCCTGTTTTTTCAAAATAATTACTATCTATCCATTAACTACTTCTAACAAGAAGGGCATGTTTAGTGCTTGAGAAAGCTGCTCTTCCTGCAGTCACCTCTTAACTGCCAATAGGAGTGCCCTTTTGAACCTCATCTTGACTCATCTTTTGTTTAGCACTTGACACTCTTCACCACCCTCTCCTTGTGGAATTTGTGCCTTCAGTTTCCAGGTCATTATTATCTTAAAATTTTTATAAACATTGGAAAGTTGCCTTTAAGTGTCCTTTAGTAGCTTCTTCTCCTTTGCTTGTTCTTTTAGATTATTGTATTCACCAGAGTTCAATTCTTTGACTCTCTTTTTTTCTCACTCTAACATGACCTCTGGGTATTTCAGGCTTCCATGCCTTTAATTGCCATCAAAATGCAGAGATAGACAATTGTAATTTCATTAACTTCAGCTTTATCTTTTTTTTTAATCACCATGCCAACCTGTATGTCCTCAAGCTACTTTAAAATTAATATGTTGAAAATAATTTGTTTCTCCTCTTAAAGTAAGTTTCTATTCTGATATTTTCTATTTTAGTGGAAGTATCACAATCCCCCTCCATCTTTTAATCTGGAAATCTAGAGAAAATGCTAGCCTGTTTTGCTCTCTCTTTTCCTCCTTCCTTTCCTAACCCAAATTATCAATAATAAGTCTTTAAATTCTAGTAATTTTAACTCTGAAAAAATTATTGAAACTAGTTCTTCTCATCTTTCCTGACAGTGCCTTTGAAGCCATCATCATATCTCCTTTGCACACTTAAAATAGCCATCTTATCTGATTTCACTGCATCTAATCACCCTCATTTAAACCATTCTTCACTCTGTCTCCTAAATTATCATCACTCCTTTATCAGAATAATTCTCTTTAATGCCCACAAAATTAGGCCCAAATTTCTTAACTTGCCTGAGAAAGCCTTTTACAATATAGTCCCAACCCATTTTTCAGTCTCTTCTTCCATTAACCTCTATGTGCAACTTTATTCTAGCCGTGCCCACTTCTTCATCTTTGCTCAAGTGCTTCATTCTGTTGTTGAGACTATTGTGTTCCCTCTTTGTCTTACAAATGATCTTCCTCCTTCAAAACCCAACTTAAATATTGGTTTCTTCATGTTGCATTCTTCAGTTCCTCAGTGGTGCCTAAACACAAGATATTAATTTTGAAAATTAAATAAAAATTTAAATATCTTTTTTGGAGAAAATGAGAGTATATGGTTAGACATATCTTTAATTTTCCTGCAGATATCTAGAAGATATGCCTTCTCTTTGGCCTATTTGATGTGTCTTAGCCCAATGTAAGGCCATTTTTTTGCACTCTATCTAAACACAAATTTCAATAACTTATTATTTATTATGATTCTATAGGTTGGCTGCACTGGGCTCAGGTGACTTTGGCTAGGCTTACTCATCATCTGTGGTCACCTGGGGTTGGGTGATGATAGGTTGATTTACATGAATCTGCTGGAAAAAATGGTTCTGCTCCGAGTGGCATCTCATCCTCCAGAACGCGAACCTGAGTTTGATCTCATGGTAGACGTAGGAATCCCAAGACAGAGTGGAGGAGCACAAAGGCATTTGTAGCCTAAGTGTGAAACTGGCACTCTGTCACTTTCTTGCATTTTAGTGTGAGAAACAAGCCACAAAGCCAGCCCAGATTCAAAGGAGCACTGAAGCAGGCTCTAGGCCATGATGGGAGAAACGGCAAAGGAACATTGCAAGGAAAGAGTGAAAAATTTGCAGTCAATCCATCATAAATGAGAAGGAATATTTTAAACATAGTATACTAGTCACACAATGAGCTGTAATTATTGCATCCTTTTGAAGTGAATGAGTATATGGTGAACGATGCAAAAAGGGGAGTAGGAAAATATGGTGTTCTGTAATATTACACTATGCTATGCTATGCATATTGTAATTCTGGACTATCCCTCAGATTTTAGACATCATAAAATTATGAAGTAATAATCCTTTTGACATACGGTGTAAATTACAAGGAATAAAGTTTAATCTTAATAGTAAATTGTAAAAATTTGAAGAGATTAAAAACATATTAAATAAAGACTAGTTTTAGGAGAATAAAAATTATACTAAAATGCATCTTCAATATGATAAAAGATAATTGAAAACAAAAATATCATACTTTGAGAAAGTCAAGGAAAGGAACCTTGGAATACCTTCAAAAATATTATAGATAGAGCTACTAAATAATTTTGAGAACTCTTCTCCTGCAGATAGTGAAAATTGCTTGCAAGATGACTAGCTGCAGTTGATATTGTCAATTTGTTCATAGCATGGCTTCCAAGTACTGAGCACCTGAATCTTGTGCTCAGCTGACAGAGAGGCATGCTTCAGTGAAGTGGCATTGGAATACAAATAAATTGGATACCACTTAGAGACCTGAAATGCTACTGTGAGATGAAAGGCAAATCCCACTGAAAGTGACAGCAATATTTTCTTTTCTGGCTAGGGAAAATATATAGGAAGAAGATGAGAGACCTTTTTAATAGAATAAAGAAAAATGATAGTGCTCCTATACCTCAAGCTGCATGGTTCTGAATTTGATTCAGTAAATGCCTCAAAATAGAAGTACATTAAACTTCAAGGCAATCAGAGCACAACTACTGGATTGTCACAATGTGGTAAAAGAAGAGGTATCCAAAGCTGGCAAAGACACCTATAGGACCTATGATGCATCAGAACTTTTAGAGCCATTTGACAGCCTCTATGAAGATGCATATTGAATTAAACATGTTGCCATCCTCATTCAGTACTTTTTGTGTGTTTCAAAATATACCTAATGATAGATTTCTTCTTTTCTTAATAAACTTTAAACTAATTGATCCCAAGACACTGACTTCATATCAAACTTAGTAATCCTGACATTTTACACACGCAAGCCACAGCCTGCTAAATAGTCTCATAGAAATGCACACTTCATTTTGAAACTAATCAAGCATGTCTTGCTCATTTCTCAAGACATGGTGGCATATCAAATCTCTAAGGTTTAGCCATTAAGCTTTTGAGATAGAAGAGTCTCAAGTAGTTGGCGGGGATGGCATATTAGCTACAGTAGAATAAATTTCATTTGAATTTTGTGTGTGTGTGTAATTATAATTTTAATAATCAAATTCTTTTATAGTTATTTTTATACATCCATTATCTTATTTGACATGAAACACATATATATATATTTATTGTTACCTATAGACATAAAGGCTTATATTATATACATTTTATATAAATATTCTGACATTTTTACATGAAAATATACTATTTCTATATCTGTCTCTGTGTATTTGTATCAAAAAATGTTAAAAATTTGTCTGACTAGCTTCCTAATATTGAAAAAACCTTCCAAAACCTTCTTATGAATATTTTATAGATTATGTTTAAATAACACCAGCATGCAGTAACATACCATAGTGCAGCCATAACTAGTCAAATTCTACAATTGCCAATGATGGTATTTGTTTTTCTACTCCTAAGTTTTAAGCACTTCAGCTTTATGTGTACACATGAATGTGTTGGCTGAGTCCATGACTCAGTGTATGAAATGTGTTTTTTATGAATTTTAGGAACATTTGAAATTACAAACACGGTCAGGGGTAGTGGCTCATGCCTGTAATCCCAGCACATTGGGAAGCCGAGGCAGGCAGATCACTTGAGCTCAGGAGTTTGAGACCAGCTTGGGCGACATGGTGAAACCCCATCTCTACCAAAAAAAAAAACCCCCCAAAAACAAAAAAAAAACCCAAACAAATAAACCAAAAAACAAACAAACAGAAACAAAAAACAGGCATTGGGGCATACACCTGTGTTCCCAGCTGCTCTGGAGGCTGAGGGGAGAGGATCACTTGAGCCCAGGAGTCAGAGGTTGCAGTGAGCTGAGATTGTGCCACTGCACTCCAGCTTGGGTGACGGAGTGAGATCCCGTCTCAAAAAAAAAAAAAAAATTACAAACATATCTCTACCTATTAATGGCCAAATGAAGACAGAATATTTATTATAAACAATAATTAGATTGGTACAAAAATATAAAGGCAAATAGTTAATTGATTATATAATTGAATCATTGCTTCTGTAGGACATGGATTTCTGGAAGTGTCTCAAATCCTTGTTTTGTTTTAGGAGTTAACTGAAGGTGGGATTGGGGAGGTGATTCCTAGACTTCTCAGATCAAAACACCTAGGCCAACAACCAGACACTTTAATCCATCTACATATGAGATCAAATACCATATTACATTCCTTAGCTGTTTTTATGCTTGGGACCACAAAAATCAGTATTTCCTCTTTTAAATATTACAAAGCACTTTACTCACATTACTTTTTTTACTTCATTTCATTCTTTATTATAACATGTTATGAAGAAAAAGATTTGTAAAGCATCAAAATCTTTGTAATGAGATGGTCACTGAATAGTGATTTGACCTTGGTAATTTTGTGTTCCTGAGTTTCATTATTTGTAAAATGAGACCAGACTAGGCATCAGTGAAACTTGCATGGTGTGAAGATTCTTTGATTATATTAGGATTTCCAGTGGGGAATAACACATTTAAAAATCTAGTATAAAGTTTATGGAATAGAGACATGTAATGTGGAACACCTCACTCTCTTTACCTGTTTGTCTCTCTGTCTTTGTCTCCACACACACAAACACACACACATGCACACACACACACACACACCACACATTCATATACACACAAACACATTGCAGAGGGAAATACATATTGATATATGGAAGAAAATAACACTTTTTAAATACAAAGGTGGATTTTTAACGTAGCTCATCCTGACTACTAAGTGTTAACTTAAAAAAACAGATAAAAATGATAAATTAATTGTAGGTTCCATGTAGTTCTATCCTGTTTAATCCATCCTATCACATTTTATTCCTATTTGGAGAAATACACATGAGGAAGGTAATATTATTTTTGACATTTTGCACACTTGAGAAGCATAAAGTAAACACAGATTGTAGCATAACACTTCCATTGTCCCATTCTCTCCCTACTCTTTTCTATGTCTTTTTTTTTTTTTGGTACTCATCTCATTTGCCTTTTTTTTTTCATTTTAGACTTTTTTTCCCAGCGCCCTGCTTCCCCTCATCTTACTCATTAAGTTTCTTTTTGTTGATATTTTGGGGTAAGGTGAGAAGAAAGATTCAAGAGAAAAGGGGATAGATGGAATGTCAACTTCAGAATGGGAGTTGAGAAAGCCATTGACTACTGCCTCCTTTAAGACAGAGATAGTACAAATGAGACAGCAAATGCTTCTCTTAAGTCAATGGGCTGTAACATGAAGATTTGCATCTTCGAGATTGTGCTGCAATAATGCTATGCTAGAAAAATCACCTATGTTGGAAATGACAGCTGCTAAATTCCACCAGAGTAAAACACTAATGTTGCCTTGCAAAGATTTCCAGATTACCAAGACTTGATAGTCATGGCAAATCGAATCATTTCTTCCCTCTGTGCTTTTGACAACTAGCTGGTTGATAATGGTATTATCGTGGTCCAACCTTATAATACCCTATTGGTCCTTACAATAATTAGGGTCAACCTCAGACCAGTGAAATTAGAACCCCCAGGTGGCCTGGCTAGTTTTTAAGTTCCACAAATTATTCTATTTTGCAAGTAGATTAAAGAACCACTGAAATTCAAGTATAAGTAGAGGGAAAAGAGTCTTATCCTAAATCTTCCTCAAATGCTCAGAAGAACTAACAACATTTTGGTACTCTACAGCATACTCTTAGAAATTAAAGGATGGCTATTTTGACAGCATTGCATTCTGCTAGCTAGAATCCCCTTTCTTCCAGCAGTTAATTTGTCTAGATAAATTGCAGCTTTCTATACCTAGGAATGTTGGATTTTCCAACCACATAAGAAAGTACCTGACCTAGCGTGCTTACCAAAGGGCAGAAGGAGACTCAGAAGAGCAAAAGAGAGGCCACATGAGCCAACACAATTTTTATATGGAGTTTCTGTTTCTGGGTAATTTGGTGTAATGGGTGATGTTTCTTCTCAACTCTTTCAACAGATCAGTAACTTCTCCCAAGGAGTAAAGCTGATGAGTGGAGTGCAGAGAGAAGGATGAAGTGTTTCTTGAATACTGTACGCTCCTGGCATTTCACATAGAAGTCTTTCATATAATAATAAGATGAAAAAAATAAGGGGCTGCAATTTAGTTACTGGCGTTGGATCCCTACTGCAAATGACAATGTTATGTGTCAATAAAATTGAATCTTAATGTCACATTCAGGATCATAGGTTAAACCAGTGATTTTAACTAGATGACAACATTTTTCCGATTTTGTATAAGAAATCTAAATTTGTACACAATATTTTTTTCTAATTGCAGGATTTCTTTTTTAAAATTATAGATTCAGGGGGTGCCTGTGTAGGTTTGTTACGTGGATATGTTGCTAATGGTGAGGTTTGGGCTTCTAGTGTAACCATCACCAGATAGTGAACATTGTATCTAATAGGTCATTTGGAGTCTATACTATTATTTACATTTTAATGTTTATGGGTTCCCATTGTTTAGCTCCCACTCATGAGTAAAAACTTAATATTTGATGTTCTGTTTTTGAGTTATTTCACTGAGGATAATGGTCTCAGGCTCCATCCATGTTGCTGCAAAGGACATTATTTTATTCTTTCTATGGCTGAGTAGTATTCTGTGGTGCAAATATACCGCATTTTCTTTATCCATTCAACAGTTGATGGACACTTTGGTTGATTCCAGGAATCTGCTGTTGTGAATAATTCTGCAATAAACATACGAATGCATGTGTCATTTTAATATAATGATTTCTTTTCCTTTGGGTACATATAGTGGGATTGCTAGATCAAATGATAATTCTATTTTTAGCTCTTTGAGAAATCTCCATACCGCTTTTCACAGAGACCGTACTAATTTACATCCTCACCAACACTTTACAAACATTCCCTTTTATCCATATCCTCATCAAAACCTGTTTTTTTTTTCACTTTTTAGTAACAGCACTTCTGACTGGTGTAAGGTGGTATCTCATTGTAATTTTAATTTGCATTTCTCTGATGGTTAGTGATGTTGAGCTTCTTTTTTCATATATTTGTTGGCTGCTTGTATGTCTTCTTTTGAAAAATGTCTGTTAATGTTGTTTGCACATTTTTTAATGTGGACATTTACTTCTTCTTGTTGAGTTGTTTAAGTTCCTTGTAGATTCTGGATACTAGTCCTTTGCCAGATGCATAGCTTCCAAATATTTGCTACCATTCTGTGAGTTGTCTATTTATACTATTATTTCTTTTGCTATGCAGAAGCTTTTGAGTTTAATTAAGTCCCATTTGTCTATTTTTGTTTTTGTTTAGTTTGATTTTGGTGTCTTATGTTATTTGCCTAGGCCAATGTCCAAAAGAGTATTTCTTAGGTTTTGTTTTTCTTTTCATTTCTTTTCTTGTTTCCTTTTCCTTTCCTTTTCTTCTCGTTTCGTTTTGTTTCATTTCTCTCCTTCCTTCCTTCCTTTCTTTCTTTTCTTTTTTCTTTTCCTTTATCTTTCTCTATCTCCTTCCTTCCTTCTGTTCTTCCTTCCTTCCTTCCTTCTTTTCTTTCTTTCTTTCTTTCTTTTTTTCTTTCTTTCCTTTCTTTCTCTTTCTTTTTTTTTTGACACGTTCTTGCTTTGTCACACAGGCTGGAGTGCAGTGGTGCAATCTCGGCTCACTGCAACCTCTGCCTCCTGGGTTCAAGCGATTCTGGTGCCTCAGCCTCCCGAGTAGCTGAGATCACAGATGTGTGCAACAATACCCAGCTAATTTTTATATTTTTAGTACAGACAGGGTTTTGCAATGTTGGCAATATTATACCTAGAAAATCCTAAAGACTCCTCCAAAAGTTGGCTGGTTTCGAACTCCTGACCTCAAGTGATCCACCTGCCTGGGCCTCCCAAAGTGCTGGGATTACAGGCATAAGCCAACATGCCTGGCCCTCCTGAGTTTTCTTCTGGAATTTTTTTAGTTTCAGGTCTTACAAGTGTTTAATCCATCTTGAGTTAATTTTTGTGTATGGTGAGAGATAGGGGTCCAGTTTCATTCTTCTTCATGTGGCAATCCAATTTTCCCAGCACCATTTATTTAATAGAGAACCCTTTCCCCACTGTGTTTATTTTTGTTGACTTTGGCAAAGATAAGTTGGCTGTAGCTATGTGGCTTTATTTCTGGGTTCTCTATTCTGTTACATTGATCTGTGCTTCTATTTTTGTACCAGTATCATGTTGTTTTGGTTACTATAGCCTTGTAATATAATTTGAAGTCAGGTAGAGTGATGCCTCCAGATTTGTTCTTTTTGCTTAGGATTGCTTTGGCTCTGTGGGCTCTTTTTTGGTTACATATAAATATTAAGAATGTTTTTTTCTAATTCTGTGAAAAATGACATTGGTAATTTGACAGAGGTGAATTGAATCTGTAAATTTTTTAGGCAGTTCGGCCATTTTAATGATATCGATTCTTCTGATCCGTGAGCATGGTACGTTTCTTCCATTTTCTTGTGTCATCTATGAATTCTTTCACCAGTGTTTTGTAGTAGAGATCTTTTACCTCCTTGGTTAAATGCATTACTAGGAATTTGTGTGTGTGTGTGTGTGTGTGTGTGTGTGTGTGTGTGTGTGTGTATGGCTATTCGAAGAGGATTGAGTTCTTGATTTGGTTCTCAGCTTGAATGTTATTAGTGTATAGAAATGCTACTGATTTTGGTATGTTGATTTTGTATTCTGAAACATTACTGAAGTCATCTATCAAGTCTAGGAGTCTTTTGGGGGAGTCTTTAGGATTTTCTAGGTATAACATCATGTCATCAGTGAACAGAGATAATTTGGCTTCCTCTTTTCCAATTTGGATGCCTTTTATTTCTTTCTCTTGCCAAATTCCTCTGTCTAGGACTGCTAGTATTGTGTTGAATAGGAGTGGTGAGAGTGGGTGTCCTTGTTCCAGTTGTTAGAGGGAATGCTTTAAAGTTTTCCCTATTCAGTGTGATGTTGGCTGTGGGTTTGTTATATATGACTAGTTATTTTTAGCTATGTTTCTTCAATGCATATTTTGTTGAGGGTTTTTATCATGAAAGGATGTTGCATTTTATCAAATGCTTCTTCTGCATCTTTGAGATAATCATATGGTTTTGCTTTTAATTCTGTTTATGTGGTGAATCATATTTATTGATTTGGATGTGTTCCACCATCCATGCATCCCTGGAATAAACCAATAAAACCCACTCGATCATAATGTATATTATTATTATTTTTTTTTAGGGGAGTCTCACTCTGTTGCCCAGGCTGGAGTGCAGTGGTGTGACCTCGCCTCACTGCAACCTCTGCCTCCCAGGTTCAAGTAATTCTCCTGTCTCAGCCTCCTAAGTACCTGGGGTTTTAGGTGCTTGCCATCATGCCTGACTAATTTTTGTATTTTTAGCGGAGACAGGGTTTCACCATGTTGGCCAGGCTGGTCTCAAGCTCCTGACCTCAAGTGATCTGCCCACCTTGGCCTTCCAAAGTGCTGGGATTATAGGTGTGAGCCACCATGCCGGGCCATGTATTATCGTTTTGATGTACTGTTGGATTTGGTTTGCTAGTATTTTGCTGAGGATTTTTGCATCTATGTCATCAAGCATACTGGCCTGTAGTTTTCTTTTGTTGTTATGTTCTTGCCTGATTTTGGTATCAAGGTGATACTGGTTTTATAAAATGAGTTAGGGAGAAATCTCTCTTTCTCAATTTTTTAAAGATAGTTTCAGCAAGATTCATACAAATTCTTCTTTGTATATCTGGTAAAATTTGGCTGTGAATCCATTTGGTACTGGATTTTTTTTTGTTGTTGAGAGATTTTAAATTAGTGATTTAATTTTATTACTCATTATTGGTCTATTCAGAATTTCCATTTCTGACTGGCTCAATTTGGGAGCTTGTATTTTCCAGGAATTTATCCATTTCCTCTGTTTTTCTAGTTTGCATGCGTAAATACGCTCATAGTAGTCCCTCATAATCTTTCGTATTTCTGTGGTATCAGTTGCAATGTCTCCTTTATCCTTTTTTATTGTGCTTTGTGCTTGTTTGAATATCTTCTTTCTCTGTTTTTTTTTTTTTTTGTTTAATCTAGCTAGCATTTTATCAATTTTATTAATTTATAAATTTTATCAATTTACCCTTGAAAGAAGCAACTTTTGTTGATTTTTTTAAATCTTTTTGTTTGGTGTCAATGTCCTTTTGTTTAGCTCTGATCTTCGTCATTTCTTTTCTTCTAGCTTTGGGTTTAGTTTGTTCTTGTATTTCTAGTTCCTTGAGATGCAACGTTAGGTTGTTAATTTAAGATCTTTCTATCTTTTGGATATAGGCATTTGACATTATCAAGTTTCTTCTTAGCACTACTTTTGCTGTATCCTAGAGGTTTTGGCATGTTTTGTCTCTCTCTCTCTCTCTCTGTATATATATGTATATTTTATTATACTTTAAGTTCCAGGGTACATGTGCACAATGTGCAGGTTAGTTACATATGTATACATGTGCCATGTTGGTGTGCTGCACTCGTTAACTCGTCATTTAACATTAGGTATATCTCCTAATGCTATCCCTCCCCTCTACCCCCACCCCACAACAGGCCCCAGTGTGTGATGTTCCCCTTCCTGTGTCCAAGTGTTCTTGTTGTTCACTTCTCACCTATGAGTGAGAACATGCGGTGTTTGGTTTTTTGTCCTTGCGACAGTTTGCTGAGAATGATGGTTTCCAGCTTCAACCATGTCCCTACAAAGGACATGAACTCATCATTTTTATGGCTGCATAGTATTCCATGGTGTATATGTGCCACATTTTCTTAATCCAGTCTATCATTGTTGGACATTTGGGTTGGTTCCAAGTCTTTGCTATTGTGAATAGTGCTGCAGTAAACATATGTGTGCATGTGTCTTTATAGCAGCATGATTTATAATCCTTTGGGTATATACCCAGTAATGGGATGGCTGGGTCAAATGGTATTTCTAGTTCTAGATTCCTGAGGAATTGCCACACTGACTTCCACAATGGTTGAACTAGTTTACAGTCCCACCAACAGTGTAAAAAGTGTTCCTATTTCTCCACATCCTCTCCAGCACCTGTTGTTTCCTGACTTTTTAATGATCGCCATTTTAACTGGTGTGAGATGGTATCTCATTGTGGTTTTGATTTGCATTTCTCTGATGGCCAGTGATGATGAACATTTTTTCATGTGTCTGTTGGCTGCATAAATGTCTTCTTTTGAGAAGTGTCTGTTCATATCCTTCACCCACTTGTTGATGGGGTTGTTTGTTTTTTTCTTGTAAATTTGTTCAAGTTCTTTGTAGATTCTGGATATTAGCCCTTTGTCAGATGAGTAGGTTGCAAAAATTTTCTCCCATTCTGTAGGTTGCCTGTTCACTCTGATGGTAGTTTCTTTTGCTGTGCAGAAGCTCTTTAGTTTAATTAGATCCCATTTGTCAATTTCGGCTTGTGTTGCCATTGCTTTTGGTGTTTTAGACATGAAGTCCTTGCCCATGCCTATGTCCTGAATGGTATTGCCTAGGTTTTCTTCTAGGGTTTTTATGGTTTTAGGTCTAACATTTAAGTCTTTAATCCATCTTGAATTAATTTTTGTATAAGGTATAAAGAAGGGATCCAGTTTCAGCTTTCTACATATGGCTAGCCAGTTTTCCCAGCACCATTTGTTGAATAGAGAACCCTTTCCCCATTTCTTGTTTTTGTCAGGTTTGTCAAAGATCAGATGGTTGTAGATGTGTGGTATTATTTCTGAGGGCTCTGTTCTGTTCCATTGGTCTATGTCTCTGTTTTGGTACCAGTACCATGTTGTTTTGGTTACTGTAGCCTTGTAGTATAGTTTGAAGTCAGGTAGCATGATGCCTCCAGCTTTGTTCTTTTCGCTTATGATTGACTTGGGAATGCGGGCTCTTTTTTGGTTCCATATGAACTTTAAAGTAGTTTTTTCCAATTCTGTGAAGAAAGTCATTGGTAGCTTGATGGGGATGGCACTGAATCTATAAATTACCTTGGGCAGTATGACCGTTTTTACGACACTGATTCTTCCTATCCATGAGCATAGAATATTCTTCCATTTGTTTGTCTCCTCTTTTATTTCGTTGAGCAGTGGTTTGTAGTTCTCCTTGAAGAGGTCCTTCAAATCCCTTGCAAGTTGGATTCCTAGGCATTTTATTCTCTTTGAAGCAATTGTGAATGGGAGTTCACTCATGATTTTATTCATTTCAAAAAACGTTTTGATTTCTACCTTAATTTCATTGTTTAGCCAAAGATCATTCAGAAAACGTTAGTTAGTTTCCATGTCTTTGTGTAGTTTTGAGATTTTCCTTTGGTATCAATTTCTAATTTTATTCAACTCTGGTCTGAGAAGATACTTGATATGACTTTGATTTTTAAAAAATTTATTGAGACTTGCTTTATAACCAAGGATATGGTCTATTTTGGATAATATTACATGCACAGATAAGAAAAATGTATATTCTTCAGTTGTTTGGTAGTATGTTCTGTAATGTCTTCTAGGTCCATTTGGTTGAGGCCAGTTGTAGTCTTTTTTCAGCTTAGCAAGTGTATCTGCAATGCTTGGCTTTTGGCCCCCTTTCTCTATTTTTAAAGCCATCAACAGTGAGTTGAGTCCTCCTTACGTTATATCTGCCTTCATCTTTCACTTTTAAGAATTCTTACCATTATACAGGGCCCACCTAGTTAATCCAGGCTGATCTCTCTATGTTAAGGTCAGCTGATTAGCAATCTTAATTCCACCTGTAACGTTAATTCCCCTTTGTCATGTAACCTATTTTATTTACAGGTTCCAGGCATTAGGATGTGGAAATCTTTTGTGGGGTGGCATTATTCTATCTACCATCACCCCCACAACAGGGACATACACACACACACACACACACAGACAAAACATACATATATACACACATATGTGAAAAAAGATTCTAAAGCTGAGTATCCTAATATTAATAGTAGGGGACTGAATTATGCTGATTATATTTTCTTCATATTTCTACTATCCAGATTTTCCTATAATAAATACAACTAGAAATATTTAATAAATGCTATTTTTAATGTAAGTTTCTAAATTATATTTGTTACTCATCTACTGGATACTACTGAGACAAATATCATTCACTGAGGTTTATAACTTGGGCACTTAGAAAGCAATTTATTTTAAAAGTTGATGGTGCGCTGAGTGAATATCCCATGCTCAGAGGCTTAGGAATGAGGCCAACCAGGAGAGAAGATCTAGCCTTCTCAGCCATTGATTTCTGCACAATCAATTGACTCAGATCATGCAGCTAATCCAATTCAGTAGTTAAGAAAATTGAAAAGACCAGCTGTGTGGTTTCTAGGCCCAGTATTTTTTTTTTAAATAAGAGACTCTGAAAGCAATATTATCTTTGTTAGCCTGTTTGGAGATTCAGAAAGATGAAAAATAAAAAAGCAAAAAGTGTTTTCCCCCTCTGCTCAAAGTAATATTTTCTGGAGGCAGTAATAAAATATATATCGCTAATTGTCATGGGAACGCCATATAAACAGAAAAAAGCCAAATTAATATTGTAATTTGTGAGCCATACTAGATTAAACTTCTATGGATATTTAGCAGAAGGAAAGTAAATTTAAGTAAAAATAGGGCAATCTCAGTTTGTTCAAGTATTTAAAATAACTTTTCATATCTGAAATGAAATAATTCTGTTTGCCCTTAAATAAGAACAAATATTAACAAGTCACATGTTGAGTGCCAGTAAGTGCTATGGTAATGAATTAGGTCTGTATGTCACTCGTAATTATGATTTAATGAATAAGTACATTCAAATATATTGCAATACAGAAAAAAATTAAACGACCACTTGTTCTGTTATTCTTGTAAAACATAGAAAATGGCTCAATTAGGTTCTGTGCTACAGAATGCATACCAACCACTATTAGAATTTTAACTAGTTTCCTCTTTGTGAAATTAATCCTTTTTAAACCATAAAATGAGACCTTTACTTCTCCCTACATTCTTATTAATTGCACAGTACTTCACAGGCTCTTGTTGAATTGAAGAAAAAAAATTAGTCAAGAAAAGGTCACTTCTTTTTTTGCCGGTTGCATGTTAATGAGTCAGGAACACAAGGTGCAGCTTGTGAGGTGAATTGGACTGTGGTAGGTAAGAAATGATAAAAACATATATGGAATGAGGAACATAGCAAGAACATGAGGTCCCATTATCACAGCTAGGAAGGTTTAGCTCCCCCTTGAACTTTTGTCTCTCTCCTCTGATGTGTGGTAATTTGTGGTTCCGAAACACCTGCCCTTCACTTTCTGAAAATATCTTATTTTATTGAATGTATTAAGATTATTTGACATGAGCTTTCTAAATTATCCATTCTTTCACCTGAAAACTTTCCATGTATGGTCTCCCAGTCCCTCTTGCTGATGAGGTGGGAAGGCCAATTTGCTTTTCTAAGACTAATTCTTCCACCTGGATTATATTCCTCAAATGGCCTTAAGGACTTCAGTTCACCAAATACACTTTATCGTTAGTATGACCATAGAACATATCATTTAAACCACGACACTTTAGAGCTACACTGTTCAATATAACAGCCAGTAGCTACATGTGGCTAATTAAATTTAAATTGAAGTTGAATACAATTAATTGAGCCGCATTAGTCACATTTTGAAGGCTCAATAGCCACGTTGACTAGTAGCTACCATATTGGGTAGCCTGGATAGAGAACATTTTTATCACCACAGAAAATTCAGTTGGATAATGCCATGATGGAGAGTGAAACTGGCCACTATTAATAATAATGCTAGGATAACAGGTATTCACTGGTACTGTCACAAGTAATGAGGACATATGCTTACCCTACTTATATTCAACTTTTCTCTCTAATGCCTCCTTTTTTTTTCTGCAGATGTGAAAATTGTTCCTATATAAAAACATAATGAACATAAGGGTGACCACCAGCTGTCACACACTGATATTGATTCTGTTTGTGACACTAAATGCTTAGCTAATTAAATAAAAATAAAACAGCCAACCTATTTTTTTTTTAATGTTTTTTTTTTTATTATACTCTAAGTTTTAGGGTACATGTGCACATTGTGCAGGCTAGTTACATAAGTATACATGTGCCATGCTGGTGCGCTGCACCCACTAACGTGTCATCTAGCATTAGGTATATCTCCCAATGCTATCCCTCCCCCCTCCCCCGACCCCACCACAGTCCCCCGAGTGTGATATTCCCCTTGCTGTGTCCATGTGATCTCATTGTTCAATTCCCACCTATGAGTGAGAATATGCGCAGCCAACCTATTTTTTAAGCTGTTGGTCAACAAAGCAATTATTTGCATCAGTTTGCTTTTACTTTACAACTGGTTGCTGGTTGCTGTAGGACACTGTATCTAGTAGCAGTTGCCATTAATTGAGTGTCTTTGATGTTCCTTACATAGTGAAAAATGCTTCATATTTATTATAATTATATCAGCTAATTCCCATAATAACCACTCAGTGGAGGCCTTAGGGTCAGTAATTGAGTTCTGAGGAGTCAGTCAGGATGTAGAATCCTATCTGAGGTTGCGTGAAATGAGTGGGAAAATGGAAGGCATCTGCGCAAGACAAAGATGAAAGATGAAAGATGAGGAATGGCAGGACATTTTAGAAGCTGGAGGAACTCATTGCTGAAACTAATTCCAAATAGGAGGAGCTATATCTTTAAATGAATAACAGATGAAATCAACAGTCTGGTAGAGGATGGGCATGGACTGAAGCAGGAAAAGCAGGAGAAACCACGGACAATTGCTATGAACTCTATTTCATACCTCTGGTTTGCTTTAATGGGTCAGTAAGCATGAGGCTTGTGACTGTGTCCAACTGGCATAAAAACATAACATGGAGGTATGAAGATAACACCTTACTGCTTGTAAGCATCACCAGTGCATTTTAACTCCTTGAATATTACTAAGCCTGAATTGAACCCAAGTTTCCATCCCTTTCTTGATATTGTAGTTTTGACTTCTTAGTTCACTCTACTTCAGGCTGGCCAAACTCTTTTGCAGCTACAATTTTGCATATATACATGATGCTGCAATTTCCTCCAATGAATCAAAGCAAGATTTTTGAATCTAATTCTTATTTTTTACTTTCTAAGTAATATCTCTGTCATATGTAGGAAGTAATAAGACATTCAGAATAATAAGATATTCAAAGAGTGTGATTTATAAGCAAATGAAAACTAAAATGTGAAAAACTGCATCAAAACCATACAATTGCATTTTCAGAAAGTATCTTGCTTGGAAAACTCAAAAAGTATATATGGCATACCTGGTCATGAAGAAGTGTTTAAATGTTGAGTCCTGGGTCAGGCTTAAAATATAAGATAAAAGCAACAACTTTAGATTATTTTCTTCCTCTGAAGAAAAAAAATGTGATCTCAAAGTTTAAAATAATGGGCTAAACATGTGAAAATGCTCTACTATGAATCATTTGGTACTGTAAAATGTAAATGTTTATAATTAAAGAAACTGTTGCAATATCATTTCTATTACAAAACATGACAGATGTCTAAAGTTTGGTTTTCTTAAAAATGGCAAGAAATTGAACTTACCTTAAGGGCATAAAGAAAGGAGAAAATAATGATTGTTTCTTTTCCTCATTATGTGATTAGGCCATTTTTTAGATTCAGCATGCCATATTCTAAAAACTTACATTAATTCCAATCAAATATAGAGCTGACATCTTGGTAATTTACCACATATTAAACTGTATTTTTTTTTCCTCAAATGCGACAATATGATTCTCAGTTCATCTGGAATAAAGAATGTGAGAATAACCTAGGTAATTTTGAAAAATAAGAGTAATGAGGACGGACTTTCCTTATTAGATATTATAGTGTATAATAAAAATCTAATAATCGAGAAAATAATTAGGTACTAGTCCAAGTTTAGGCAGATAAATGGAGTCCAGAAATAGACCTAAATAAAATAAGGCTAAATGTAGTATTAAAGTGGCAACTTAATCAGAGGATAAAAGATGAATTATCTAACTAATGATGTTGGGATAATTAGGCAGCCACTCACGGAAGAGGAAAGGATATTCATTATTCACATCTCACAAATATGTTTTAGATATATTACAAACATGTAAAAATGAAACAAAATTCAGTAGAAAATAATAGGTGACTAATTTTGGAGGTAGAGAATTACTTTATAAGCTTATTATTAAAAGAAATAAAGATAAGGAATAGATTGATTCATTTAACTTCATAAAATTAAAATAGTAGCACTATGTATTGAAAACAGCATGAACAAAATTATAGGATAAACTACAAAGATGTAAAAATATTTTTCGTTATATATGACAAATAGCATGATTCCAAATTTATGAAAATGCTTCTTCAAATGAGTGGTCAAGCTAAAAATTAATGGGCCAAACTTTATATCTTGTTCTAACACTTCACATCCAATGCATCAACAAGTGTATCGCTTGCTCTAGCTGCAAAGCATTTTCCAACTATGATGAGCTTATTCCATCTTTGCTACTACACTTCTATACTAAGCCCTCATTTCCTCTTACTCACATTCTTATAACAGCTTCTGATGTCACTCTTCCCTTCCTAAAATTGATGACCCTTGATACCCAGAATGAACTTTTAAAGATTTAACTCAGCTGGGTGCAGTGGCTCATGCCTGTAATCCCAGCACTTTGTGAGGCCAAGATGGGTGGACCACTTGAGGCCAAGATTTGGAGACCAGCCTGGCCAACACGGCAAAACCCTGTCTCTACTAAAAATACAAAAATTATCTGGGCGTGGTGGTGCACACCTGTAGTCCCAGCTACTCTGGAGGCTGAGGTAGGAGAGTTGCTTGAACCTGGGAGGCGGAGCTGCAGTGAGCCGAGATCAAGACACTGCACTCCAGCCTGGCGACAGAGCGAGACTGTCTCAAGAAAAAAAAAAAATTAACTCATCTTTACCTTGTTCAGAAATCTCCAAAGGTTTTTCTCTGCATATAGAAAAGAAACCCTGCCCATGGCCACTATTCTTGGCTCAAAGTCTTTACGATGACTGTTGCTCTGCTTGAAATGCTCTCCCTCCAGATCTTCCCAAGATGACCTTATTCTCATCATCCAGGTTTCAAAACACGTGTTTTCTCTTCATGAGATATTCAGTTGCCATTCAAGTTAAAGCAGTTTCTCCTCCCTACTTTATCACATTGTCTGTTTTTTCATAGTACTTGCTACTTCTTGTAACTACCTCATTTCTTTTTGTCTTTCTCTCCCCAAGAGAATGTCATCTCCTTGAGAGTAGGATTACTGTCAGCCTATTTTACCTAGAATAGTGTGTAAAACTGATGCATGTGAAAATAATGATGCTTAGCTAAATATGCTGCAGTGCCTCTGTACAAAGGAATGTACAGTCATATAGAAAGATATTTAGTAGTAAGGAAGGCATATTGTTGGGTCAAGAAAGCACGATTCCTATTTGTAAAGAAGAAAATGAGCATATATATGCTTACAAAAACTCTGAAATATACACACCAATGAGTTAAAATGGTAATCTTAGCATGATGGAAAAGCTGGTGACTTTTTTCCTCTTTTTCAATTTAGTTAAATTCTTCTTATAACTGGAAACCAAATAGGATGTTCAAAACAGCTTTGCTGAAGAAAGAGAAGTTTGGTATAAGAAGTAGAGAATAGACCTTTGGTATCATCCTATTTTTTAGGACTAGCCCATTCATAAGTCAAGAGAAGAATTTTGAACTCCTAACAATAAAAGAAATAATACGTGTAATTGTTCAATGACACAATGTCTTTTAGTGTGAATAGAATCTAAAGAAAGTGAAACTTTTTGAGATTTCTTTTTTTTTTTTTTTAGAAATTAAAAAGACCAAACACTGCTCTGCTGGTGATTCCTCAATAAAGTGCCCACTGAGCTCTATTTTAATGCTTTTTTTCCCCCCTTGGAAGCTGTACAGAAAATCTTTAACATGGCAGGTTTGAGACTGCATGTTCTTAGAAAGAGAAGCTTAGCCCTTGGTTGCTGTCTGGGAACTTAGATTTCCCAGCATTAACTGATAAGAGTGATTTACTCTGCCTAAACTGTTCTGCCTAAACCTTACAATAGGTTCACCTGGTTTATGTTGAACAACTGCTTTCTTTTTAAGTGTTTGGAATTTTGGTATATGCCAGGCAGAAACTGCCTATATGACCAACCCGAAGTAAACACCCAGGGCACTGAGTCCCTAATGAACCTCCCTAGTTGAAAACATTTCACTCACATCATTACTTATTTTTGGGAAATTAAGAGCATCCTGTGTTATTCCACTAGGAGAGGACCTTTGAAAACTTGTGCCTGGTTTCCTCCAGATTTCACTCCATGTACCTCTTTCCTTTGCTGATATTGCTTTGTATCCTTTTGCTATAAAAAAATCATAATCCTGAGTTCAACTTATGCTGAGTCCTGAGGCAAATCTTTAAACCTGTAGGTGGTCTTGAGGACTCTCTGACACAGAAGCTAACATACAGAGTAGGATCTCTAGCCTGTCTTTCACATATTTATTGTAGCTATATTGTGATTAACATATATTGTATCTCCTCTATAATATTATATAATGAATCTATAGCATACCTCAAGAGTATAAGTGCTCTTGTACTTAACTAATTCTCAGAGAGAGACTCTCCAAGTATAATCAGACTCCAGGTAAAATACACACTCCCTGAATCTAACTGGACTGAGTCTTTGATTTGGTTGAGAAACCAGAAACCAGGTTCTTCTTATTGAAAAGCAATTTAGTTGTAGATCCCTGAGGAATCGCCACACTGACTTCCACAATGGTTGAACTAGTTTACAGTCCCACCAACAGTGTAAAAGTGTTCCTATTTCTCCACATCCTCTCCAGCACCTGTTGTTTCCTGACTTTTTAATGATTGCCATTCTAACTGGTGTGAGATGGTATCTCATTGTGGTTTTGATTTGCATTTCTCTGATGGCCAGTGATGGTGAGCATTTTTTCATGTGTTTTTTGGCTGCATAAATGTCTTCTTTTGAGAAGTGTCTGTTCATATCCTTCGCCCACCTTTTGATGGGGTTGTTTGTTTTTTTCTTGTAAATTTGTTTGAGTTCATTGTAGATACCATTTGACCCAGCCATCCCATTACTGGGTATATACCCAAAGGACTATAAATCATGCTGCTATAAAGACACATGCATGCATATGTTTATTGCGGCACTA
Source organism: Homo sapiens (assembly GCF_000001405.40). Taxonomy (NCBI): domain Eukaryota; kingdom Metazoa; phylum Chordata; class Mammalia; order Primates; family Hominidae; genus Homo; species Homo sapiens. The sequence goes on along the minus strand of NC_000002.12, from coordinate 195,182,180 downwards.
TTCACAATAGTAAAGACTTGGAACCAACCCAAATGTCCAACAATGATAGACTGGATTAAGAAAATGTGGCACATATACACCATGGAATACTATGCAGCCATAAAAAATGATGAGTTCATGTCCTTTGTAGGGACATGGATGAAATTGGAAATCATCATTCTCAGTAAACTATCGCAAGGACAAAAAACCAAACACCGCATGTTCTCACCCATAGGTGGGAATTGAACAATGAGAACACATGGACACAGGAAGGGGAACATCACACTCTGGGGACTGTTGTGGGGGTGGGGTGGGGGGAGGGATAGCATTAGGAGATATACCTAATGCTAAATGACGAGTTAATGGGTGCGGCACACCAACATGGCACATGTATACATATGTAACTAACCTGCACATTGTGCACATGTACCCTAAAACTTAAAGTATAATAATAATAAAATAAAAATAAAAAAAGAATAAATTTGCCTTGGGCAGATGGCACCTGTAAATGGCACTGATCTAAAAAATAAAAAAAGCAAACATTCTACTATAAAAAAAAAAAAAAGCAATTTAGGTATTGGTGACAGACCATGGAAAACTATGTTCTTTTATTGCCCTAACTAGAATTTATATTTAGTGCTACCTAGTAGAAACTGCAATAGGAGCTGAGAGTGAGGTCATATAGAATAGAATTGGGTGAATTATGGCATCTGACTCATAGATAAAATAATTTTTTTCATGTTTAAAAGATTACTCTGCTGGGTCATATTAATGAATAACATGTCTCTCAAAAGGATTTTTGCTCCTTCTTTGAGACGATCCACTGTTAAAAGACAAATTATGATCTTTGTTTATGGAATTGAATATGTAATAACATGGTATGAGTCTTTTAAGGAATTTGTTACTGTTCACCTTACATTATGGTTGGGGTGTGGCCAATTACACAGAATTAGCTCATGGCCCTGCTCTGTCACTAACTAGCTGTGTGAAATGTGGATAAGTTACTTAATCTTTTATGCCTCAATTTCATCATTGTGAAAACAGTAATAGCATTATAATCAATTCCTCTATGGCTGGTGAAAAGATGATAATAGGCACACATGTTTAGATGGCCATCAAATCATGGTTACCTTCCCATTCTGAGTGCAGATCCAATTGAGATAGGCATAATGAGGCATAAGGAAGTGAAGATGTTGGCTGCATTATGAGAAAGGTAATTGGAAAGCATGACTTTAGACCTACAGCCAAGTGTGTTTACCAGTACTTTACCCTCAATCAGACTTACTAACCCAGTCACTAGTGCAACCGAGTTACTACAGGCTTCCCCTGAAGCGGCACTGCATAGCACAGGGCAGTCCAGAGTGCACCCATCTGCCTGGCAGACTGGCTCCTAAACAAGCCTGGATGAACTTCAGCCTTACCTTTTCAAAACTCATGTATTAGAGATGTCTTTCCTCCTCTTTGGCATGAACAAGCAATACAAAGAGGAATTAGAAATAATGATCTACTCTGATTGAATTTTCTCCAGAAGAAAGAAAGTTTTTCATAAAATGGAGCCCAGTACCATGCATAATAGAAGTTTCTGCTGAATATTCCATCTTATTATCACTATGAATGTTTCATGAAAGGCTAAGAACCTGGAAGTCAAGATTATGTCTTATTTACCTCTTATCCTCATGATACCTTGCCATCCGGCACTAATAAATGTTCTGGAAGAGTGGGTGAATATGTGAAGGAATACTATACAGAACACTGCTATTCCATGCCTTGATTCTGGTGGTTTGAATAAATACAGTGGTAAGAACACTGAAACATGTTCTGAGAATTCTGAATTCTAATTTTGACTCTATCTTAAGCTGGTTGGTTGACCTTGGACAAGTCACTTAATATTTTCACTAAAATATAATGTTAATAATACCCCTGCTACATGTTTTACAGAAATAAGACAAAGGAGTGGATGTAAAATTACCTCGGGAAATGCAGAAAAGTTACTGGTGCAAATGATGAAAAATTCATAGGTCTGTTTTTTCATTCAAAGAAAAAAAGAGAAGAAATATGCATACTCCAAACTTATATTCTTCACATTGGCCACTTATAGCATATTTTCAAAACCCTAGTGTGATTCATTTATATCTCTGCTCATCTATCATTTCCATGCACAAAAAACCTTAAATGACTTTAGGTGGCATACTTTAATTCTTTCTATTTTTTGAATTTTCAAAAATGAGCATCTTTTTTTTTCCCCATCCATTGGACCCTGATATGGTTTGGCTCTGTGTTCCCACCCAAATCTCATCTTGAATTGTAATCCCCACGTGTGGAGGGAGGGAGGTAATTGGATCACGGGGGTGGTTTCCTCCACGCTGTTCTTGTGATAGTGAGGGGATTCTCACGAGATCTGATGGCTTTAAAAGCATGGAACTTCCTTGTTTGCTTGCCCTTCTCTCTCCTCTGTCTACTGAAGAAGGTGCTGGCTTTCCGTTTGCCTCCCGCCATGATTGTAAGTTTCCTGAGGCGTCCCCAGCCATGTGGAACTGGGAGTCACTTAAATCTCTTTCCTTTATAAATTACCCAGTCTCGGGTATTTCTTTATAGCAGTAGGAAAATGGACTAATACAGACCCCCACGGCTTAGAGATAAAAACTCAAACTCCTTAATATCTTCTTGCATCGGGGCCCAATTTTTCTTTAACAATTCTATCTCCTCTTATTGTTCTATAGGTACTTTGCTCTGTAAAAATTTCATTCTACTTTATGTTTTTTCAAACATAAATGAACAATTTTTACCCCTGTTTTTGCTTATCCTATGTCATCTTCCTTGAATGCCAATTTATGATGTCTACCTCTTAGAATCCTGTTCTTCAAGATTTAGATTGAATCCTAATGTTTTTCATATCCTTCTCTGATATCCCCATCAAAATTTTCTCTTTTCACCGAGAACTTAAACTTTGCTTTGTTGTATGTGTTTTTCTTATATTCAAGTTTCATTCTTGCATGTATTTGTATTCATCACAGAACCTAGTAGTGTGCCTTGCTGCTAGTATTCACTTACTAAATGCTTATTGTCTAGAAAAATAAAATAAAATAAAATAAAATAAATGACCCAATGACGCCTCTCCCTCAGTGGTTTTACCCGGCAGCACTAAACTATTCCCTTAGGATAGCACAATCTAAAAAGATGAAAGTACCAAACATTAGCCTGATAGTTTTTAAACCTTTAAAAGCCAAGAAAATCTAATAATGAATGCATCAAAAATTTGTTTTTCTGTTTCATTATTTCTCTGTTCTTTGTATTACTGATTAACTTGTAATCACCATGCTAATGAGGTCCCTTGTGTGCTACTTCACATCTTTAATCTATGCCCATAAGGTGAGCTGCAAATATACTCCTTAATCACAATTAGAATCTAATGAAATACTTTTAATGCAGCAACCTGTTATTGCCCTCATTTCTGAAAAACAAAAAAGTTTAAAAATGGGGAAATAGCACTACATTTGCAAGCAAAGACATGATTTCACTTAGTATATTTGTGTGTGTAATGTGTAAGAAGACCCATCTGAATAATACTATTATCTCATCTTATACATATGATTGGAGGTATAGCTAATAACAAAAGGTGTTATATATAAATAATAATAATAAATTAGAAATATCCCAGCAAGGAACATTAACCATGTAATATGCAAATCAGAGAATCAGATATGATGCTAGGTCTATAAAATATAATGGCAGAAGAACGTTATTACGTAAGCTTGAAGAACAGTGTCAGCAAATATTTTGCAAGTATATAAGCTGTCATAATAATATTTCTAGTCTGTGTTTTCCACAGGATATGCCAAAAATAAGCATCACATTCAATATTTGTGGCTTTAAAAAGCCAGTGTCTTTGTGAACTGACTTAACATTACATTTTTTGAATATATTTTACAAATAAAATAAAAAAGAATAAGATAATTGAAATCCATTTAGGATAGTTGGAAGCCAATATATTTTCTTATTAAAAAATTAAACTGCACAAGTAGATGAATTTCACCAAAATAATCTCAAATGCCAAATATGGTTATTCCAAACTGTCTAGTTTACAAAATCTTTGCTTTTCAGAAAATTTACTCCCTGCACCCCATCCTGTTAATAGGAATGTACAAATGATACAACAGTTTTCAACATAATAAAGTAGCTCTGCAGAATTCCTTTAAAATATCATGCAGCTTCTTTCCTGTGACATACCTTTGTAAATATTCAGTGTGTATCATCTACTTATTTATTATTCTTATGTAACCCATAAAACAAAAATCTTTTCCTAATCAAAATTTCTTTAAATTTTTTCTTCTTATTATTAAAATGGATGATGTAGAAAACAATTCTCACAGATACCCCTATCCGGGCCAACTTAAGTTATTTTTATTATAAAAATGTTAACTTAAAATATGTGTATGTAAAACTAATATCAATTTTTAAGCTTGTTATTCTTACAAGTTAACAAAATCAATTTGCAAATTAATTGCCAACAAAACTTCAATGCAATAAGATCCAAATAAGCTACCTTAATTTGAAGGGCTGATGATGTAATTTTTGTAGGAACTCTGTGCTATTATATTAGCCATGTGAATTAGGTGCTGATGCTTTAGTGTTGAATGGATTTGGTCTCTTCTCTCTTTGAACTGCTGTGAAAACTTTTATTTCAGGAATGTGCCTTAACGTCACTTGGCCGTAAGCTAATGTACAATGCATCTATAATAAATCTGCTTTGTTCAGTCTTTCATCATCCTTGACAATAAAATTTTTACTACCTGATACCAATGAAATCTTAGTAAAAAAATGCAAACCCAGGCACTGAAATTCCACGCTTAAAGCTGATAGTTCCTAAAACCATAAAAACCCTAGAAGAAAACCTAGACAATGCCATTCAGGACATAGGCATGGGCAAGGACTTCATGACTAAAACACCAAAAGCAATGGCAACAGAAGCTGAAATTGACAAATGGGATCTAATTAAACTAAAGAGCTTCTGCTCAGCAAAAGAAACTACCATCAGAGTCAACAGGCAACCTACAGAATGGGAGAAAATTTTTGCAACCTACTCATCTGACAAAGGGCGAATATCCAGAATCTACAAAGAACTCAAACAAATTTACAAGAAAAAATCAAACAACCCCATCAAAAAGTGGGCAAAGGATATGAACAGACACTTCTAAAAAGAAGACATTTATGCAGCCAACAGACACATGAAAAAATGCTCATCATCACTGGTCATCAGAGAAATGCAAATCAAAACCACAATGAGATACCATCTCACACCAGTTAGAATGGCGATCATTAAAAAGTCAGGAAACAACAGGTGCTGGAGAGGATGTGGAAAAACAGGAACACTTTTATGCTGTTGGTGGGAATGTAAACTAGTTCAACCATTGTGGAAGACAGTGTGGCAATTCCTCCGGGGTCTAGAACTAGAAATATCATTTCACCCAGTGATCCCATTACTGGGTATATGCCCGAAGAATTATAAATCATGCTGCTATAAAGACACATGCACACATATGTTTATTGCAGCACTATTCACAATAGAAAAGACTTGGAACCAATCCAAATATCCATCAATGATAGACTGGATTAAGAAAATGTGGCACATATACACCATGGAATACTATGCAGCCATAAAAAAGGATGAGTTCGTATCCTTTGTAGAGACATGGATGAAGCTGGAAACCATCATTCTGAGCAAACTATTGCAAAGACAGAAAACCAAACACCGCATATTCTCACTCATAGTGGGAACTGAACAATGAGAACACTTGGACACAGGGCGGGGAACATCACACACCATGGCCTGTTGTGGGATGGGAGGAGTGGGGAGGGATAGCATTAAGAGAAATACCTAATGTAAATGACGAGTTAATGGGTGCAGCACACCAACATGGAACATGTATACCTATGTAACAAACATGCACGTTGTGCCCATGTATCCTAGAACTTAAAGAAAAAAAAAGCTGATATTTGAGATATTCCAGAATGTTTATATTTTTATTACTTTTTAAGCTTAACAAAAAATGATAAAACAAAATTTTAAGGTCCTCGTAGAAAATGTGCAGACCTATGAAACCTGTGGGACCCAATCCCTGTTAACCACTAAACTGCTTTCTGTCTTTATTTATTTACCTATTCTGAATATTTCATATAAATGGAATCATATAAAATGACCTTTTGTATCTGGCTTATGTCACTTAGCATAATATTTTTGAGGTTCATCCTCACTGTAGTATGTGTCAGTGCTTAATTCCTTTTTATGTTTGAGTAATATTTTAATTTCTCCACATCACCAACAATTGCTATTTTCTGTATTTTGATTATGGTCATACTAGTGCGTGTGAGGTGATATCACATTAGTTTGACTTGGATTTACCTAAAGGATGTTGAGCATCTTTTCATGTATTTTTTGGGCATTTATATATTGTCTTTGGAATAATGTCAACTTAAGCATTTTGATCATTTTTAAATTCATTATTTTTCTGTGTGTTATTGCGTTGTAAGTGTCCTTTTTATATTTTTGATACTAGACTACCATTATCAGATATATTGTTTACAAACATTTTCTCCCATTCTGTTGGCTGTCTTTTTTATGTACTTGATAGCATCCTTTGCTGAACAGAAATTTTCAGTTTTCTCAAGGTCCCACTTATCTTTTTTTCTTCTTTTGTTTGTGTTTTTGGTGTCAAATCTAAGAACTAATATCATGAAGATTTACCCCTTTGTTTTCTTCTAAAAGTTTAATAGTTTTAGCTCTTCTATTTAGGTCATTTATCTATTTTGGATTAATTTTTTTTTGTATGTGGTGTGAGGTAGAAGTTGAACTTTAGTTTTTACATGTGGATATCCTGTTGTCCCAGAATCATTTGTTGAAGAGACTGTTCTTTCTCTATTAAATAATCTTGACAGCCTCATTGAAATCAGTTGGCTATAGATGTGTGGGTTTATTTCTGCACTCTCAATTCTATTGCAGTGATCTATATATCTATCCTTATGCTAGTACCACAGTTTTAATGATTGTAGCTTTGTAATACATTTTGAAATGGAAGCATGAGCCTCTAAATTTTGTTATTCTCAAGATTGTTTTGTTTATTTAGCAAACCTGAATAAAAATCAGATTTTATTATTTCACTTTTAATGAATAGATAACATGAAACAAGGGGGTGTGTGAGGAAAGTAAGATGAGAAGGAACTCAGAGAAAACAAAGGCAATGCAGAAAGCAGAAAAAAAATCCAAAATGCTGTATTAAATAGCCTTAGAGAGGAATAGATATTACACCCATAAAACAAGAGTAGTTCAGTATAAAAAAAGAGAATATTCTTAGAGCAAGAAAGAGCCCTTAGAAGTTAAAAATTAGGAACTGAATTTTAAAAACCAATAGATAGATTGTAAGATATAGTTGAGTATATCAGCTAGAGAAAAATAAAAGGATGCAGAGATAGAAAATAAAAAGGTAAAAACGTGAGACTAATTTAGAGATCCACATTTTTCAAATGAGAGTTTTGTAATGGAAGAACAATAAAAAAGTAGGGGGTAAATTTAATAACAAATGATGCAAGAGTATTTCACAGAACATAACATGATTTTACAGATGGAAAATGCCTACCACAATTAAAAGGCCCAAATCAAGGCACAACTTTTTGAAATATCAGGATAGGAGTGATTAAAAAAAAGAGGATCCTGAAAGTTTCCCAAGGATTGGGGATCAGAATAGACTGACAATCAGAATGTCACTGAACTTCATAAAGAACACACCTAAAAGTTAGAAGATGAAGAATCACATGCCTTTAAGTATCTCAACAAAATAAGTTTTAACCCAGAATTCTATGTCATTACAGCTCTCAAGTAAGTTTGAGGGTGAAATAAAGATAGATTGATGCATTTAACAATGCTGAGATGACACATATTTCTGTGGAAAGTTTGGGGGTAGATAATTACTAGGTATATAAAAAACAAAGTAGAAAAAAGACTCAATTAATGTTAAAATTTCAACAGAAAGAAATTGATTTACTAAAAATAGACTTAACAAAATTTAATTGTGATATAACCAATAATATTATTATTGCTGGGTTACTTATAATACTTAATACAATGTAAATGCTATGTAAATAGTTTTATATTGTAATTTTTAGAGAATAATGACAAGAAAAAGTCTGTACACATTCATTACATCCATTCATTTTTTTAAAAAATATATTTTCAACTTATATTTTTGATTTAAGGATACATGTGCAGGTTTTTTACATGAGTATGTTGCATGACGGTGAGGTTTGTGGTATCAATGATCTTGTCATCCAGATAGTGAGCATAGTATGGAATAGTTTTTAAACCCTTGCCCACCTCCCTGTCTCCTTCCTTTAGTAGTCCCTGGTATCTGTTCTTGCCATTTTTATGCTCATGAGTGCCCAGTGTTTAGCTCCCACTTATAACTGAGAACATGCAATATTTGATTTTCGGTTCCTGCATTAATTCGCCTAGGATGATAGCCTCCAGCTCCATCCACATCGCTGCAAAGGACATGGTTTCATTTTTTTATGGCTGCATAGTATTCCATGGAGTATATGTACTACATTTTCTTTGTTCAGTCCACCACTGATGGGCACCTAGGTTGATTCCATGTCTTTGCTAATGTAAACAGTGCTGAGATAAACATACAAGTGCCTGTGTCTTTTTGGAAGAATGATATATTTTGTTTTGGATGTTTACCTAGTAATGGGGTTGGGTTAAATGGTGGTTCTGTTTTAAGGTCTTTGAGAAACCTGAAAACTGCTTTCCACAATGGGTGAAGTAATTTATGTTCCCACCAACAGTGTGTAAGCGTTCCTTTCCCCCTGCAGCCATGTCAGCATCTGTTGTTTTCTGACTTTTTAGTAATAGCTATTCTGACTGATGTGATGTGGTATCTCATTGTGCAATCATCCATTTAAAAAATATGTTTGATCTGCTATGGATTGAATCCATGGATGTGGAACCCAGAGAAATGAAGGGCTGACTGGATAGAGTAAAATTAAGTGAGTAGTGAAGATAAGGTTAAAAAAAGGCAGGTTGGAAATATTTATGAAGGAAGTTGAATACAAGGAGGAGAACACTGTTCTTAAATAGTGAAGCTTTTTAATTAAATCAGTGATATGTTCAAAAAGTAATAATGTGATTAATGCTGGTAAGAAATGGAAGCCATGAATCAATTTGGAGAGTATTATGTGAAGTGTCTGAATTTAAGGTCTTGACAACTGAAAGGAAATAAAAAGGAAAATATATTCTTTTAAGATAGAGTTTATAGGATGGAATCCAATTTTGAAAGAAGAGGAGGAATTAAACCTGAATCCTGTTTTAATGTGTTTGAGTACTGAGTGTGTTTGAATACTGAGTGAATGATTTAATAGCTTTTAAAAATACCTTTTAATCTTATCGTTCTCAAGGCTTATGTTTGCCATATCTACCAGTGGACATCCTGGGTTAGCTCTGGCATTCTTACTGGGAAATATTCCATTCTCAGTTTTCTATTGTTTTTATTGTTGCTGAAATATTTATTGTATTTAAGCATTTAAGTACACTTGTAATTGTACAAGTGAAATATGAATGTTTTTCTTATTTGTTTGGTTGAGCTTCTTGATCAATTAATAAAAAATCTACATTTTATTGTGAGCTAAAATATCATAAGCAAAGATAATTCTTTGAAAACAGATTGAACAGATAATTCGAAATGTCTCTTAGACACACATGAAGGTCTACAACCAAGGCACAGGGATTAATGTTTGTCATCCCTTTTCAGGTACAGAAATGTCACAGTTGGTAGTATTTTTATATTCAACTGTTTCATCAAGTCCCCTAACCTTGCTGTTCTCATTTGGTTATCTGTAAAGTAATAAGGAAAATGTCTATAGTTCTCGAAGAAGTCAAAGCAAAGAAATAAAATTCTCAGAGTCATGAAATAATATTTACTCATAATCATAATTGACTTATAATTTTTGAGGTAAAATCCTCAGTTCCAACGGCATTCTGCTGGGAAACTAAAAAATATATATTTTAAGGTACTTAGAAAATTATTGCTATTAGCATATTTGTTTCAGGAAAAGGAAAAACAAATGAAAGAAAATCTCCTTAAGTTCAGCCAGCTACTTATGACATGAGTTTTTAGAGTAGTTAGTTCCCATTTCTTACTTGTAAATCAAGGGCAAACTTTGCAAGAAAGTGCAAAAAACCCAAGGCACTGATACATCAGAGTTTAAGCAAGCCTTTGATGCAGTTTTTCTTTGAAGCTTTGTGGAAGTTATTTCATCTCAGTATGATTTTCTTTTCTCGAACTTTAAATTGGTATAAATTTAGTTGATGTTGGTGGTTCTTCCTGCTCTTGTTCAGGTTGTACTAAGCAAGGTGCAGTGAATGTTGTAGTTTAGAAAAAATCCTCTAGCGCAGACTGAGTGCAAATCCCAGCTTGCCACTTACAAGCTGCTGCCTCAGGACAGAATATTTCACCTCTCTAGGGTTCAGTTTTTTCCCTTATATTGTGGAGATAATGTATCTCATGGCTTGGTTGTGAAAAGTAAATATAAAATAATTTATTACAGAGCTTGGAAAATACAAAGTAGTACCTAAGAGTTTTGTACGTGGAAGTATGGACAACCGGAAATGCCCATCAGAAATCTAAATGTTGATTTATGAATTCCCTAGTCCACTCTAACATTAATGACAATAACCAGACATTGACATGCTGTAAGTTCATTATCTAACTTCCTTCTCAAACTAATCCTATGACATTGATATTAGTATCTTTATTTCATAAGTAACAGCAGATTGGAAGGGTACTAAATACTTGTTCAAATTCTAAGTTAAATGGTGAGATTGTGCTTCAGATACATGCAAGCTACTCTGACATTTAGCAATTAACTATTTTGCTGAGCAACTTCCAAATCCAAGAGGAAGTACCAGGGAAAATGACTTATCAGTGAGGTTCTGCAGAAATGACAGCAACAGTATTTGGGTGCTGCTCTTTCTGAGTGTGAGGCTGCAGTCTTGTTCTCCGTGATCTTTTCCTTCAACAGCCTCCAGAGATAACAATACTTCTAATGAAAGGTGGTTATGAAAATACATTTTTACAAGCACATCATTATTATAAAAATGCTTAATTTTCATCTTTAGATATTAAAAATCTAGCTGCCAAGTAATCCTCCTACATCCATCAGCTGCTAATAATAAATAATGAACCAGTTCATTTTTACTTTGCTAAAAAATACAATTTTTCCCCCAAAATGGATTACATGATATTTGAAAAATAGTCTAATTTTGCCTGCCCCGATGTCATCACTGAATCCCATCATTTGGCTGCACCTTTAAGATCATGAGAAGACTTTGAAACAATAAAAGGACTTCTTTACTAGGAAGAATAAATGAGCTGCCTTTATCACCTTTAGCAGGGAACTAAATTAGACTCACACTAATGATCATTTCTGTTCTAGGAACCTAAGTACACTGTGTTTCTCAGAAATATGGCATATTAAAACAATGAAATCCATACATTTTTATGGCACAGGAAAAATATGGAGAATCATTTCAAACTCCTTTCATCCCTTTAAGTTTTAATTGCATTTTCTTCTATTTCTAATCACCAATTTAATTTTTATTTATATTTCAAGTGTATTATTTCATCTTTTTTATTATCAGGAATATACTTTGTTACATACAATCTGTTGAGAGTGGGAAGAAGTGGAAGAGATTAGATAAGGGAATAAATCGGGGGAAAGAACTGAAATTTGGGATTAGGAGGTCGTCTTAAGTTAATTTATTTTGTAAATAGTTTTTGTGCGCCAACCATGTACCTGGTACATGGTAAAGTGTTTTATGTACCTACCACAGTACCCGGTAGGTAAGATAAAAAATGTGGTGCCTGTCCTTGTGGCACCAATAAATACAGTTATAAATAACTGAGTATAATGCAAGATGGTGTGTGCTTTAATGAGTCAGAGTGGATTAAAAAGAAAGATGAGACTATTTAGTGCTGGTAACTGTGCTAGGTCCTAATATTATATTATTTGACTAATGAAATTAGATTTATCTCCATTTTACAGAGGAGAAAACTGAGAGGTTGAGGATGTTTGTTTGGTGCCATGTAGCTAGTGAGTGTAGCTGTGATTAGACCTACAATCTCTCATCTTTCAAAGCATTTGCTTTTTATACTTGAGCAATGTTTACAAAATTTGCCTGATTATAACATATCAGCTTGGAAATGTCTTAAAATACATATTGGTAGTCGTAACACCAGAGGCACTAATTCAGATACTCTAGGGCAGGAGATGGAGAATCTATAATTTTAAGAAACACCTCTAACATTTTGTGTATCAAGCAAGTTTTAGACGCTTTGAATATAAGCATATACTCTACTTATTATGAATGTGACAGAGATTACATCTGGGTAGAGGAGAGAGGAATGTACATGAATGCTTTGGAAAGAAAGTGGCTTTTATATTGGATCTTGATAGCTGAATAAAAATTTGCTAAGTAGTAAAGTGAGAGTTTTTGGTAATGGCTTTTTTCAGAGAGGTATTTTACTGCTTGATGTTAGCAAAAATAAAATGGATTTCCTGTGCTGAGGTATCTGATCTCTAATTTTCTGTGATATGCTACAGATTATATATATAATATAGACAGACAGGTGGAGGTATATATGACTCCAACAGAATGTCTTATGATTAGCAGTGTGTTAACAGAGATAGATAGACGGATATAGATAGATATTTTTCAGTCTCATATGAAAATCCAACTCGATACAACAAATGTAGATGAGTCTATTTTAATAAACAAATAAGTTCTTTTAAGTAGTAAAATTTCACAAGTTAATCGATTTATTCATAAAATTTATTCATTATCTTTTAAAATTAAAAATATAATAAATGACTTTATAGAATGTGTAAACATTGGGTATCTACGTATACCCTACCTTTATTCCTACATGCATTCCTAACAATATTCTCTCCACATTAACATAACAAAGAAATTTGAAGTCTTCATTTTTATTTATTCTTATATGTATAGATTTACATTTAAATAGTTTTTGTGTCTTGGTTTTAAAAATTATTTTTATCTTTGTCAACTAATAAATAAAAAGAAAAAGCCATCAGTAGGCTTCTTAAACCAATAGGTTTAAAATGACACATAGCAGTCCTCTTTGACCGTTCCTCACATCATAAGACCAGCTTATCAGAGACAACTAGGTCTCTGAGTCTAGGTCAGGTCTTTTAAGTGCTTCTTAACTTAATATTTCCAAATATAGGCATACTACAGATATATTGTGGATTTGGATCCAGACCACCGCAATAACGCAAGTATTGCCATAAAGTGAGCACACAAACTTTGTGGTTTCTCAATGCATATAAAAGTCATGTTTATGCTATACTTTAAACACTTAATGCTATTAAGTAGGCAATAGCACTATGACTAAAAAATAATGCACATTCCTTAATTAAAATACTTTATTGCTAAAAAAATGCTAACAATCACTGAGACTTCAGTGATTGGTAATCATTTTGCTGGTGGAGGGCCTTGCCTCAGTGTTGCTGGCTGCTGACTGATCAGGGTGGTGGTTGCTGAAGACTGAAGTGGCTGTGGCAATTTCTTAAAAGGAAACAACAATGAGGTTTGCCACATCAACTGACTCTTCCTTTCATAAAGCATTTCTCTGTAGAGTGCAATGCAGTTTGATAGCATTTTTCACACAGTAGTACTTTCAAAATTAGAGTCAGTCCTCTTAGACCCTGCCACTGCTTTATCAACTAAATTTATGTGATATCCTAAATATTCTGTTGTCATTTCAACAATGTTTACAGCATGTTCATTAGGAATATTTTTCATCTCAAGAAAGGATTTTCATAAGAAACAAGTCGTCATTCATTCAAGTTTTATCATGAGATTGCAGCAATTTAATCACATCTTCAGGGTCCACTTCTAATTATAGTTCTCTTGCTATTTCCACCACATCTACAGTGACTTCCTCTACTGAAGTCTTGAACTCTGCAAAGTAATACATGAGGGTTGGAATCAACTTCTTCTAAACTCCTGTTAATGTTATTTTGAACTCCTTCCATGAATGAATGTTCTTAATGGAATCCAGAATGGTGAATTCTTTCCAGAAGGTTTTCAATTTACTTTGCCCATATTCATCAGAGGAATAACTACCTGTGGCAGCTATTGTCTAAGGAAATGTATTTCTTAAACAAAAAGACTTGAAAGTTGAAATTATTGTTTTATCCATGGGCTGCAGAATGGATAATGTTTTAGCAGGCATGAAAACAATGTTAATCTCTTTGTACTTCTGCAGCAGAGCACTTGGGTGACCAGGTGCATTGTCAATGAGCAGTAATATTTTGGAAGGAATCTTTTTATTTCTGAGTAGTAGGTCTCAACAGTGGGCTTAAAATATTCAGTAAACTATGCTGTAAACCAAACTTGTCCAACCCACGACCCCATGGGCTGCATGTAGCCCAGGATGGCTTTGAATGTAGCACAACACAAATTCATAGATTTTTTAAAAACTTTATGAGATTTTTTTTAAGTCATCATCTGTTGTTAGTGTTAGTGTATTTTATGTGTGGCCCAAGACAATTCTTGCAATGTGGCCCAGGGCAGCCAAAAGATTGGACACTTCTGCTGTAAACAGATGTGCTATCATTCAGGCTTTTTTTCTACTTATAGAGCACAGGCAGAGTTGATTTAGCATAATTCTTACGGCCCCCAGGGTTTTTGGAATGGTAAATGAGCAATGTCTTCAACTTAAAGTCTCTAGCTGCATTAGCTCCTAGTAAGAAAGTCAGCCTGTCCTTTGAAGCTTTGAAATCAGACATTGACTTCTCTCCAACTGTGAAAGTCTACGAAATCTTCCTTCAATACAGAGCTGTTTCATCTACATTAAACATCTGTTGTTTAGTGCAGCCATCTTCATCAATGATCTTAGTGAGGTCTTCTAGACAATTTGCTGCAGCTTCTACATCAGCACTTGCTCCTTCACCTTGCATTTTTATGTTATGGAGGTGACCTCTTTCCTTAACTCTTATGAGCCAACCTCTATTAGCTTTCAACTTTTCTTCTGCAGCTTCCTCATCATTCTCAGCCTTCATAGAATTAAAAAGAGTTGGGGTCTTGCTCTGGAGTAGGCTTTGGCTTTGGGGAAGGTTGTGATTGGTTTGATCTATCCAGGCCATGAACATTTCATCATATCAGCAGTACGGCTGTTTTGCTTTCTTATCATCTGTGTGTTAACTGGACTGGCACTTTTAATATCCTTCAAAAACTTTTCGGCCGGGCGCGGTGGCTCACGCCTGTAATCCCAGCACTTTGGGAGGCCGAGGCGGGCGGATCACGAGGTCAGGAGATCGAGACCATCCTGGCTAACACGGTGAAACCCCGTCTCTACTAAAAATACAAAAAATTAGCCGGGCGAGGTGGCGGGCGCCTGTAGTCCCAGCTACTCGGGAGGCTGAGGCAGGAGAATGGCGTGAACCCCAGGGGGCGGAGCCTGCAGTGAGCCGAGATTGCGCCACTGCACTCCAGCCTGGGCGACAGCGAGACTCCGTCTCAAAAAAAAAAAAAAAAAAACTTTTCCTTTGCTTTTGCAACTTGGCTATTTGTCCTATTTGTCACAAAAGGCCTAGCTGTCAGCCTGTCTTGGCTTTTGACATGCCTTCCTCACTAGGTTTAATCATTCTGGCTTCTGATTTAAAGTGAGAAATGTGAGATTCTTCCATTCACTTGAACACATACAGGCCATTTTAGGGTTATTAATTAGCCTAATGTCAATACAGTTGTTTCTCAGGAAATAGGGTGGCCTGAGAAGAGAAAAAGAGATGGGGAAATGTCTGGTTGGTGGAGCAGTCAAAACACACACAACATTTACTGATTCCATTGGCTTTCTTATATGGGTGTGCTTTGTGTCACCCCAAAACAATTATAATAATAACATCAAAGATCACTGATCAAAGATTACCATAACAGATATAATAATATGAAAAAGTTTGAAATATTGTGAGAATTTCCTAAATGTGACACAGAGATAAGAAGTGAGTCCATGCTGTTGGAAAATGGCACCTATAGACTTGCTTGAAAAAGTTGCCTCCAACTAAATTTGTAAAGAAACTGCAATATCTGAAAAGCCCAACAAAGTGAAGTGCAATTAAGTGAGGTCTGCCTGTAATACACTTATACTGCTGGGGTGGATACTGCGATGCACTGTGCAGACTCCCCCTTCGTTATTGTAGGACTTATTACCCACACGCTGGGTGTGTCACTGGCAGACAGCCCTCAGGCACCACTGTTTTCCAGAAATTGCCTCATTTAAAAGTTATCTCCACTAATATCAGCAGTGGTGAGAGGTATAAAGCCCTTATTCTCTTCCTAATCTTCAGGACTGTTCCAAAGAACCTGCTACTCCAAACTACTCTGAATGCACATCTCATCTTCAGAGCAGAATTAGGTGAGGCATTAGATTGAAATTGTGTTGCTGATCAATTTTTCCTTTTGCTCAAATGTGTTTCCTCTCCTTCCTGTCCATAAATTTGAGCCCAAAAACATTCTTTAATAAGCTACAAGTTAATTTCTGTATTACAGTTGGCTTGCCAGGGAACCCTACCTGCACCATTGCTATTTATTTATTTCTATGTTTCAGACATTATTATAGACTGGTGGCTATGATTCAGGAACATTTAATTCTCACATCATAGTTCTTGCCTATCCCATGTGCCTAATTACTTTTCCCCTCCAAAAATTGCTGTATTAGAATCCTGAATTAGAGTATATAGTATGACAACTAGTAACATATTGTTCATAGTTTAGTCAAGTAGCACATTATAATTAAATTTACTTTCTTATACAACTTCTAGTTTTTTAAGAATTAACAGTTGCCTAACCTTGTCATTTATTTTTTAAATTCTTCTCAAATCAACACAGAGATCTGTAATCCTTCACTATTATTTCCTACAAGGCCAAATGTATCACATGATTTATTTCCTTTTCCCATCCACAAATAGCCTAATGTTGGACCAGCTGTTTGTTTTCAAGGCGTGGGTCATGTTTATCACTCTAGGGCTTCTCCTTCATCTACATTTACAGGATCCCATATCTTTCTTTTTAAATCATTTACATATTCATTTTTTTGAAGCACGTCCTCCAGTAGATTTTCTAAGAAAGAGTAAAAGAGAGCTAAGTTATTTTGTCTAATTCCTTAATATTTTTCCTTTATCCTTTGTGCTCTGCATTTCCATGATTACAAGTCTTGCTCTAGATTTAAAAAACTTTTCCTTTATTATACTGAGCAATTTATCTAGGAGATTTTTTTTCCTGTTGTTTCCCGACATAATTCCCTGCTTTCTACTCTTTGTCTTATTGAATAACAAAGAACTTATTAGTAATTTAACTTATTATAAGTATTGTTAATTAGATATTGAGCTTTCTGTGTTAATACTTTAAATTTCTAATTTTCTTTTTCTTTTATCTTTTTGTCTTATATTGTTATTTTCTGGACTTTTCCAAACTTCCTATTAATTTTTAAAATTTAATTGCCATATTTTTAGCATTCAAATTCTTTACTATTTCTCCTTTTTGTATAGCATATTATTGTTTCATACACAGCATTCTGTTTTTTCCTCAAGAATATTAATTGTAGCTCCTTAACAAGTTTTGTTCCGATCCCTGCATTTTCTGTTCTCCCTTATTTCTCTTTATTTGTTTTTTCTCTACTTCCTTAATGATTTTTTCCTCCTCTATGTAATGATTCTTTTCTTGTTCATTTAAATTTAAAGTTATATAGAAAAATTATATGGAAGTTTTGGCATAGCAGAGCTTATCTGCTGATGGATTTTACTGTATAATTATGTTATTAAGCCAGCCTTTTTGTGTGGAAATATTAAGATCTTGGAAAAATATTTTGTGCTTTTTTCAATGAAGAATCATGTGATCTCCAGCTTGGGTTAAGAGAGAAGTGTTGTATGTCTGGCTGACAATGTCCTGAGACCATGACCTTTTGGTTCATAGTTTCTTATTTGTTAATATGATATTTAATTTTTTTTCACTTATATTGATTAGAGAGATTGTCCTATAATTCTTCTTTCTTCTAACACATTTTTCAGGTTTGGATACCAGTTATACTGGCTTCATAGAATTACGTTCTAATATTTGTTTTGTTTTTCATTCTTGGGAAGACTTTATATTCAATTGCTATTTTTCTTTCAGTCGTTTAAAAAATTCTCCACTGAAATCATTGGGACTTGAAGTATTTTTTTTGGAAGGATTAATTAAGGACTTAATTCCCTTAATAAATAAAAGACTACTCAATTTTTAAATTTTTTCTTCTGTCAGTTTTGGCAGGTTTTGTTATTCCAAAATTTGTCCAATTCATCTAGGTTTTCTATTGTTTGGCACAAGTCCTTCAAATGCTTTATTAAGATCTCTTTGCTGGTTTTTTTTTTGGCTCTTAAATAATACCTTCTTGCTCATTCCTGATATTCCTGCTTTTTCTCTTTTTAAAATTTTACTAGATGTTAGTCCTTTCAAAGAACCAACTTTTGGCTTATCTTTTTCTTGACTGGGTTTTTTTTCTATTTTATTAAATTCTGTTTTTATCTTTGTTTCTCTTCAACTCTTGCAGAGTTGAAGTTACTTGCAGAGTTAATTCTTTAGAACAGTTGAGAGGGACAGTGGTACCAGAATCTGGGTGCTTTGGTGGAATCTTGAAAGTAGGGAAGCTTGCCTTTCCCTCAGGAGTGCTGCTGAGTATCTAGCTCTGATTGCTTTCTATGAATTGTAGACTTATCTTTCACTTGCTTTAAGTAACTCATTTCTTTTTACTTTATCTGATAGTATTTCCCTGTTACTCACAACACTGTCAAGTTGTAATAACAACCACATGTTTTATTATGTGGCTTCAATCGTAACACTTCACTTTTTAAAACATTTCCCCCTCATTCTCAGAGTCACTCTTTATACTTTTTACAGTTCAGTCATAGCTTATTTTCACCTGTAATTTCACTCTTCTCTCTATCCATGTAGCCATGGAAACCATCACAAAATGCCTGCATTTTACAAATCATGGTATAAATTACAGACCATTACAATTGTTATGTTACTGTTCTCTTAAGAGTGCTGCATTTTCACCTATGACAAGGGTTATGACTGTTATTAATTCCAAAAGGATTTGTGGTAGTTCGGTGTAGGATTAGGTCGGTTATGCCATGGTCTTCCCCTCAATTAGTGTCATGATGAGATAAGTCATTATTGGATAATTTTAATAGCTGCTTTTACATTTACTGTGAAAGACTATGTCTCTAATTAAGGTTCTTGATTATGTTCTAATTTTCCATTAAATATTAAACTTCACAAAATTCTCTTCAGAAATGCAATTCTACATATCTGTGAAATATTTTCTGCTAGGCACTGTGACAGGCATTACAGGGAATGATTTCAAAGATCAATGGAGAAAATGAATAAACTATGCAAATTAATATAACAGAGATGAATATAGACTATTTATTAGTCAAGGACCAATGAAGAAAATAGAAAACACTCTAGGTATTTAAGACAGAGGGAATTTAATACAAGAAACTGGTTATCCAGCTGATGGAAGAGACTGAGAAGCCAACTCAGGGACAGTGTAGCAATCCAGAGATCGGCAAGAACTAAAAGCCGCTACCAGCTCTGGGCTGGAGGGACAAAAATAAACAGTGGTACTGGATCCCAGAGACTTAACTCAGTTACTGGGCCATTGGGTGGAAGATACAATCATAGAGAGCTTGTCTGGCAAGTGCTAAAACCATGGAAGGAACACAGCATCTGCCAGAGACACTCATAATACAGATAGAGAGGGAAAACATCCTGGATTTTCTCTTCTTCCTTAGCTCCAATCTCCCATTAGTGATTTCCTAGAGTCTTCTGACAGGGAGCCTGGTAAATACAAACTGCAGGGATCAGCCCCCACTAGGACACCGAGAAAGCAGCAGAAGGACAAGGAATGAACGTGAAGGCCAGCAGATCCTGCACTGGTAGAGATGCCCACTGAAAATCCAAAACAGGGAGAATTGAGAAGAGTACTGCCCATTTTTCTCACACGCTAAATTGGCTTTATTCTGTATTTGAACTACATCCTCAAATACATTGACTAATTTTCACTTCATTGGAAAGGCAAATTTTGAAAATAGGTGATAACTCCCATAATGAATTGGCTTGTCAACTTGGTCTCTGTAACTTCCTACAGACATCTTCCCTACCTTTGACTCTAGTCCCTAGCTGCAAACAAAACAGAACAAGGTAAAACAATGCTTCAAACACCTCCCATACCATAACATTTTCTTTATATAGGTAAATGTTATTTGTAATCTTAAGGGCTATTTCTGTTCAAAACAAAAACAAATAAACCTGTACACCTATAACCATCTGATCTTTGATAAAAGTCCATAATAACAAGCAATAGAGAAAGGACTCCCTATTCAATAAATGGTGCTGGGATAGTTGACTATCCAAGTGCAGATTTGAAACCAAACCCCTTTTATTCACCATATACAAAAATCAACTCAAGATAGATTAAAGACTTAAATGTAAAACCCAAAATTTTAAGCACTCTAGAAGAAAACCTAGGAAATACCATTCTGAACATTGGAGACTTCATAACGAAGACTCCAAAAGCAACTACAACAAAAACAAAAATTGACAATTGGGACATAATTCACCTAAAGAGCTTCTGCAGAACAAAAGAAACTATCAACATAGTAAACAGTCTACAGAATGGGAGAAAATGTTTGCAAACTATGCATTCACCAAAAGTCCAATATTCAGAATCTATAAGAAACTTAAACAAATCAAAAAGCAAAAAACAAACAATCCCAATAAAAAGTAGACAAAGGACATGAACAGAAACTTATCAAAAGAAGACATACATGTGGCCAACAAGCATATGAAAAAATGCTCAGTATCACTAATCATTGGGAAAATGCAAATCAAAACCACAAGATACCATCTCACGCTAGTCAGAATGGCTATTATTAAAAAGTCAAAAAATATTATATGCTGTTGAGGTTGCAGAGTTGAGATTGCATAGAGTTGACCAATAATGAAAATGAGGCCGATGTAGAATTTGGCTTATACATAGTCTTTTTTGACAAACATCATATGAAATACTTTATAATTATCTGCTCCATTATGTAGATTTCAACTTGTGGTTTTCTCCATCAGCCTAGATTTTTTTCTTTCTCTGTGTGGCACCAAAGCTTCAGAGAGATCTAATGTGAAGCTAAAGTCCTGATTGTTTTTCAGGAACACTCTCTGATTTCCTTACATTTTTCTTTATATTTGATGACATAAGATTCCAGTAAATTGCTGGTTTTTGGGAAAGTGTGTAATTTTATAATAACCTAGAGAGTTGTGGATATTAGCTAAATCTTTTATAGATGTGGCTACAAAACAGAAAACAGAAAATAGCCTTCTTTTTGTGTTATGGTTAGGATGATGTTTCACAAACTATAGTTTGCTACAGAGAGATTCATTGATTGCCCCATCTGTGAAATTCTGTATGCTTTGAAGTCTTAATTGGTATCAAATCGCAAGGTACTAAAAATAATTGAAAAAATAAAATAATAAGCTTTGCTGTGTAATGATTTTATTGGTACTAGGACCATGGGATTTAAAAAACTGAAATAATATATTTATACCATTATCCTTCCAAAGTGTATGCCTAATACATAAAGTAAACTGAATGATTGTTTGTTGAGCATTAAAAACTTAAAAATTTTTTATTGAAAAATAAGTGCAGAATAGGATGCAAAACATGAGTATAGCTCAGTGAATATAAACATCACACACATATGTTACCATTTCCAGGTCTAGAACAGAACATTGACGGCAGCTCAACCCAAGCCCCACATCCTTAATTTCCCTTCTCGATTATTACCATCTCCATCCTCCCCAAAGGCAACCACTGTCCTCACATCCAACCTAATAGCTGAGTGTATTTTTAACTTTAGATAAGTAAAATTTCGCCACATATACTTCTATGTCTGGCTTCTTTTGCTCATCATTTTATTGTAAAATATACGACAACTGATGTATTCTAATGTTAATGGTCATTGGGTTGTTTTCAGTTTTTGGCAATCATGCTGTGGACATTCTCAAACAAGTCTTTTGGTTCATCATGTTTACAGATTTCTGTTGGATTTATAACCAGGAGTAGAATTACTGGGTAAGAGTTCATGCATATGTTCAACTTTAATAATAACATTGAAATGTTTTCCAGAGTGGTTGTACCAATTTACGTATCACCAGTAGTCTATCAGAGTTTCATTGTTCCCTAGCTTCGGCAATACTTGCTATTGCGTGTTTTTATAATATTATCTCTTTTGGTAGGTATATGTTATTCCATGGTTACTAAAGAGCCTTGTCACCTATTCTTGTATTCGTTGGCTATTTGGATATTCTATTTTGTGAAATGTCTATTAATCCCTTTAAACAGGTTTCCTAAATTTTTAAATCTATTGTTTTATAGTTTCCATGCAGAAATTATGCACCTTTTAAACAAAAATGTTCTATATGTATTTGGTATTTTTGATACGGTTATAAATAATGTTTTTAAAATTTTCGTTGTGGTTTATAGACATACAATTGATTATTGAATATCGATCTTACTAAAATCATTTATTAATTCTAATAATTTATTATATATTTCCTTTGGGAATTTTTCCTATATAATGAGATTGCCTGCAAATAATGAAAAATTTTTATTTTTATTTCCAATACATAAAATTTTAATTATTTTCTGTCTGATGGCACTGGTTAGGATCTCTAGTAAAATGTTAAAAATGGTGGTGACAGAAGACATTCTCATCTTGTTTTCATTAGGAACAAAGCTGTAAACATTTTATTACTAAGTGTGATGTTTGGTAAAGATTCTTTTGTAAGCATCCTCTAATAATTTAAAGATATTACCTTATATTTCTCTTTTGCTGAGGGGTTATATTATAATTGGATGTTGATTTTTATTAAATACTTTCACTGCAACTATTGAGATGATTATATGATTTTCTTTTTCATTCAGTTAATGGGGTAAATTATATTGAGTAGTTTTTTAATATTAAATCTGCTTTTTATTCCAGGACCAAATATGAACTGGTTATAGTATATTAACTTTTTCTATATTTTTCTAAATTTTGTTTGTTAATATTTATTTAGAAATTTTTACATATATGTTTATTATTGATATTAACATAATTTGGTTTTATTGATTTCCTCTATTGTAGATTTGCCTTAAATTTCTTTAATTTCTACATTATTCATATTATTTCCTTCTGTCTATGCTGTTTGTGTTTATAACTCTGTTCTATCATTAACTTTTTGATATTTAGGCCATTTGCTTTTAGCTCTTCCTGTTTTTAATATATGTGGCTATTCATTAGTCTCTTGGCACAATTTCTGTTGCACTCCATGCAATTATGCTAGAAAACAATAGCTATTAGAAAATCACTATTGTTTTCTAGTACAATTGCGTATTCTAATTCTTCATACATTTTAACCCACAAAATCATTGTTTTAAGTAGTCAATAGTAATTTAGCTTTCTCTAAATACTTACCATTTTTACTGTTTTGCATTTTTCCTTTAATTACTGATCTCAATGTTGAATTATTTTCATTCTGACTGAAGATCTTTTAACATTTCTTACATTGTGAGTCCACTGGGAAACACACATACAAAACATACATGCAAAAAGTCCCCACTGGGGACTTTTATTTTATCTTTATCCTGGAACAATATTTGTATTGGTGTTTGAATATTAGGCTGGCAGTTATTTTCCTGCAACATTTTGAAAATGCAATTGCATTTTCTTCTGACTTTGTTTTTGTTAGGAAGTCAGCTGTCAATCAAGTTGTTGCTCCATGTGGCCTTTTTTCCCCTTTCTGGCTGCTTTTTTAAAGTTTTATTTTTGTCCTTGGTTTTTCAGTTTTTTTTTTATTATACTTTAAGTTTTAGGATACATGGGCACAATGTGCAGGTTAGTTACATATGTATACATGTGCCATGTTGGTGTGCTGCACCCAGTAACTCGTCATTTAACATTAGGTATATCTCCTAATGATATCCCTTTCCCCTCCCCCCACCCCACAACAGGCCCCAGTGTGTGATGTTCCCCTTCCTGTGTCCATGTGTTCTCGTTGTTCAATTCCCACCTATGAGTGAGAACATGTGGTGTTTGGTTTTTTGTCCTTGAGACAGTTTGCTGAGAATGATGGTTTCCAGCTTCATCCATGTCCCTACAAAGGACATGAACTCATCATTTTTTATGGCTGCATAGTATTCCACGGTGTATATGTGCCACATTTTCTTAATCCAGTCTATCATTGTTGGACATTTGGATTGGTTCCAAGTCTTTGCTATTGTGAATAGTGCCGCAATAAACATACGTGTGCATGTGTCTTTATAGCAGCATGATTTATAATCCTTTGGGTATATACCCAGTAATAGGATGGCTGGTTCAAATGGTATTTCTAGTTCTAGATCTCTGAGGAATCGCCACACTGACTTCCACAATGGTTGAACTAGTTTACAGTCCCACCAACAGTGTAAAAGTGTTCCTATTTCTCCACATCCTCTCCAGCACCTGTTGTTTCCTGACTTTTTAATGATCGCCATTCTAACTGGTGTGAGATGGTATCTCATTGTGGTTTTGATTTGCATTTCTCTGATGGCCAGTGATGATGAGCATTTTTTCATGTGTTTTTTGGCTGCATAAATGTCTTCTTTTGAGAAGTGTCTGTTCATATCCTTTGCCCGCTTTTTGATGGAGTTGTTTGTTTTTTTCTTGTAAATTTGTTGGAGTTCATTGTAGATTCTGGATGCTGGTTTTCAGCAGTTTTACTAGGATATACTTAGCTGTAGATGTCTTTTGATTTACCCTGCTTGGGGTTTGTAGCGCCTGTAGAATATTGGGGCTTGAAGCATAATGCTTTTTGGTTGTTTTGAAAAATTTTTAGCTATTAAGCTTATTTTTTCTATACCCTTCTGCTTTTTCACTCTTTGGGGGTATCAATTACATATATAGTGACTTCTCATTCTAGCTCTTATATTTCTTATCATTTGATCTTTTTTCCACCATTTTGTTTTATGGGTTCTATAGTAAATATTGTCTTCAGAGCTATATTCCAGGTTACTGATTCACTCTTTAGATACCTTGTCTAACCTGATGTTAATCCATCCGTTGAGTTTTTAATTTTGATTACTATGTTTCACAGTTATCAAATTTTCATTCAATTATTTTAATTGTCTAAATTATTTGCTAAAACTATCAAGCTTTAAAAAATCTCTCTGAATATATTACATATAGTTATTTAAAAATCTTTGATACCACCATTATCTGTATACTGTATGGTTCTGTTTTTATGTCTTTTTATCCTGCTGTTTTAAAATTATATTATCCTGTTTACTCATGTGTCTTACTATTTATTTTGTGGCAGATATTATAAATAAAATATAATAGCAGTAATCTGAAACCGAGGTAAGAGTTTGTGTGTCAATAGAGAGTTCGAGTTTTCTTTTGGTAGACGAGTTAGAGATGCAGCAATTTCAAATGACTTTAATCCAATTGAGATGAGGAAATTTTTGAAACTTGACAGCAGGTCCTACAGGGCAGGTCTATTTTTTTTATCTTACTATTATTCCAGGGTGTAAAAAAGAGAAGTGTTTAGCAAGGCTACCTCTTTTATATTTTTCCCTCTAGTCAGCCTCTGAGAGGCTAATAAAAAAATATCTCTGCTAAGCTTTTAACCTTTCAGCTATCTCTTCAGTAATTAGAACATTCTGACATTGAAAAAGTGATCCCAGATACTTGGCTCACCACTCTAGGTTTCCTTCTCATAGATAAAGAGCTTTATGACTGTTTAACCTGTTAGCCCACTAATGCCTTTAATCAGATTTCTTTTTACATGTTGTCTAATTTTCAAGGCCTTGACTTGTCCATCATTACTCACTAATCATTTACTAATAACTTAAATAATTATATTTTAAATTAAACACGAAATTATTAAAGAAAAAGCAAAAAAAAACTTTCAATATAAGATGTACGCATAGATGAGAGGATATATAATACTGCTAAACTCTCTGTTCAATTGCAAAATAGTCAAGATTTACTGGGTTTAATAAAATGTGTTAATCTATGTAAAGACTTTGTGACTTGGTAAATAGGCCAAAGTCACTCTTTATAATAAAGATGAACCACTTATCTTGGTTTTTTAAAAACTTTACTTATAATTCTTTATTTATTCAAAGATATATGTTTATTATTCTACTGCTATTACACAAATTTATATCTTTATTTCCCCAAAATTGTTAATTGCTAATTGGCCTTCTTGCCTTTAGTCTCTGGCTGTGTCTTAGTCTCTCCTCACATATTCAATCATATAGTCTAACATAGGTATACTAGCTTTATCTATTTATAGGTACAACATAGAACAATAAAAAAGAATACATTAGGTTAATGGGAGTAAAAGTCACTATACCATAATAGCCATATGGTTGTGGGGTGGGGTGGGGTGTGGTGTGGAGAGGGGCAGTTACTTCTCTAATAATTAATTACAGGAAAAACAGCTGTCTTTCTCAATAAATATAAAGCCAAAAAAATTAAGGTAGAGTGTCACTTCAGACTGGGCAAAAAGGAACAAGGAACTTGCATCTATTAGTAATAATTATGTGCCAATAACTTTATGCATATTATTTCACTTAATCATCACTACCTTGTGAAAAGGATTGTAATCCATGGTTTACAGATTGTATTTGTCCGGTTTTCACAGGAGGAAATGCACCAAAATTAAGAAACTTGCTTTAGTGTGATACAGCAGGAACAGTCCTAGCTGAGTTTCAGTGCATGGCTAATTGACTTTAAGGAGTGTGTTCTTGTGCTATGCCATACATTTCTTCCTAATAACAATAAGTTACTGAACAAACAACTCCAGAGAAAGTTATTTCCTAATTCATGATTTGCTCTTTTGCATTTACCTCAAGTTCCCCCTTCACACGATGTACCACTAAAAGTTCTATTTCCATTTGAGAAACTCACATAGAAATTTCGTAGATTATGTCAGCTAATTTTTATTACATAAATTTTAAATCTTTGTATAATTAACAATTTACTCAGTTTGGAGTTATTAAAGTTGTTTACATTTTGTAAAGAGAAAGTGAATTAAATGGCTATTATTTATTTATTTAATAGGGTCTCACTCTGTTGGCGAGGCTAGGGTGCAGTGGCATGATCATAGCTCATGGCAACCTCGAACTCCTGAGGTCAAGTTATCCTCCTACCTCAGCCTCCCAAAGTGCTGAGATTACAGGCATTAGCCACTGTTCCTTGCCTATTTAATGGTTTTTGAGTTTCAGTTGTTTTCTTAGCATACCAGGTCTAAACCTTGATTACTATTTAAGTTAAAGGATGTGATGGTAAACACAGAAAAAGCTGACATATTTTAGTTTAAGTCTACCATTTTATTATTAGTTTTCTCCTCATATCATTTTTTGATTCCATTTTATTCATTCATTTATCTTTTTTCTTACTGTGCTCCCAAATCTTAAGCATCCTACTAATCAGTGCACATTAGTAACTCTTTCCTTTCTGGCTGGCGGGATTCACAAATAGACTTCTGCTGTTTTACTACTGAGGTGGTAAATCAGGCATTTTAGATAATCTTAGATGGTGACTTTCAATAATACCTGTTTCATATCTGTCGTCAGCATTAGGGAGACACTACAGATAGATGAATGAAATCTAGGAATAGAAAATATTAGGGCACCAAATGCTATAGAGACTCAAATCAAGCAAAGCCCAAAGAATGTTCTTTGCTCTTCTGTTTCCTTTTCAAGGGGATATAGAGAATCTGATGAGCTTATGTCATATAGGATTCAAGAGATAGAGCTGGTACAGGCTGTGGGTTAGAAGACTGAGTAGAAACCAGGCAACCAAAGGATACATTTGAATCACACCAGCAGTCAAGATTACAGAAGTGCTACAAAGCATTAGATAAGAGGGGATCTTGTGAATCTTTTCACAGGAAACATGGTGGGAACAAAGAATTGGGAAAGAAGCATAAGCAGGTTGAAGTAAAGTGACCTGAATATAGCTATTAGCACAGTACCTGATACATCATAGAAAGTTATTATAGAAAAACACACAACTGTGTGTATTCTTGATACCATGAATGAGTGCGTTTTAGTCTTATTTGTACCTTGAGTGGTGCTTGACAGTTTTTCTATGTCTCTCTTAGATTCTAGTTCACACAGACACACAGACACACAGACACACAGACACACACACACACACACGTACACACCCCAGACCCTCAGCTGGTAACTCCTTCAACTGTATCTCTTTTACCTAAAAGCTCATCTAAATCTTCTTTTACTGTAATCTCCTTTCCTCAGTTTTCTAGAATAAAAGGTATTCTTCCTTAACTGGACTCTTGATCTCATTTCTTACCAATTTACTTGATATTTTGGTATATCAATTGATGCTTTTTCTCTCCATTATTGTCAACATTTCTGTCTGTATTAGCTTCTTCTCACTATCCCATACAGTTAAATATCACCCATACCTACAGGAAGAATTTCTTTGACCTCACCTCTCTCTTTCACTACCAATTTATCTTTCATTTCGTCTACTGCCAATCCTCATGGGAATACATAGTATGATCATTGCTACCTATTTGCCACCCCAGATTCATCTCCTCATCTACTTTAACTTGGCAACAATTGCTTCTCTGAATATTTTCTGCCAAAAGTCACAGTCAAAGTCTATTCTGTGATGTTAACCAGCACATCAATTTTATGGCACTCCATCCAAGGCTTGGAATAAACAAGTGCCTTATGCTTCCCTTTTCACAGTCTATCTTCTTTCATTAAACAGTATTTTTAGTACTAATAATACACAAGAATTGGGGATTTTCTATAATAGCACTTAGGTATCTAAGTCCTGGACTAGTAAAAGAAGAGATGATGATTTTCAGGAGAGACATGAAGAAAGGACCGGGCTGTGGGGAGTTGAAGGCATCGGCCATGGGGAAGAAAACAAGATCAGGCAGACACTGAGAAAATTGAAGAAAATAATTAGTGTGAGAGGATGGGGAATAAGAAGCTGAAGTGGATGTGGTCAAGGAGTGTATATAAGTGGAGAGATATTGATATAGAAAACTGTGGTAAAGGATTAGGATATTATAGGATTACATATTTTCCATAAAGATGATAAATTCTAGACAGTGACCACCAGGGGTTTGGTGAAGGTGTTAGTGGGGATAGTTTCAGTTTGAAAGCTTTAAAATGTTGTGAGACTATGTGCTTGGGTGTTGAATAAATAGAACATAAAGGACAATTGCGGGAAATTATTAGTCTTTGGTCATGAGAGAAACAAAAATGAGAACTGAGCAACCACAATCCAGAAGCTTGTCAAAGACCACTAGTGGAGGGAGGAATCCAGCAACAGTTGGGGGATTCATTATGACCTTTCTCTATTGCCTTTGGCTCATGATAATCTCATTCTTAGATTCCTTCTTCACTTACTGTTTTTGCTATACTATTCTTTTATGTAGGCTATGTGTACAGTCTGGCTAGGACCTGTACATAGTTCTATTTTACTTGCTATTTCTCTTATTATTTCATCTCACAAATAGAGTGTATTCTTTTCTTTGGGTGGGAATTTTGTGTATTATGATTAAAAAAAAAAACAAAACTCTACGCTTGTGCCTAAGACAGTTTCTTGAATGCTATGCTTTTTTTTTTTTAAAAAATACTTACTGATTAGTTAACTAAAGACCATATTCTGAATATTTAATCCATCACAAAAGCTCAAAATGGTCTTATTGAATAGTACACTCATGATTATTTAGAAAATATACTTATGATCAATTATTTACTAAGAACATGATCTCTTCTTTCAACAAATTTGTCATTTTTATCAGTGATGTTAATTAAACAAAATCTTAGGTAATCTATTGATGGGTACATATTGGCGAATTAAAAAATTGACAAAAACAGTTTTACATTTCATATTGATACATTTTGTTTGAATTGTTATTAACAATTTTAAATATAAAATATAAAAATATAATATTTTAACATAAAAAATAAGAATTTGGGGAGACTATTACAGTCACAAATCTTTGAGAAGGGAACATCTGCAGACGTTTGGGGATAGAGAGTTTATGAGTATTTTTGGTTTCCTCTCTGTGACAGGAGAGAGAAATACATTAGCTCAGCAGGAAAAGGTTGTTTTGCAACTAGGAAAAGGCTTTTATTTTCTTTTTTATTCGTTTTTTATTTGGGAAACAGCTGAAAGGCTATACCAAAGAAAATTGTGGAACCAGAGAAAGTCAAGTTTTTGAAGACAGATGATAAACACAGTCAGGTTAGAGCCAGGCAGAAGGATGTTTCCAAGAGAGCAAAATGTACACACATATGAAAAATTCTGACCTCTTATTGCACTGTCCTAGAATTCTTCATCCCAGAAAGTGCTGCAAGGAAAAGATCATGTTCTTATAATATATTGCATTTGATCCTAAACCCAGAAATCAGTTAAGCTTAAAAGGAAAATTTTGAAATGTACATATGTAACAAACCTGCACATTGTGCACATGTACCCTAAAACTTAAAGTATAATAATAATAAAATTTAAAAAAGTCTATATGCAGTGTTCTTTTTCATTCAGTACTTAAAGATAAAATACATATGTAAGCCCACTTTCTAATCTAACTGTATTTCCATTTTATTTTTTTAAGTACTTTGTTTTGAGTATGTGAAAAATAAAGACTGCTTTTTAAATCCTTAGGGAGAAAATTGTTTCAGCAAGCCCATTCCAGTCTTCAAGGCTATTATTACAGGCCAAAACATTAAAATGCCAGCGAGCTGGTGGAACAATAAAGTAAAGGTCAGTCGGCATGATACTAACTTAGTCAAAGAAAGTAATTTCCAGCTAAAAGCATTTGTGCTTTTTTTAAAAAAAGATGAAAATGGTAAAGAAAACCATTTATTCACATGAGGTTCATTTGATTTTTCTCTGAGAAATATATTTTATTTTTGCTACCTGGACTAAGAAGGCTGAAAAAAATCACTGTGAACTGCTATTTGCATTTCATAGGTTGACTGATTGACTGACTAATAACCACATCTTACTCTGTAGGGGGGAGAATAAGGAAAAAAAGGAAAATGTAAGCATGCCTCTGTGTGTGTGTGTGTGTGTGTGTGCACGTGTGCACGTGCTGATACAGCAATCCTTGTTAAAAGATAAAGATAAGTTGGAAAAATAAGGGATATACTTTATTATTAAGAGATTCTGAGATTATCTATGTCTGGACTTTTTCTAATTCTTTTTAATTATTTAATGATTAATAAAAAACTGTTTTGTGTATGGAGCGCAAAACTACAGTTGTTATTCACAAAACATGATTTTGTTAGAAATTCACACCCAAGGTTTAAAAAAATCCCTCAAACTTATTTGACTATGTTAAGATGACTAAATATAATTTTTATTTTGAGACTGGGTCTTGCTCCGTTATTTAGGCTGGAGTGCAGTGTTGTGAACATGGCTCACTGCAGTCTTGACCTCTTGGGCTCAAGTGATCCTCCCAACTCAGCCTCCCCAATAGCTGGGATCACAGGTGAGTGCCACCAGAGCTGGCTAACTTTTTTTATTTTTTGTAGAAATAGGGTCTCATCATGTTGCCCAGTCAGGTCTCAAACTCCTGGGCTCAAGCAATACTACCGCCTCAACCTCCCAAATTGCTGGGATTAGGCGTAAGCCACTGCACCTGGCCTGTTTTAAGCAAAAACACTGAGTGTAACTTTTCACTTATTCATATTACAAATATTCATTAAGAAACCACTGTGGGCTTGGTAGCATGCTCTGTGCTGAAGGGGAGCATGAGGAAATGAATTTGCTGTCTTCAAGTTGTCTACAAGTTGTGATTTGTATAACCATTTAGAGATTTAGGCAAGATACTTCTATGAGCAGGGTCAAACAGCAAGGGAGATTTAACTGTTAGGATGGTGTGGGTAGTTAGACAGCAAGGTAGGGCTAGAAAGGTAAGCAGAGATAAGACATGGAGGAGTCTTGTCTACATGGTAAGGGGTTTGATTTGTAAATTAAAAGCATGAATTCCTGTGATCTTTTTTCTCTTTTCAAAACATCTTTTTCTTTGCCTCTCTCCAAACAGTGCATTTATTTGTAACAATAAAACCATAGGACATTTTACAAAAGAAAACTGAAATATAAAAAAATTCCAATTAGGATGTTTACAATTGAATGTGACACCATCAAAATAACACATTAAGTACATATGCTTCAGGAAAACATTTTAAATTGGCTATTTCTTTTGGTGTCTGAGAATTGTCCACAGTTCGGTTATTGGTTCAGTGAAATGAATTTGCCTTGAAATTCATAAATTTAAGAGGGAGACATGTTTGGTCTGTGCTTTCTCAAAACATGTAACTGCTGCCATGCTTCCATCACTCACCTCCTAAAGCATACACATATAGTATAGATAATATTCATTTAGATATTTTTACACATATTTCTATATTACTTTAATAAGAACTTTGTTTCTTGGTTTGGTTTGGTTTTTGAGCTTCTACTAGGAAATAATAGTTCTAGTAGACACAGGGCTTTTCTGGTACTTATCATTGTCCTATAATGACCTGAATATGAGTTTTAAGGACCACTTTTTTGATTGGTACGTGTTTCTTTCAGCAATAATTGTGTGCTGGTGTGTGGGTGCACGCACACATATTTTGATTTTTAGTTTCCTTTTTTCCTCCAATAGACATTTTAAAAAAGTACTCTGGCAGAAGGCTATATTAAGAAGGTAATTAACAAAATAATGTGCAAGTGATCTTACAAAGATATGCCTTATAACTGACCAATGAGCCGCTTAGCCTGTCAGAGATGTTTAGGTAACTGACTTTTTTTTCGTTCATCACTGAATACAGAAAGATTTTTGGATCAAGCTTTGTTAGAAACGAAAACCTAATAGAGGAAGGTGCACATTTCTGAGTGTCTTGCACCCTCTGGTCTCAAGTGTAATGCCGGGTATGTACAACCTCGAGATCGGTGAGGGGTACCCTGCCCAGATGAGGTGAGGCTGCTGCCCTCCGCTCCCATGTGCTCAGGTAGCATATGTACATTTGGTCTCATTGTATGCACATACAACTAAGAGACCAGTTAGATTTTCTGAAGAATGGTTTTGACAGTGATCACTTAATGTACTGTACAAACAGGAAATTTTTGAAGGACACTGGTAACAATTATGCAGGGATAGCAGTTTTAAACCAAAACTTTTCTGTGGGAACTGAGATATACAGTTCCTCTAGATTCATACAAGTCTCATTCATTCATGTGTTTCATTCTCAGCTAGGTGTTCCCTCGTGAGCATTTTGGGGTAGGAAAGCTTGTATTTCTGCCTTTCCTGAAAAAATGTAGCTGATTTCTTATTTTTATGTCCTTATTATGGAAATTCAGCTCTGTATCTTTTAGATAAGTAAACTTTGCTTTTTTTCTTATCATTATAAGTCTGCCATTGGTATTTCTGAAAACAGGAATTATGTAGATATAAATATTCATGTGTTGTATTTAAATATAAAGAATTCTGACATTGGGTAAATTGCTTAACCTCCCTTTGCCTTAGTTTGTCTATAAAATTGGATGGTAAATGCTATCAATTTTACAGAGCTCTTGTGCTAACTAATGACTTGCCTATATCTAAAGTACTTTGAACAGTTTCTTGGACGCAAAAGGCTGGTAATAATAATAGCAACAATTATTATTACAAATTTCACTTTGTCTCAGCCACGGTCCTTTACCTCTGTTCTTTTCCTGGATCTACTTAGGAGGCCTTGTCTGTAAATGATGCTTCTTTGTTCAGGTCCTCCGATCTTCTCACATAGGATAACACTCCACTGAATATGCCACCGCCCTCCACGTCATATTCATTTTCACTAGGGAGTGTTAATTATGTACTTCCCTATGGCTTGATTTCATAAACAGCACAACTTTAGAGAAGCAGACAAGAAAATGCCTAGATTCATGGCAGTGAACGATCTATGTCTCTGCAGCTGATGGTCATACCACCTTTCTTCTCACCTCTTTCTGAGGGAAACAAAAGGGAAAGAAAACTGCATCATCATGCTTTCCAGAGTGCCAGCAGTAGTATCTGGTACACAGGAAGCCCTCAATGTGTGTTTATTGAATTAAACTGCATTTTTAAACTTTGTTAAATCTTAGAGACAAATCTAACAAATTCCACAATATTTTTCTTTGTCTAGGGGTAATGACGTGGCTTGTGATAATATGATAATTTTGATACAGTTGACAGATATTTTCCCATGACTTGTAGCAATGTATTGTTAGCAAATTAATGCCAGATATCTCCGTATACTGACTTCACTTTTCTTTTGTCAGAGATAAAATGAGATTAGGTCAGAAATTTCAATGGAATTATTAACTGTAATATTTATGCCCCCAGAACATATTCTCAATAAGATTTGACACTAAATGTAATTGGGATAAAATTACTTTATTTTTCTGGAATGTTTGGTTGTGTGTGAAGTTAAAAATTACAAGTTCAATCAGTAAAAAATGTTAAATGACCATTTACTGAATGTTAGACACTAAGCTAAACACTGCTGGCGTAAAAAAGATATAATACATGTGCCCAGTTATTGGCATAATAAATGTAAGATGTCTATTAAATATCCAAGTGGAGATGTCAAGGAGGCAATGAGATGAACAAGCCCAGAGGTTACATGAGAGGTCCAGGCTGGAGACATAAATTTGGAAGTGTTGGGTTATAGATGACATTTAAAGCCTCGAGACCTGATGAGCTCACCAAGGGAGAGAGTCTAGATTGCAAAGAAAAAACATCTAGGCTTGGGCTGTTTGGAGGACTGTAATGTTGGTATACAAGATTCTTCCAGGGTCTGAAGGAGGAGACTTCCTGCTCTGTGTGAAGTTTCAAGGCAGCTCTAATTAAATTTGAATGCATAAATGTTATATTGCCTATAATTTACTTTAAAATGCTTTAGCAAAAACATGGTAAACGATGCATTTGTTGTTCAGTTTTGATCTACACCCTAGGGTGGTTAGTTCCTTTTGAACTACAGTGATCAGGAATACACACTTTAAGGGCAATCAGCATTTGAGAGGCCCATCAAAAGCTTGCACTACGGAAGTGGTCCAGCTATCTGAATTCCCATTAACCCAGCAGGTGTGCCCTGTAGCTGATGGACAACTAAAGTCTTCCATCAAACTGAAGTGTTGTTGTTGTTTTTTTAAGTGAAATGAGTAGTATTCAAGAGATGTGGATTCACTGGAAATATACTTCTACTTTTTAGGAATCACATAAAATAATAATTTTAATAGTTTATGCCTTTCAGAAATATAATCTAGATTTAAGGTTTCCATCTAAACTCTGTTCAGGGACATGGAGTATTTTGTCATCTGACACTTTACTAGTTATTTGAATCTAGGTTTATTGTAGAAACTGTCTTGAATGAAATTCCAGGTCAGGTACTTTTTGGAGTACTTAAAAGGGAAGAGCTTGGACTGTATCTTGTTACCATGTAGGTTGTAAAACATTTTGTTTGCTTCATAAACAATATTTGTAAAGTGACAGAATAAAGTCAGATACTGGCTTCCCTAAGATACTCGCTTTCATTATAACATATGGCCTGATAACAAGGGGTGTGTGTGGGCATGTCTGTGTACATGTACCCTTCATTGCCTTTAACTTTTAGAGACTATACTGACACCTATCCAAAGAATGTAATTATGATAACAGTATATAATTGTAGATTACTATATTAATCTGTTTTCATACTGCCATAAAGATACTACCTGAGACTGGGTAATTTATAAACAAAAGATGTTTGATTAACTCACAGGTCCACATGGCTGGGGAGGCCTCTGGAAACTTAAAACCATGGCTGAAGGTGAAGGGGAAGCAAGCACTTTCTTTGCAAGGAGGCAGGAGAGAGAGAGAGAGAGCACAGGAGAAATGCCAGACACTTATCAAGCAAACAGATCTAGTGAGAACTCCCTGCCTATCACAAGAATAGCATAGGGCAAACCACCCCCATGAGCCAATCACCTCCCACCAGATCCCTTCCTCAACAAGTGGAGATTACAATTTGAGATGAGATTTGGGTGGGGACACAGAGCTAAACCATATCAGTTAGTTGGTAATATTGCGTTACTTGAACATCCAGTATCTTAGGTGTTCAGACTTATTATAGTAGATTGTAAGGGATATAAAATACCCCAAATATCTATGGGATAGAGTGTTGGGGAAATATATTTGAAAATGAAATCTCTTCCCAACCAGAAATCCCCTCCATGAAGTTAGTAGAGAAAAAAAATATTAAAAAAAATACATGTAACTTCTCCCCCCAAACTCCCATTTTCAATGGTTTTTTAAGGTATAAGAAGACTCTTAATACTGAATAATCATTAATTCAAAATGTGATGCACAACCCTGGCAATTGACTAAGAGATTGCAAAGACAGACTTTCTTACAGTCAAGCAGATGCAACCCATTTCATACATCTTCCCAAGATAAACAATAACTAGTCTTCAAGTAAGAAAACTTCATAGCATCATTTGCTGCACATCATTCATCCTAACTTTACCTGGTAACTGAGGTTAATCATCTGTGTTAGCCAACTGGCTTTAATGAGAGGGAAATAAAACTTATAACTTAATGGCAGGAAGTAGTTTTGCAACTTGAGGAAAGGTGCCCCCTTAAATTAGGCTCGTACCCTTCTGCAGAAACTGGGAAATAGTGGTGCTGTCTCCCTTGATGTTTACATTTCTAAGAGATGTCTTCTGTGCCTTTGAAAAAGACACTCCTAGATCATAAAGCTGACAAATGGCCGACTTAGTCTTCAAGAGGATTTATATACATGTCAAAGAGAGAAGAAAGTACTTAAAATTACAAGTTTTCTAAAGTAAATGCTGAAAAAGGAATGGAGGAAAATCTCTTTCCTTTTTTTTACAGAGAGAATGAAGCCTCTTTAAAAAATTTGTATTTGTTCTTACAATAGTAAGAGACAAGAATTTTATTTAAAATAAATTTAAGTGTTACATATTTCAGAATAAAGCTGTTTGGTCATAGGAGGAGGGGGGTTATGAAAGGCTATAGGTGAGAGATGATCACAAGAAATTGAAGAATGATTAGGATTTAGAAACATGTAAAAGAGAGCAAAAGCCTTTTAGGTATGATGAGAATAGCTGATCTTGCCTTCCTACTGGGTGGCTCTGGTTCTTCATGTTCTTGCATGTGGCTACCTAGGCTGAGAGACAAGCATCAGTTCTAAGCCTATGGGGAAGTGTTGGGAAGGTAAGCTGGAGAAGACTCAGAGCAAAGAACTCGAGGAAAGCATCAGAGATTAGTCCGGCATGCAGCCATGTGACAGATACTAGCAGGGAATAGTAAGTAGGAGTGCAGCAATAAGAGATAAGAACTTGGAGATGTCCTAGAGGCATTGTTCCTTGGTGAGCAGGTGTGTTAGTCCATTTTTATGCTGCTCATACCTGAGACTGGACAATTTATGTGGGAAAAAGGGTTTAATGGACTTACAGTTCCATGTGGCTGGGAAGGCCTCATAATCATGGTGGAAGGTGAGGAGGAGCAAGTCACATTTTACATGGTTGGCAGCAGGCAAAGAGAGAGAGCTTGTGCAGGGAAACTCCTGATTTTAAAACCATCAGATCTCATGATACTTATTCAGTATCACGAGAACAACGCAGGAAATACCTACCCCCATGATTCAATTACCTCCCACCAGGTCCCTCCAACAACCTGTGGAAATTCAAGATAAGATTTGGCCAGGGACACAGCCAAACCATATCAGCAGGTCTATCAAAACCTATCCCCCCAAACCAAGAAAGGTGAGAGGCAGAAGAAAGAGGCTGACAAATTGAGTTTCTGAGAAAGAAACATTTAATAGAGATCTATGAACTGAAGCCATATCTCTGACTACCATGAGACAAGATGGTGGATTCCCAGGCAGTCACTCCTCAAACCCCAGGCTTATATACAATAGTAACTATCCTTATCTCTATAATAATTTTAGTTTGAATAGGGAATTGGCCTAAGGGCAGGATTTATGCTATGACTATGTTTATAATAACATCAAGATAGTTTTAACCTAAGGGCAGGATTTACAGTAAGTACTTGAAAGTGGAAATCTTGATGCATTCCTGGAACTGGAGTTAAGCGACTGGAGCTTAGCATCCAAGATGGAGTGACTTAGCCTTCAAAGGCATGTAAACAATGAATAGGTCGGGTCTGTTTGAAAGTGCTGAGAAAGGACAGGAACAAAGTAAGAGTGTAATCAAAACATAGCTGTGTGCATTATATGGGGCAAAATAATAATGATAATAATAATAATAATAATAATGATACAGAATGGCTGGACTCCAGGATAAACCCCACCCTTAAGCATGGAACTATGACCCTAAGTGAAAACAGAAGACCCCGTTTTTCCACCCAAGTCTTGCTTTTTTGGCCTGCCACACTCCTATCCTGTGCCAATAAAAAGACTTCAGCTGGCAGAGCAACACAAGTGGCTGATGCAAGGACTCAGGGGTGCAAGTTGCTGAGTGTCATCGAGGATACAATTTGCTGAATGTCATGGATACGAGTGTCTGAGTCTTGGAGACTATGGATAGATGTGGCTAACTTCAGATGGCATGGTTTAAGGGAAAGATCACCATCTTCCTGCACCATCCCCTTTCCAACTCCCCATTCCACTGAGAGCCACATCCATCACCCAGTGAAAATCTCTGCATATGCAACCCTTCAATCCATTCGAATGACCTGATTCTTCCTGAACAGCCTGGACAAGAACCTGGGTGCTGAGAGGCAGGGGCTTGAATACTGCTGCAGGGCCCACACAGAGCCTGCTCCCGTCAGAGCTTGCATCAGCATTTGTTCCCTCTGGTTCCCACACTCACCTGCTGACACACTCCCCTCTCAAAAGGAGTGGCCAGCAGTAAGCTGAGTGAAACGAGCCACTCCAATTCCTGCCCCCAAAAGGGGCTCAAGGTCAAGGGAACTATCCTATGTCAGTAATAATTTTAGTTTGAATGGAATATAATTTAGGTCCTATGAGAGAAGTTTGTTTTCTCTGCCTTACTCCAGAAATACCTTTTGGATGGCTTACACAGAGTAAATAAATGATAAGTTAGAGATAATAATGAGAACCATAGAAAGTATAAATAGAAATAAAACATGATCATCTATAGAACTTGACTATCCATTTAATATAGATAGAGAAGAATTTGTGAAATAAATACATCTTTTGAACAAAGAGAACAAGTAAATAGTTCAACTTAGCTAGAATAGGGAACATAGTATAAGGAACAGATTTTGGGGAGAAGGTAATGTTAGACTTGAATATAACTTTGAGGTTTCAGTTGGCGACACTGAGGTGAAAATGCCTGGTAAGAAGTTGGGAATGAAGAACAGGAGCTCATGAATATGAGGCTGGACACACCACTGCTCATGTGTCTATCTATGTAGCGGTGATAGTGGAAGTCATTATACTAGACTTTAGACATTATGTTAAAATCTCTGGAAAATGTTAGGAGTATTGAAATTGCCATTGCAACATTATAACAGAAAATTATTACAGTGAAGGAAATCTGACCTAACCAACTCCATCTTGCTTCTAACCTCCAACGTGTCCTTGTTCATTCCTGGGCATGGGCCAAACTAACTTTGGGAGGAACTTTGATTATAGTTGAACTTTGAAACAAAGTCGATAAACACCCTTTCCCCTCTCCTACCCCAAACAAAAAAATACCCTTCCTGCCAGGGGACTAGACTGCCTTTGTAGGACTAACAAAGTAGCCACAGGTTAGAAATTATAGTTTAGGAATCGTGTGGTTTGAGGCAACAAGATTCGGACCCTCCACAAACTGCTCCTGAGGATAACATCACTATTGTAAAACTTAAGATAGGTTTTACAGTGCTGGAGATATTTTGGAGACCCTGCACTCGATTGCTCAGCTGGCACCACCTAGATTGATAAACTGGCTCATCTGGTCTTGTGACCCCCACCCAGGAACTGACTCAGTGCAAGAGGACAGCTTCAACTCCCTATAATTTTATCTCTGACCCAACCAGTCAGCACTCCCAACTCACTGGCCCCCTATCCACCAAATTATCCTTAAAAATCCCAGTCCCTGAATTCTCAGTGAGATTGATTTGAGTGATAATAAAACTCTGGTCTCCTGTACAGCTGGCTCTGTGTGAGTTAAACTCTTTCTCTATTGCAGTTCTCCTGTCTTGATAAATCGGCTCTGTCTAGGCAGTGGGTAAGGTAAACTTGTTGGACAGTTACAGTATCAAGCCTAAAATTCATAATTTAAGTTTGGTGTCTGGAAAATACATTTTTTTCTACAGGTTTCTAAATAATTATAATTTATTATTATTACTAGGAATAACCAAATAACACGGATAAGAATTGGTATTATTGAAAATAGATGCATGAATTCTTTTGTGGGGGAAAAAGATATTAATCCTTTAGAAGTACAGAATATTAGTACTTTCCCATGAAAAGGCTCTGCCCCACCCCCCATGTGTTTTTGAAATCTTCTCTCAATTGGGTTGGAAATATTGAAACAGGAACATCTTTGTTGCTGTCACAGGAACTGATAGTTAATGGTGTTACAAAGAAACATTGTGTCAACAATATTTCTGTCCCATTGTGAGTCTATTTTTCTCTCATGTTTCAAACTGATAGGGATTCTTTCAGATAAAGGAAGTAGAATATTACCATTCCAATCACTCCATTGTGTCAGAGAAAACCAATTGCAGCAGAATACGTGCAAATAATTATCAGGTTGGGCAGAGCTCAGCAGAATACAAACACCTGAAAGTTTACAAGTAATGACAACGGCCGCCATTTCTAGGAGTATGTTGAATGGAAAGATTTTACTGCAAATGCCAAGATTTATTGACCAAATTCAGCCTTATTACTTACCCAAAGCAGAGTTCTCACAGAACTCGTAAAGATCATTTTTTAAATGGAGTCTCGGGTAATCACCCCTCTTCTATTTTGCCATTTCTGGTTTCAGCCCCTTTGCCTGGGATATAGTTTTCATTAACTGGTCTTGATTTTTTGGCCTGGATACTTCCTTTACATTGACTCTGTTATCCTGCTTTTTTCTCTGCATGTTGTCCTAGTTTATTTGCCTAATGCCCATCCACCTTGCACTACCAGAGGCTTGTATATGTGGACAGATTCCTCGTACTGATACTTGTTCAAGAGAACAGTTCGCTTCACTCTAATCACTTTCTGTAAATTGCAACCAGAGCACTGAAATCGTCTCAGCACATGAGACCAGGGAGGAAAGTTGACAGAGGAAACACTAGAGATGAAGAAGGGGTGGGCAGAAGAATGAGCCTGTGTCTGATTTTATATAACACACACTGACCCCATTCTTTAAAAATAAATCTGGATGGGCTGCAATGGGTTGCTGAGCCCCTTAAAATCTGAGTCTTCAAGTAAAAATGAAGTGACAGGAATAGCTGATAGGCTGACTCCAACTCATTACCAGGAAGATGGCTGGCTACATGTGGGATGACTGGGAAACAGACCTGTCTGGATATCATCTGAAGCTAGAGATTCCTAGACTACATTAAACTATTCCTTAACTCAAAATAGTTGGCCAACATATAAGTCAGAGTCTAAAAATGTTGTTATTAAAACTCTCTGTTTCTCTAATAGTTTTAAAGTCATACTACCATGAATATACAATAAAATATATACCTTTCTAACCATATTATTATTCTATTATTTTTAAAAAACAAATAAAAAACCTTTGTTTTCTTCTAAACACAGTTGGAAACCACTGTAGGTCTTACAGCATATCAATACCTGAACTTGTTGGATACAGTTTGAAAATTATTATACATTAAATACTGAACATGCCCAGAGTGGATACAATCAGAGTACCTGGTGCCCTTATAAAACTCTCTTAAATAGGCTATTTCTCTCAGGGTATGCTATATATTGTCATATATACATTCAAGTTCTATTAATTGGTCTACTATTTTTGACATTTCATCTTCACTTTTGTTATCTTTGAGAGGAATTCAATATTAGGATGAATTATGTTTGTCTCTGAAAAAAATAGGTATTGGGTATTTTCTACCAAAGAGAATTTCATTCTAACACCTATCAGGTAGATATTAACATTTGCCTTATTTAATTGATGAAGAAACTCAAGCTAAATGAACGCAACTTCCTGCAAGTCACCCAGCTAGGAAGTGGTTAGAGATAGGATTCAAGCCTTGAGCTCATTAACCCTTCACCTTGTTGCCTGCTAACAATTAGAATTACATTTTTTGGCCTAAGTCTTCTTGCATCTTTGTTC
Source organism: Homo sapiens (assembly GCF_000001405.40). Classification (NCBI taxonomy): domain Eukaryota; kingdom Metazoa; phylum Chordata; class Mammalia; order Primates; family Hominidae; genus Homo; species Homo sapiens. Next base: position 195,139,751 of record NC_000002.12, on the reverse strand, counting down.
CAAATAAACAGCTATTTATTTTTCCTCTAACACACTCAGTAAACATAGCAGATCTTTGCTTTGTACTTAATCTGTGTTGTCATCTGATCTTGTTTCTGTCTAGCCACATTTCCACTAAGCTTTGAGTTTTGCAATTTGTCTGTTTGGCTGAAATTTCCAGTTGTTCAGCAAACGTTGGAGGAAATCATCCTATAAACAATTCTGACATCAAGTATACTTGTGTATTTATTATATTAATATGAAAAGATTTATTATTATTTCTTGGTTTGTTTTACGTTGTTTTCCACTTGGGTTAGATGGTGGTGAATTCCTCAAGAGTGCCAGAGAAAAAATAAAGCCATGAAACCACATTTGTTTGAATACATTGCCAAAGCAATTAGCTAAAAAGCTAAAATGTCAATCATGTCTTTGTTTCTTCTTCCAAACCAGTTCCCTAATGTGGTTGGAGCAACTTTTTCAATTAATCTGTTTGTCGATACTTTTTTTTTTTTTGCATAGGCAGTTCAATAGTCAAATATTTTCCTTTTCATACCATTTATTAATAAAGAAAATGCTTTCTTTTCTTGAATCCAACACTAGTTTATCAGAAACTACATTCTTTCATTTTTCTAGATACATAATTACTATCAGAAACAAAGCTATCAGATGCAAATTACATTTAATTCCTTCAAGTACTAAGAAGCACATCAGAATTTTACATCTAAGGAAAAGTTCTGACTCAGAAGACAGCCACAGAGATTTTGTCTTCTGTATTTAGGCAAATGCCCCACACATTAAAATAACTTTATAAGTAGGATATTGGAAAGTCCTGTAATTATTTTTTTCTTAATTATCATGAAGATAAATACTGTGAATGCTATTGCTATGGCATATGTAATTTTGCTTTGAGTGGGGTCCAAAAAAGATTGAGTGGCGAATAGGTGCTAAAGGTTGATACAAACCTCATGTATGATAGCGTTTAAAAAACCAACAGCCCAATAAAATATTCCATCAAAATACCGTGTGTGTGTTATGTGTATGTGTCTTTTGTTTCGATGTGAAAAATTTTAGACAAAATGTAAAGTGGTATTCCAGATTCTCCTGCTTTCACGGAGCCTCTCATTTGCCTGTCAACAGTTCTCAGGCAAATGGTGTGAAACATCCAGCTGCCGTGATCGGATGAGATATTATCCCCTGTTACAGATCCCGCATCTGAGATTATAGCTTTCCAAACCACCCTTTCATTTAACTAAACCAGAGTCATATTAAGAGAATATCAACATTTTGAAGATTTTAACTGATATGTTCATAAGAGTAATCTGACTGTATACAATTAAATTATAATTTGTATTATAAAATGGCAGCAGGAATTGGCTTATTATAAACTGACTTTAAAAATAATTTTGACGACTAGTTTTTCAACTAAGGTAGTTTAAGTCAGAAATAATACAGAAATAAATGGTATGGATGAGACACAGAATTGTATTGTGATTATGAGTAAAATATGTGAATATGTACCACAATTCTACGATTTTTTTTTCCGCAAGCAAGCATAAACCATTTGGATGGTTACTTCTAATAATGTCATATTTTATTTGATAATTGCCCTTGGTCCATGTTCTTGTGCAATACAAACTCTACAGTGAATTTAAAATGTAAAGATGAAACCATTAAAAATTGATTAAGAACAAGTTAAAAGGAAATGCAAAATGCTTTCAACACATAATAAATATACATAATTAATCTAATACTACTTTCTGTGGGCATATAGAGGAGGAAAAAAACCAGTAAACATTTGGTTAAGAAAGAGAGATTGGCTATTAATTTCCTATTCCCATTGCTGTGGTACTCTACAAACCCTGGAAAGACTACACAGTCACTCTTTCATATAAAGACAAAAATCGAACTAGTCCCATATTGGATGGACATTGATTGTTTGTGACCAGCCGTCATCTTGGAATGTTCTCCTTACATTTTGATACTTTCCCCAGTGAGTCCCACCTTCTGCAAATGCACATCCTCTAGTGCCTTTGTTGCTGGGATGCAAGCAGGTGACCAATTTTCTGTGAAATCAATATGATTCAGAGATTAGCAACATTTTGAGGTGGCCATGTGTGGGAATTTGTATTCTGATAAGCATGATGGTGAAGGTTCTCTGGGTGGTAGCAGGTGTTTTGGAGCCCAATCCCAGATGTGATGATTGCTGTGTGACTGAGACAGCAATCTTTTAGGTAGAGATGGCTGCATGTGTGTGGGCATTGTTTCTGTAAATATAACTTCAGAACGTTGTTCACCAATCCTCCCAGAGATTCTGCAAAATACTTAATGTTCTTTCATAATTACCGTTTTGAAAGGGAAACTAGCCAGATTGGATTTTCTTGTTTACAACTAAGAACTGAATTAGACACACTTCTCTTACCCCTTGGTAATGCCAGTAGAATTTCCTCTAGAAGTTAATGAAACTCCTTCTCACCTCCCTCAAATTTTGCTTATATTAAATAATGTGTTAGGAACAGAGTCCCAGGAATCTGACTCTGAGATGGAGATTAGCATGCAGGATGGGAATCAGGCTGTCCTATCAGAGATGGCGATTAAAATGCAGGCTGTTTATTAGGGATCGTTCTGGGGATTAACACCTATGGAAGACAAGGGAAGGAAGCAGGATTGAGCAGAGGGAAATACTGGGCTGTGATGCAGTTTCAAAGAAGACCTCAGTGAGCTCCATGGAATGTTGTGAACATGAAGGGCCCTCAGATTAGTCCTCCCTATCAATCATTCATGGTCTGTGGGCTATTCTAAAGAGGGGTCTGACTTTGGGCAAGGTGATTCTTTTCATTTGGAGCAATTTTGAAAAGAATTGACAGCTGAGGAATCCCAGCATTTTGAAGCATATATCCTTCAGGCTACAGCATCTACTATATAGCTCATGTGTGTTATTATTGTTAATTCTTTCACAACTGTGGTCCCATTAGACTGAGAGCTCTGACTCTCATGAAAAATTTCTTAAAGTGATAAAGCATAATGCTTAAGCATGTGGTCTCCAGAACCAAAATGCCTGGGTTTCAATCATGGCTCTAATATCTAGCTGCTGTGTGTCCTTGGCAAGTATGTTGTACCTCTTTGTTTTTCAGCATTCTTATATATAAAATGGGGGTAATAGTTCTTTATTCATAGGGCTATTGTGAGCTAATCTATGTGAAGGGCATAAAGACTTTTTGGTATTGCATGGATACTCGATACTGATAGATAAAATCAGCTTTTAAGTGCCTAAAATCTAAGAGAGTCCCTACTATGTATTAGATGTCAAATTTTCATTTTTTCATTTTATTGAATATACACATTATTCAAAGTTGGACACAGGAATGTAGAGCTAATGACTACATATACAAGACAATTTAAAGGCATTGTGAGGCTTGCATGTCCTAAAATATGTCTTTCTTTAGGCGAGGTACTTGTTAAAGTGAAAAAGATTTACTAGGATTGAGGTGACTATGTTAGGTCTCTACAGTATCTCATCATCTCAGCCAGGAGAAGTAAACAATAATATATTCTCAGACACCTGAGCCTAAAAGGGCAGTTTTGATGAAGTAATAAAAAAGAAAAAGAAAACAGAAAAATGTACAGACCAAGAAGTATGGCTCTGGGAGGACCATTCTGGCATGAAGATATGGATACTTGATGAGAAATGTGCAACCAAGGAGAAGAAAGTGTTACTCAAAGACCTTCTGTCATCAGACCAGAAACTCCTCAAGGGTGGTAGGCACAGTGTCTGGCACCTGCTGAGTTTTGAAGAAATGACCAGCCCATTGTTTTCTGGAGCTCAAGAGGAGACATCTTAGGATTATCCAGGTGTGTGCTCTCTCAACACTCATTGCTCCCAAATAAGATAGTGAATTATAAAATCCTTTTGGTGGGACACTGATTGAAACCAAGAGGGTGGTTTGTCTTTCCTTTTTAGGAGCACGAACCATCAGCAATTTTTCTCTTGGACCTTGTGGAAGACAAGGGCAGTCTTCTCTAATAAGGCTGTCTATGAGACAACATTCATAGCTTTTGTTTGTTTCCCTTTTCAAACTTTATGGAAAATGTGAAATATTTATAATGCTTACAGAACAAATAGATCTATTGCTATAAGTTGTGATGCTATTACCTTTCTACAGAGGAAGATGTTGTTTCTCTGGAACTTTGAGGCGTTATATTAGGACACAAGTAGAGGCAAAATAATACTGTGACATGAAGGAGGTGTCTTTTTTCCCAGCAGACACACCTATGCTTATGAGATTTTCCTCTTAGTTTTCTGGTAATTTTCATCATTTTGAACAAAGAAAAATTGAACACATAAGGATAACCAAAAAAATGTGTTTGGTTGAGTTTCTGGTCCAATAATCGTTTAAGCACCTTCAAGATCCTAGCAAAGTACAAGATGTTTCAATCAGTCCATGTTCTTTTGGAAATGTGAATAGTTACTAAGAATAAAAATATCTCAGAAAAGTGTGAAAAGTTTCCAGAAGAAAAATACAAGCAAATATTTACTTAGCCCTTATAACAGTTTTGACTTAGCGATAAATACTTTATATATTATCTCATTTAACATTCATAATTATTCTGTGGAGTAGAATATTATCCTCATATTACAGAAGAAGAAACTGAGGCTCAGTGATATGAAAGCAATTGTTTGATTTCATTGGGCCTCCACCTTCCCTTATCACTAAACTTAGTCTCACCTTCTTGTATGAGTAGACTGAAGTACTATCCATATTTTATCTCGGAGATTTAATAGAAGCAGTGCTAGAGTCTTTCAAGTATTGGCCAAAACACTGAGACATTTCCAATGGGATGTTTTAGAATCTGTTAGAAAGACACCTAGATGGGAATCATTTATCCTTCCTATTTGTACTTCTGGGTTTCTTAAGAATTATCTATACACCTGGGGTGTTTGTTTAAAATCCCAGGCCTTCTAGTCAGGATTTATGAAACAGAGGTGGAAATTTGGCAAGCACCTTTGGTGATTCTTAGGCCCACTAACTTTGAGAAACACTGCTTTTTGCCCTAGATCCTGAGGAGATGTAGGGCACTCCACAGTATTTGTGAGAAAAGAAAATTGGTGTGGCTTTTGATTAATGGCTCCGAGAAACAGAATAAGAAACATATCTAAAAATACTACCTTAGACTGGAGAGGTTGACAGGTGAGAACAGTAAGTTATTAAAAACTAAGAATAATTTAAGAACTAATTTTACAGATAATTGATAATGAAATGATCTGATAATAGTTCTAGTAGAGTACATAGGGGTGAGTTTTGAAGACACTGTAATTAAGAGGATTAAGGAGACCAGCTAAAAAAGAATTAAAGAAATCAAGATAAATGATAACAGAGCAAGAACAAGAAACTTACTTCCCAGAGATAAGTGAGTCTTAGGAAAGAGGCATTAGGTATTAGATTTATCTGAAAATTTCTAATGAAGTTTAGAAGAAGAATGCTTTGGCCTTATGGAGAAACTTCCATAGTTGAAATCTTTCTTGGGAAGTTTATGTGTTACTTGGGTTGAGAGGTTCTCTTTTGCTTTGTACAATATCAGTAACTATGTATATTTTTAATACTAGAGAATATTTTCCACTTCTACTGTATAATACCCGAGGGGAGCACTTTTACTGAATATACCCGAGGTGTAACTTCTCATGGAAAAGATACAATTAAAGTATAATATGCAACATTAAAAAATAGAATTTATATTATTCTGATAGAGCAATAGTGTTGCTTTTCATTAAATTATGGGTTACATTCAATATATCAAATAATTGATTAAAATATAATATGATACTCATTTACATGGCATCATATATTGCTTCCAAGAAGTTTGAAACACTTTTCACTAATCTAAACAACAATTTCTAAATAAAAAATAGATGAATAGATATAAATAATAATGAATGTATGAATATACTTCTAGATTTTATATTCTAGTCTGCTGATTTATCTAGTTTTATACCAATACCTATTGTTCGTGTTCACTGATTTTAGGTAAAATGTGCCTTCTGATAATGCAAGTTCCCACAAACCTTGCTATTCCTTTTTTTAATTGAAAAACTTGAAGTAGTTAAAGATTCACATGCAGTTATAAGATCTAGTACAGGGATATCCCTTGTGTCCTTTTCCAAGTTTTCCCCAATGGTAGCTTTTTGCAAAATTATAGCATAATATCAGAACCATGATATTGATACAATCAGCCAACATTATTCTGATTTTTCTAGTTTTACTGAACTCATTTGTGTGAGTGTGTTCTAAACAATCTTCTCACATGCAGTTTTATGTACTTACCACCACAGTTAAGATACTCAACAGTTCTATCAACACAGGGGCCCTCCTATTGCGACTTTATAAACATACCTTTATTTCTCCTATTGTTCTAACTTTAAAATTTTTTACACTATTCTTGAGCATTTCTACTTCTTTGTGAAGATGAGGATAATTTTGAGCAAATCCCTGTTCACAATGCACACAAAGTGAGGACTCTAGTTGTAATGTCTTAAAATATACAAAACAAATATTAGTTTTGAGACAATTGATACATTTGTGTTGTTAATCTTCCCATCTGGTGTCAATGCCTGCCAGGCAAAGAATACCAGGGACAACCCACATTTAAACAAGTTTAATTTATTGCTGTTTGTTGCAAAGGAGCAAAAACATCGTGGGAAACCATTAGGTGTCTCAGAATGTTAAAAGATAACATTTAAGGATTTAAGCTTGTATGAAGTGATTTTGGAGAGGGTTCACAGAAATAAGGCTTTGCCTTGAATTGGATGCTCTAAGGAAGTAGGAGTAATGATTGGCCAACATGTTTAAGAAAAAATGTTCTAATTTAGTAGTCAAGAAAATTTGTTTGCATACATAGACACATATGACCAAATACAGAAAACAAGGTATTAAATTATATTCATAGACCTGTCAAAAAATAAATAGAATTGCATTTCCCATCACTGGTGGAGATGTCAAGAAGAGCTACTGCACAGACCAGGGAAAGTGAGTATAACACAGCTGTTTGAGAAAGTAATCTGGCAACATCTATTAAAACAAAGATAAACTTTTGTTTAGCAATTTTATTCACAGGAATCTATCATATAGAACCAGAATATCATGACTTAATATAGTTTGTAAAAAAAAGGAAAAAAAAATGTTTGAGTTAAAGAGAAAGCCTGACCAATAGGAAAATGATATACACATTAGGGCATTTACACTATGAAATATTATGCTGCTGTTAACAAATAATAAATTAACTCTCCGTCAGTTAACCTGGAGAGATTTCCATGATACGTTTTGGAGTGTGAAAAACAAAGTACATAAAATCTATGGATATGATTTCAGTTATAGTAAAAGCAATAGCAAAATTTATGTATGCGTGTGTATACATGTGTCTTGTATTTTATACCTCTTTTATATAGTCTATGAAAAGTAATTTGAAATATTTCTCATATAAACATTTGTGTCTCTTCAATGGATCAAAATATAATGCTGTCTTTTCATGGGGAATCAAAATTCAGCTATTTTATCTAAAAATATATAGTAACTTTTAATGTGTCTGGAATCTATATATGTGTGTGCATATATGTATATGCTTAAGTGATCTTAAAAAAAAACAACAAAAATAAATACAGTAGAATAGTATCCAACCTGAAAATGAAGGAAATTGTGCCAATCTGCCAATAACATGGATGAAACTTGAGGACATTATGCCAACTGAAATGTCTGTCACAGAAAGACGAACACTGCATGATTCCACTTATATGAGATGGGTAAAATAGTCAAATTCGTAGAATCGAGGAGTGAAATGGTGGTTACCGGGTTCTGTGGGAAGTGGGAAATAGGAAATTGGTAATCAAAGGGCATATATTAATAGCTTTAGTCAAACAAGATGAATAAACTCTAGAGATCTGCTGTAAGGCATGGTACCTATAGTAAACAATAATGACTTGTAGCTTTAAAATTTTAAGAAGGTAGATCTCATGCTAAGTATTTTTAACACAATAATAATAAAAACCACACAAAACCCCAAACAAACTAATAATGGCAAAGATAAGAAAAAGTCAAACCTAGAGGGCCCTGATCTAATTAGAATAAAGGGATTAGATAGTAAAATGATTTTTAAAAAACATTTATGTTACTATTTGATGCCTCCATTTTCCTAGATTCAAAATATGCACAATTTTAATACTTTAAGATAGAATTTAAGTTATGTGATTCAACAATAAAAAACAAGTTTACCTTTAAATAAAGCTTTCCATAAAAGTGCAAGCTATTTTAATATATCAATATGTATCCAAAGCGAAGATCAAGTAAAACAAGCAGAAGTGATACTGTAAAATGTGCCTCTTAAAGTAATTTATTATAATAAATGGCATGCTAACAATGAAAAGGTGAGCTGGCAGAGGAACTCTTCTCCAATCCTATTTCTATCACAGCTGGAGGTGCATGGCTTCCTTGTTCTTACAAAGGGATTACTGCTACATGGTGAGCTCCTGCAACAAAAGTTAAATAGGAATCAGCTTCCCTTCTTAAATATTAATAATGCAATCACTACATAAAGGAATTTAGTAATGCATAGTATAATTAAAGAAGTCAGAGCTTCTAAGAACTCCCAGTTTTCTTGACGGTTTACTCAGATGTTATCTTCATGTGATCACAGTCCTTAGGAGATAAGTGTTTATATTGATAGTGAAATTCTGTTTGAAAGTAAAATATCTATACCTGTAAGATGATTAGTTTTTAAAAATCTATCTGATCTAAAACAGCTGACTTTTTTCAATAACTTTCATATTTTGATTCAATAGATATTGAGCTTTCTTCCTCCTTACCTTCCTTACTTTTATTGTATTATTAAATGCTGTGTAGATTTAGACTGAATAGAGGTGGCATTTACTTCTCTCCTAGGTTCCTATATGAAAATAGCTTTAAACAATTTATATTATGCTTATGAAAACCTATTCAACATTGAGAAAATCAAGCAACATTTTTTGGGGGAGGTATTATAACCTATAGATAATATTTAGGTTTACAGAAGATCTATAAATATTAAATTATGTCTATAAATATTTGCCCAGTTCATATCAACTAGAGTTCTACTATCATTTAGAACAGTTTAAAACTGTCTCTGTCAATTTGCTTCTGAAGATATCACTAGTATGTGCAGCCTAGGGGTTAGGGGGAGGTTAGGTACTTTTAAGAAAGGCATAAACAAAGAAAAGATAAATTATAGAGAGAAAATAAACTTTTTCTGATTCAGTCATTCATAAAGAAATGTTGATTGAATGTCAAGGACTCTTCTAGGTGCTGTAGATTCAGCAGTGGTCAAAAAAAAAAAAAGTCCCTGGAGCTTACTTTCTAGTTGAGATCTCCCAAGGTAAAGAAGGCAACCCTTAGAAATGATCTCTAAATGTGGTTCCAGAAAGAATATTACCCCGTGGGAAATAAAAACTTCCCAATAAAATGATGCAACACTGAAGGCTTATTGTCACATAATCTTTGAAAATCTACCATCAGAAAGAAAAAAGTGATAGAATGGAGGAAGGAAATTGTATCTAGAGATCCATAGTTTAATATAATCTCTCACAGATTATTGGAAGCCATCCCTGTTTTAGTAAACATAAAGGGCCTCTGGCAACTCGAATTACTTGCATATACAAAGATAATGATTGTGTTCTCATATTTCTGTCTCTGCAAACAAATGAACATAAAATATCCAATAGAAATAGGTTCATACTTGTGTTTTTACTTTAAATAATGTATTAGTGTTTAAAGCGCTTCTGAAGAAACAGCCAAAGCAAACAGAAATTTTTAGTTCTAAGAGACTGAAGAATAAACAACTCTTCTCAAGAGACTGCATTAAGCATTGCACCAACAAAGGCAGAGTTGGGTCAAGAATTATCAAGACATTAAAAATCAAGTGATAGTGTCAGAGTATTAGTTTTGTATTAACACAATGTGTTAATACACAGTGTGTTCTTGCAATATGAAATTCCCTAAATGGCTACATGGCCAGAAGTAAATTCAATATTTAATTACTGGAGTATTTTGTATTTACTTGGATCACAATAAAATAGAGAAATGTCTGAAACAGTGCTGCTGTCTTTTCCTCCTTCTCTTTTGAGGACTCTATGTACATATTAGAGTAATTTGCCAAGTATTTATTCATAGCATTTTGTCCAAGTGTATACTACCTGCCATGGACTCTGTGAGAGGCTTCCAATCCATAATACCCAAAGGAATATAAGTGTAGTATAAAAAAGAGTAGACAGTATACAGAAAGTGATTTATACATTGTTAACAGTTGCCTGACCAAACAGTGATCAAGATGGGCAAAGGACTGGGGAATGCTTAATGGAAGAGAGATGTCTGGAATTGAGTTTTGGTGAGCAATATTAACAAGATTGGAGCTTGGTGACATATGTTGGGAGTAATGATGAGGCCATTCTAATGAGATCAGTCTCACAAGAGTGATCTATTACAGGAAGTAGTAGGAGAAAAGTTATAATGAATTTATATTTCTCAAGATATTTAAATAAAATAAGGACGGTGTTTTTCTTTTTTAATTTTAATTTAATTTTATTTTAAGTTCTGGATACATGTGCAGGACATGCATGTTTGTTATGTGAGTTTAAGAGGCAATGAGAAGCTATTGAATATCCCTGAGTAGTAGGTCAAAGTAAAATAATCTGGCAGACTATTTCAGGAGCAATTGAAAATATAAGGTAGTTAAAATGGTATCACACACCACACACCAACACACACAAAATATAAGAAGAATGCACACTAATTATGAGCAAGTTTTCTAAAGACATGTAAAGGTTGCTTGGGCTATGTGGGAGGAAAAGTTTGTTAAAAAGTAAAAAGACCTTGATAGGATGATCCTATGGAAGGAGCTCTGGGCCCATTTTCTTGAACCAAGTTCTTTTCATGATGGTAACATAAGCCCTACATAGGCTCCTGGAATATGAGAGTAAAAGGTACTTGTTGCTTAATCTTTTGGAAGAGATTTTCAGATACTGGATATACAAAGAGTAAATTACTGTGTAGTGTGTCTGGGCAGATGAGGACCTTAGCTTCCTCTACTTACTTGCAGTTCAGCGTGGTTTGAAGTTAGAGAATTAATTCGTAACTAAAATATCTCAGTGGCAAGGAATTACTCCTAAGGATCCAGGGCCTGGAAGAGAGTTCTGAATTATAAAAGGAGTGACTTAGCAGCAACAGAAATGTGCGGACAACCAAATACCAAATGAGATAAGGTTTGAGGGCTGCAAAGATAAATGATGACAGAGGACCAAATGGAGCTGCTTATCTCTAACATCTTGATTGTACTTAAATTTTCAGCAACTTGCATGCAAATCTAGCAAATTGTGTATGTGTATGTATGTGTGTCTGTGTGTGTACATGTTTGTGTATGAGATACAAGTAGCGGAGAGATGTGAGACCAGGTTACATATCTATGACTATGGAATGAGAATCCATTCAAAATATAAATGAGAATGTAATAGAAAAACAAAGGTTAATTAATATTTATTCCCCATATATGTAGCTCATCTGATCACAAATTCCAGCACTTTTTTGGTTACTGGTAATAAGTATTCAATAAATGTTTCTCAATTAAATAGAATTATTGATTGAATTATATGAAGTCTTACATGTTCTAACATCCACTGTAGCCTATTGCATGTCCTAAAATATAGCAGAGTGTTATGGAATCCCCATGATTAATTGGACGTGCAAAGCCTTTTTACTCTAAATGGAGGCAACTGCTGTAGGTCTTTCCTAAACTTACACTCTCACTCTAGGCCGATATTTTTTAGTGCACAACATATTTTCTCTTGAAAACCCTGCTGAGTTAAAAATTTACATGTATTCAGAGTTTCTTCAATATACAAAAATAAATAGGTTTCTTCAATATATAAAATTAACAGAGATTTTTATTTAGCATTTGATGACCGTGAAAGCCATATGAACCTTTCTCCTTAGCTGTATGTTGAAAAAACACACACTTTCAGAATTCATAGAGTTAGAATGTATAACTTTGGAAATAATACATAATTATTTTAAGCATTCTGCAACATTGACCAGAGACGTGAAAATTAATGTCTTCATCATTCTTAACAGTTGCTGGTTTTCACAGCATGATCCCATGCTAATGGAACCTTGACTTGCACAGCGAAGTGAAAACCAATAACTCTGTGCTGAGGGCATAATATATGGGTGATATACGTATGTAAGTGTGCATTCAAGTGCATATGTATTTACATAAATATAAAATACCATTTAAATGTACTTTGGAACATGTGAAAGCAAATACAAATATATTTTTATTAGAGTTAATATTATAATTCATTACCTTTTCTGGTTTTAGAAGTAATTGGTGTTTATTGCAGAACAATTGGAACATGAAAAAATGTATAAGGTGCAAATAACCATAAGCTCATGATCCAAATATTTTATTGTATCCCTAATGGTCTATTTTTAATGCAGAAACATGTTTGATCTGGCCATAGTTGGGTATAGAAGAAAATCCTTCAGAATTTCATTTCCATATCTCTGCTTTACATTTTAGCCTGCATAATGCAAGGGAAGAGTTTTGCTTCAGCACAAACTAGCCCTTTGCCATCCTCCACTTTTCCCTCATCTCTCACTTCAGATTCAAACTGTTCATCCAAATAACTGCCCCAGAAATTAGTATAATTATTCTCTGTTTTGTTTTAATAACATATCTATTTTTCTTTTAAAACATTTTTTTTTTGAGATGGGGTCTTAGTCTGTTGCCCAAGGTGAAGTACAGTGGTGTGATCCTGGTTCACTGCAGCCTCAACATACCCAGGCTCAGGTGATCCTCCCACCTAAGTTTTGTATTTTTTATAGAGACAGAGTTTCACTATGTTGCCCAGGCTGGTCTTGAAGTCCTGGGCCCAAGGAATCTGTCCACCTTGACCTCCCAAATTACTGGGATTACAGGTGTGAGCCACTGCTCCTGGCTTTATTTTTCTTCATTAAAAATTTATTGCAGCAGCCTAAAACCTAATTCCTACATCTACAGAGTGAAAGATCCATAACCATGTTCCCCTCTCTCTGGTTTGATGGTCTCTTCTTATACGAAACATAATGTTTGTGAGCTTTCATGATTCATAAATACATAGAGGCTTCTCTTACTTTAATGTCCAGAAAAGTACTTCATATACAGCAAGCACTCAGTAAATATGGGTTGACTGAATCTCCTTGTTGGGTTATTGGTAAAGTGATTGCTGGTGTTGATGACAGTGGTGGCCCATCTGGAGCAACTGCTGCCATGATGCCTTCTGCAGTGGGGAAGGTACGGCTGGGGCTGAGCACTCCACAGACCCAGTGGGAGCTAGGAATAGGTGGGAGCCCCTTCTGCTTCTGAGTTGGAAGGGTGGGAGCCCCACCCTCCCAGGCACAGTTGCTTGAAGGTAGGGCTTCACCGGGGACCTGTCCATTTTTTCCCAGGATCCTGTCTGCTTCCTGCCACCATCAACCTGCTCTCCATGGTGCCCATGGCACCCAGGCTGTTTGTGCCAAGGGGTGCCTGCAGGCCCTTGCCAAGCTGCCCTCAGCACCCCTGGCCTCCCTCCTGTGCTTGTCAGTGCCCAAAGTCTGGAGGGGGCCAAGGCAACAAGGGGCTGGTGTGTCAGCACTGCCCCAAGCCCCAGCTGAGGCTGCGGACCTTGGCATTCCAGTGCTCTCGGGACTGGGAAGCCCTCATGCCCCTGTAGGCTCAGAAGTCTCTGCTCTTGCTGCCTGGCCTCTCCCTGCTCCCAGTGCCTGCAAAGTTGAGGCTGAGCCCAGGCACTGTTGCAACCCGGCTAAGTGTGTGTGCTTGGGGCAGTGCTGACACACCAGCCCCTTGTTGCCTTGGCCCCCTCCAGACTTTGGGCACTGACAAGCACAGGAGGGAGGCCAGGGGTGCTGAGGGCAGCTTGGCAAGGGCCTGCAGGCACCCCCTGGCACAAACAGCCTGGGTGCCATGGGCACCATGGAGAGCAGGTTGATGGTGGCAGGAAGCAGACAGAATCCTGGGAAAAAATGGACAGGTCCCCGGTGAAGCCCTACCTTCAAGCCAATGCTGGCCTGAGGCCTGAGGCCTGAGGACTGGGCTGCCAGTTCCGTGGACTGGAGTGAGAACTTATGGTGCTTTTTCTGGGGCGCCCATGGCTGCTTATGGACCAATCAGCATGCACTTCCTTTCCTTGGAAACCCATAAAAACCCCCAGATACAGCTAGACTTGGGCAGACAATGGGGTGACCTGACTGCAGGTAGGAGCTACTCACTCTGGGTCTCCTCTCCTCTCCACTGAGGGCTGCACAGACATCGGGATGATCTGCCAGTGGAAAGGAGCTATGGCCATTGGGTCTCCTGAGAACTGTTCTGCTGCTCAATGAAGCTCTTCTCCACCGTGCTTATCCTCCAGGTGTCTGTGTACCTCATTTTTCCAGGACATGGGACAAGAACTTTGGACCTGCTGAATGGCGGGACTAAAAGAGCTATAACACAAACAGAGCTGAAACATGACCCTGCAACCCACCCCCAATCCCTGCTTCTCTCCTGCTTGCAGGCAACAAGAAGGAGAGAAGAGATGTGGCCCTTTGGGGAGTCCAGACCTAGGGACTCCCTGAGCCAGGGCTGTGATACCCTCTTTGGGTCTCTGCAGTTCCTGGCATCTCCAAGCTTCCAGGTGCCACTGCATTCCCTTCATCTAGACATGGGTACCTGCAGCAGAAGCCACGTGCAGTGCATTTGATCCAGCTGTGACTCTGCACAGAGCTGGCACCTGTGCCAGGCACCTGGAGCTGACTTCTCCGCCTAAGCAGCCAGCATGCCCACCTGGCTGTGCACAGTGGCTGGAACCCACTCTCACTTGCTCACATAACCCTCACCGCTTCGTGCCTGTCTTGCGCTTGGCAGGTGTGGGACCTGGGCCTGTAGCGTAAGCTGAGCACAGCCTGCCAGGCCGAGTGGGCAGAACAAACCCAGTGGGCACGAGCAAATACTCAGTCAGAAGGTGCTGCCTGCCACAGAAATTTCTGGCTGGTGAAGCAACACCTTAAGGAGCCCGTGACAGTGTCATTTATAGGCCATAAGTTCATTACCAATTGATGTTACTACAGACTGTGTAGTACAGATTAGCCAAGTATGTAACACTGTTGTGGCAATGACGCTTTTGTGAAATTCTTTATGATTCCCCACCCATTTTTATTTATATTTGTGCCCCACATGATCTGTTACCCTCTTACTACTATCCAAAAATCAGAAAGAATATCTCTCTGGAGATTGTCCATTGGTGTGCATAAACAACTGTGTTGCTTAAAACTTTTTCTTTCAGTTACAGTACTGCAGTGCAACATTGAACTGTAAAAGTTCCTAGAGTGAAATGAAATGGTTCTCCTGACAGAAATACCCTGAGGCACTCTCGTTATTTAAATAGAGTGTTCTTCAGCAAAGGTTGTTCCATCAACAATTAGTGCCTTCTTCATAACTCCTAAATTATTCATTAAATGCAAATACAAAATCTAATCACTTTATTTTACAGTAAAGTTGAAAGAAGAAAGATTAATGCTATTTTTTTCTTTAAAATGCAGTTCTAATTCTTTTGGTCTTACTTTGTTTGAATGATAATAAATATAATTTTGATATGCAAGGTTTTTGTAGCAATTTCATTTTTCTGACAATGAAAAATGAAGGCTGAATTTTGCTGGTTTGTTTTTCTTCTCAGAGAGTCCTAACTGATAAACTACATCTCCTGTATACATGAATTTCTCTTTGCTGGCAGCAAAAATTCTGCTAATAGTTTCATATCTATTCCATACTCATACACTGAACAGTTTATGGCATATCCTCAACCTGCATCTCCCTTCCTTTTCTGCCACAGGGCTTCATAAACAGAATAAAAATAAGGTTGCAGATCTCCACTTGTTAGCGGTGGAATTATGACTACCATTTCAGGGCAACTTCTTTAAGGTTAGCTTTGAGCCAGCCTCACCTTTTTGTATACTTGAGTCCCTTTAGTGGGGAAGAAAAATCAGTTACATTAGTATGTAAAGTGACATGTAATGTATTTAATGTAATGATAAGGTAAATTAGTGTGTAAAGCAAAGTCTCTTTGAGGGGATCACTGTAAGGCATTTCTCTGAATTATTAGTACCTAGGCTGTTGGACAAATTGATGTGCCCTTTTGTTACTGTTGTGGAGTTTGGTGTGTCTCTGTGAGTGTGTTTTTGTTTTTTAAGTCTTATAGAAACTCTTACTAGTCAAGTGGCTGATCATCTTCTCTGCGGTCTTCCTGGTCGGAAGCTCAAAAGCAAATTTACAGTGTTTCTTAATTTGATTGCATACAAGTTTATGACAGTTATAATCATTATTCTTTCAAAAATCTTATTCCTGCTGTCTCAACATTCCTGTTTTTCTTTAGCTGTGATTCCAAAACCCATTTGGTTTCATCTTGTTGTACAGCATATTTTTCTGTAAGCCATGTTGAACGCTTTTATGGAATAATGTGGGGGATAAATGTGTACATACAGATAGAACTTCACACTGTTGCTTATAGTATGCACCTCTGCTATGCTGGCAGAAATACAGCTATCAAGGGCTGCCTGTAAATTCTAACCTTCAATAAGAAGAGATTGTGAGTTGAGAGTAAGACAAAGTACAAGCCTCTGTTTTTCACACCAAGGGAATATGTATTATTCAAGAGTGGAAGAGAACATTTCATTCACAGGTTAAGCAAAATAGATAATGAGTAACAAGAGAACTTCTTGATATTTTGTCATCTGCATATAACCAAGGCAAGAAAGTATTTACATTTTAAATATGCAAATATCAAGAACAAAGAATAGTGTCCTTGTAACTCTCCAATGTTATTCCTGGTTATGTGACTCAGTCCTAGCCAATCCCAGATTAACATGTCAATGCCCCAGTGCCTGGCTCAGAAATAGGCATATGACCCACTCAGAACCAATAAGAAGCAATCGGAATAAGAGGGCCAGTAGGAGACCAAACCATGGCAGAAGAAACATCTGCCTGGGCCTTTTCAGTAAGATGAGTAATAAATTCCTTGGAGTTTAGGCAGTAATCATTTATTGAGTCTCTCTCTCAAAAGAAAAAAAAATGGTACACTGGTCACGGAGACACCCATAGAGGATCAGACAATAATATTGAAGCAAAACATTCTATACGACCTACTTGATACAGTGCTCCAGGAAGGCAATCAGCGATACCAGGTATATCCAGGTAAATCATGAATTATACAGTCCTTAAAGGGGCAATTCACAAAATCTGCAACATGAGTGATGCCCCAAGATTTATGAGTTTTATGACTTGAGCAAAGTCAGGTCCAAATGCTTGACTTTGGTACTCATGTAGTTATCCAAATGTTTGATTCAATTTTTGGTGTGAAAAGACAGTTTTGTGCAACTTGGTGAGAAAAGTCAGTTAGGTCATATGAAATTGGCATTGTATCAGCATTTCAACCATCATTAAAAATCTTTTTAAAAATGTTCACATTTCCATATTTTTATAAAAGAAGTTAGTCTTTTGAAGTATACATACCCTATTCAAAAAATGTAGATGAACTTTCAACCTTTTTTTTTTTACAGAAATAGAGTGTTAAGTTTTTCAAGATTTGACAAGAAAGACATTTTTAATAGTAAATTATAGCCAAAAACAGATTTTTGTTAAAACAATGTTATTGACCAATTCAGGGTCTAAAAAGCACATTAAGCTTTTAATTGCATGACATTTGTTGGTAAAGGGTTGTAGCATAATTGTTAGTGAGCTTTCAGAAGTGTTTCTTGGAGATAATGTTTGAATAATCTATTGCATGAATTTGAATAATTTATGCATAAACCAGTGTAGAGTTATAATTGCAATTACAACGTTTAGTTCAGTAGCAATGAGTTGCATTTGAAGTTGGATGCCGATTACACCATATAGCTTAGGCTCTGCTTTTCATTTCATTTTAACAAAGGATTCTGAGTAAAGGGAGATGGCTCAGAGCTTGACAAAAGTTCCCAAGTGAAGTTTTAAAGAATTTCTTTCGAAATATTTTTATTTCATTTTATTATTTTTTAATATTCAAAGTCTGAAATCCAATCTTGCATGCTTCTGTGCCATAGAGATAAAGCAAGGGACTAAAAGTGCCCCTGGTTGGACAGAAAGGGCTTTTCTACTTTTCTTCTGAAGGAGCAGCTGCTCTCATCAATAATTTCCTGAAGCAATAGTCCCGGAGTGTAAACAATATTTTATACGGATGACAGTGGAACAGAATATGTTATTGCTGAAATTTGTGCACTTCACTGGGGAGAATGGATTAACCCTGTATGACACAAAATCAACTATATTATATTTTCAGAATTAAATGAAAGGGTTAAGAGTTTTCATATGAAAGAAGTTTCTGATTCTAAAAGAGACAATGCAATAATTTTCACAAACATGAAAAATTTTATGTCACAGAATATTTTAAGCAATTAATACTACTAATCTTTAAAGTGCTTTGCCAATCAATTAAAGTCAATTTTATAATGTGACACTGAATTTTTGCTTTCTGGAAAAATTTTAAAACTGTACTGAAGTGTTGACAGTTTTAGAGGGTTATTTTTTTTTTTGTTTACTTAAAAAAAAGTCAATGGGCCATGAATTTATTTCCACATCTTCTGAAATGAACAAACAAACATTTATAAAGACTTTAACTAATTTGATCAAAATTAAAACTATTTAAATTACGACATTGCTAGAGATCAAGCATTTCCATGGAGTTCATTTGTTGCTGAAACTTTGAGATTTAATTTCACTTATTATAGTCAAGTATCTCCATGTTCCTTTTTCTTAAATTTTGTCTACTATGCTACAATATAAGAATGTTCTTTAATTCTATCATTCACATTAAAGGTATTCTCAAATGGGGTGTTGACTGGGGAGCTAAAAAATATAAAATAGGCCACGGGTGGTGGCTCTCACCTGTAATCCCAGCACTTTGGGAGGCCGAGGTGGGCGGGTCATTAGGTCAGTAGTTCGAGACCAGTCTGGCCAACATAGTGAAACCCCGTCTCTACTAAAAATACAAAAAATTAGCCAGGTGTGGTGGTGTGCGCCTTTAATCCCAGCTACTCAGGAGGCTGAGGCAGGAGAATCACCTGAACCCAGGATGCGGAGAGGTTGCAGTGAGCCCTCATGCCATTGCACTCCATCCTGGGCCACAGTGTGAGACTCCGTCTCAATATATATATGTATATATATATTTATATGTATATATATGTATATATATATTTATATGTATATATATGTATATATATATTTATATGTATATATATTTATATGTATATATATATGTGTATATATATTTATATGTATATATATATTTTATATATATAAAATAAATTGCAAAGGCAGAATTCTGTAACTTTTATCATGGACATCTTAAAATATATTGAATTATGTATTAATGGGCTAGAATTCAGAAAGGAATCAAGCTCATTTAGTTCTATCCCCTGCTTTTAAGCAAAATAAAACAGTACAGAAATATTGTGGATATGTGTTGGCAAAATCTTAAAGTCAGGTAAAATTATGTAGCCTTTTAAAATAACTTTTTCATAAACCTTATACTCGGAAATATAATTTATTTCTGGTATAATTTAGATCCATCCCCATTTGCTAGTTTGTAACTTCTAAACTTAGTTCTGAGATCACCACAAGAATATTAAAGGTGAACAATTAAGTATGAACCCCCTCCATTTTGATTGTTGAGAGATTTAAAAATTAATGATGTAACTGAAGATTTATTTTATTTCTTAATCTTGTTCAGTTAAAGTGTTTTTACTTTTTAGACAGCTTCGAAGGAAGTTGAATATTGTATTCATACTAATTTGTACTTCTCTTTTCAGAAGTGAATTTAAAAAATTGAGAAGATTTGGTTATCATAGTTATGCCTTATTAAGCAAGTGTCTGAACTTATGTATAGTTTGAAGCATGGGTAGTAATTACTGTTTAGTAAAAATATGAATTGTAAAATTCAATTCAATTGATGTAATTTGTTTTCAATATTCTCTCCTTGTTTAAAATGATCAACAAATATTAATCTATTTGGACTATTTATAATTGACCGTTTACAAGTGGCACACAGGGGATGTCATAAAGAAATAGTTTTGCTTAAGAAAGATAATAATAATGAAATCCACATTGTAAAACAACATGTTTTACCCATTTAAGAGTAAAAATGCTTTTTACATTTATTATAGAAAGTGGAAAGCAGAGTGAACTCTGTGGTCAGACTGCCTGTGCTTTCATTCCTGTTCTGTCACTCAGTAAGTGTTGTGGCCTTGGGCAAGTCACTTGCAAAAGTCTTAGCTTCCTCATCAGTAAAAAGTAATTACCTGTGAGGATTACAATTATGTCATTATATTTAAACAGGCTTGGAACAGTACTGGCACATAGTTAGCACTCTATAATATTTACTATTATCTATGGTTTATATGTAAGTAGCATTTATTTTAAATGAATTTATCTATAAAGTAGTGCCTACTACTAGAAAACATTATGAGGAGTAATAGTATTGATAATATTCTATAAAAAATTATAGTCTGAGACCTATGGCTAACTTGGATGATTCTTTTTTCCCCTAAATTACAATGTATCAGTAAAGTTTTTCTTTGCAGAGAATCATTTTATGACCCAGGGGAACAGGAGGAAAGAAAGCACTTTCTATCAAGCACTTTGTATATTCAATATATTAACTTATCTTTATTTACTCAGTCATTTTTTAAGGATCTACAATTATATTATGTGAGTACATATGTAATATATCTGTATTATATAATTCCAATTATACATATAATTTAAATCTTCCCTAGAGGCTTGTGAATTTGTCATATTTTGCTTTGATTATAAAAGAAGAAAGAAGGAGCCTGGAGAGAGATTAAGTGAACTAATACATGACAATACTGGCATTTAAATCTAGATTTCTCTGCTTTAAAACATATGCTTTTCTTCAAAAATACCATATTGCCTTCATAGATAGCAAATTTAGGCCAGTGATACATACTATAACTAAAGATGACTTAGTGTGGCAAAACCAAAGTGCCAAAAATGTTAGAGTTGAAATTATGTTAAATGACTCAAATATCAACGTAAAAAATAACAATGAGCTCAATAAATAATAACTGACTTTTAAAAAAGTTATTAATGTCTTGGTGAGGTGAAAAGTTTCTTAGTCAGCCTACTAGCTATGCTGCATTTTAAGCCCGGATTACAAAGACCAAACACATTAGACCGCTTAGGAATGCTTTGAGCAATGCTTCAGTGCTTTATAGCATCTGATGAAAAGGAAAAAAGACCATTTTGCCTGAAATATTTGTTACCAAGAAACAGTTTGTTAATGTTAATATGCTTGTAATCCTGTAGGTTAAAATCAATTTAAAAAATTCACCTTAATTATTTGTAAAATAAGATGCCATGCCTTAAAGGATGTTTCTATCCCTACTTCAAAGATTTTCAGAGGATCTAACTGGTGAATTGGTAAGCTTATATTTCTATCAAATCGTTTATAAAATGATATTCTAAGCATAGTTTTTTCTTAAACATCTCTCTTTAGCAATTTTTTCTAAGATGATCAATTGACATTTCGGTAAAGACTTGAAAGAGACTAGAAAACACACAACCTCATGAAATTATGTCTCTTTGTATTTAGTTCAAGGTAGAGTACCATTAAGCTTTTCTGTTGTATGTACTTGAAGATTTCTTTTGAAGATGGTATACGTATTAATCAAGAAATTACTTGATTGAAAAATGCTGGGTAATTTGTAGAGATAATTCTAAAGAACAATTTATATGAATATATTTTATTTTCCTAAAAATAGAACAATATTCATTGTGATTTTTATTGGATCACTCTGGATTATGGGCCATTACTTTTGAAGGATGTAATAGGTTTTCATAAGTTGATGCTTTATATCTCAATGGAAACTTCACACATGTGTATCTTGTATAAAATAGGATGGTAATCAAATGCTATTATCACAGAGGGGAGGCAGCTTGCATAATGATTTAAAACATGGGATTTTGGGTCAGCCACTTTCTAGTTCCATAACCTTGATCAAGTGATTTGACTTCTCTAAAGGCTCAGTTTATGTATTCATGAAATGAGACTGCTAATAACTACATGCCAATCATTCAGTAAATGTTAGCTATTATTACTAAAATCATGGGTAACATTTTCTCATCCATCATGGCAGGAGAGATAGGCAAGCTAATTGCTAATTCTCAATTCCAAATGTTTCTGTTATTGACCACATAAACCATGAAAGAATAGTAAGATGATTTTAGTATGAGACTTACAATGTAAAGTTTTATGAAAAAAATTCAGAAAGCTGTTCCTTCAAAACTGTGTATAATATTTACATGGTTCTTCTCATGCAAAAGTACAGAACTGCATATTCACAGAATTATTAGAGTCTCAATGGAGAATGTCTAAAAAGATTTTTGCAACAGGTGCAAAACAGCTGCAGTCCTATTTTAATAATGACAATGGATATGTTTATTCCCTGTGGGCTCTTTTATGCATTTTGAGCTGACACTAACATTTAGGACAGAAGGGAAATAATAACAAAAAATCACATTTTTTCTGAGTGAGGAAAACTTTGGCATTGAGAAATGAGTATTTGACATATGCAATAATAATTAACTGTCAAACTCTAGTTTATTCTTTAAGATCACTCTGAATTGCAATATCAGCATTGGCATTGAACAATATAAATGTGTGCTAACATTTACAATTTATTTTCTTTAACAACAAACGCTACTGTGTAGCAAAATTTGATTTCAATGCTATTTCAGGTTATTAAATTTTAAACAGGTTTGAGGATAATTTCCATAATGATACTATTGATAACCCTTGCCATAGTATTAGTTTTTAAAAACATTATTTTCTGGTTCTAAAAGATTCTCCAAATCTGAGATTTTGTTCAGCAAGTCTCAATATGAGATAAAATTGGTGTCAACCGCAGAAGTATTTATAGAGTATGGACTATATACTGCTGGGGAGTTGAAGAGGTACAAAACAACTAAAACAAAAGAGTTCCCCAAAGAGCTTTCAAAGTAATTAAAAGCATGAACTTCTAAGTGGCAAACCTTGTGGACTTGAGAAGCCTATTAGGTTGAATAGTAACATGGAAACTGGAAAAGCATTTGCGTTTGGGAGAGAAAAGATAATATCAGTTCTAACATATTACATTTCAGATAATGGTGGGGTATCTATCCATGAGGGATTTCAATGTGATGTGACTGTTATAACTGTTTTTGTTATGTTGGCCAACCCATCCAATGATTCTGTATCACATCTAATAATTATTTATGTCTAATAGCTTCAAACAATTATTCTTTGAAACCTTGTGTCCTTGCTTTAAGGTATATAAGATTTTCTGCTTTCTCTAGTAGGATAGTAATTCTGATTAAAGTTCTGGTTCTTTCTGTTTCATTAGTCCTGTTTGCTTCGGTGTGGTTCTTCTGCTTATTGCCATGTTTCATAATGTGAAAATATTTTGCATGCCTCAGTTTTTGTGGATGTGAGCACTCCTTTACTCTGCCTGAGAATGTCATCCTCCTCTGCAGATGATGTGTATTTGAGAAAGAAACGAATTGTATGGCCTGGGCCTGGACTCTTAACCTTGGTTTAGGGGATGGGTGTGAGATGTCCACAGGCATCGGGATGTTACTTTTCCTTCCTTAGTTTGTCATCTTAAAATGAATGAAAGATTTGCTGTCCTGTTGTTGGCAGGGTTATTCAGCTGATTTAGCTGACTGGGCAGATGTTATCTTTTTCATTCAAAACTGACTGTAAAAATTTTCTATAATTTTGAGCTTAGTTAAATTACAAGCTTCTTCAAAAAAAGATGTATAGGTCTGTTTCCACATTGCTATAAAGAAATATCCAAGACTGGTTTGTGTATAAAGGAAAGAAGTTTAATTCAATCACAGTTCCCCATGGCTAGGGAGGCCTTAGGAAAGTTACAATCATGGTGGAAGGCAAGGGGAAAACAGGGACCTCCTTTGCATGGTGGCAGGAGAGAGAAGAACTAACAAGGGCAGGGAAAAATGCCTTATGAAACCATCAGGCAAAGGGGAAACAGACCTCCTTTGCATGGTGGCAGCAGAGAGAAGAGATAACAACAGCAGGGAAAATGCCTTATAAAACCATCAGATCTCATGAAAACTCACTATCATAGGAATGGCATGAGGGAACCCCCGTTTTCCAATTACCTCCAACCTGGTTTCTACCTTGACACATGGGGATTACAATTCGAGATGAGATTTGGGTGGTGACACAAAGCCTAACCATATTATTCCACCCCTGTACCCTCCCAAATCTCATGTCCTCACATTTCCAAACCAATTGTACCTTCCAACGGTCCCCCAAAGTATTAACTCATTCCAGTATTAACTCAAAAGTCCAAGTCCAAAGTCACATCTGAGACAAGGTAAGTCCCTTCCACCTATGAGCCTGTAAAATCAAAAGCAAGTTAGTTACATCCAAGATGAAATGGGGCTATAGGCATTAGATAAATGATCCCATTTCAAATGGAAGAAATTGGCCAAAACAAAGGGGCTAGAAGCCCCATGAAATTCTGAAACCCAGGGGGCAGTCATTAAAGTTTAAAGCTCCAAAACAATCTCCTTTGATTATCGTGATCACATCCGGATCACAATAATGCAAAGGGTGGGCTCCCACAGTTTTGAGCACAGCTCTGTACCTTTGGCTTTGCAGGGTACAGCTTCCCTCCACAGCTGTTTTTATGGCTGGCATTGAGTGTCTGCGGCTTTTCCATGTGCACAGCACAAGCTTTTGGTGGATCTACCATTGTGGGGTCTGAGGACAGTGACCCTCTTCTCACAGCTCCACTAGGCCGTGCTCCAGTGGGCACTCTGTGTCGGGGCTCCAACCCACATTTCCCCTTTGCACTGTCCTAGCTAAGGTTCTCCATGAGGGCTTTTCTCTTGTAGCAAACTTCTGTCTGGACATCTGAGCATTTCCATACATCCTCTGAAATCTAGACAGAGGTTCCCAAACCTTAATTCTTGACTTCTGTGCACCTACAGCCCCAATGCCATGTGTAAACCACCAAAGCTTGGGGTTTGCACCCTTTGAAGCAACAGCCTAAGCTGTATTTTGCCCTTTTTCAGCCACTGCTGGAATGAAGGGTGCCAAGTCCTGAGGCTGCACAGAGCAGCAGCAGGGCCCTGGGCCCTGAAATCATTTTTTCCTCACAGGCCACTTGTCCTGTGATGGGAGGGGTTGCTGTGAAGGTCTCTGACATGCCCTGGAAACATTTTCTCCATTGTCTTGGTGATTAACATTTGGCTCCTTGTTACTTATGCAAATTTCTTCAGCTGGCTAGAATTTCTCCTCCAAAAACGGGTTTTTCTTTTCTATTGTATCACCAGGCTGCAAGTTTTCCAAACTTTTACAATCTGTCCCACTTGATCATTTTACTTCCCAGAAATTTCTTCTGCCAGATACCCTAAATCATCTCCCTCAAGCTCAAGTTTCCACAGATCTCTAGGGCAGGGGCAAACTGCCACCAGTCTTTTTACTAAAGCATAACAAAAGTCATCTTTATTCCAGTTCCCAACAAGTTACTCCTCTCCACCTGAGACCACCTCAGCCTGAACTTCATTGTCCATATCACTATCAGCATTTTGGTCAAAGCCATTCAATATGCCTCTAGAAAGTTTCAAATTTTCCTGCATCTTCTTGTCTTCTGAGCTCTCCAATTCTCTAGGAGATTTCAAACTTTACCACACTTTTCTGTCTTCTTTTGAGCCCTCCAAACTGTTCCAACATCTGTCTATCACCTAGTTCCAAAGTTGCTTCCACATTTCGAGGTATCTCTATAGTAGTGCCCCACTACCTTGGTATCAATTTACTGTATTAGTCCATTCTCACATTGCTATAAAGAAATATCCAAGACTGGTGATTTATAGAGGAAAAAGGTTTAATTGACTCCCAGTTCCACGTGGCTGTGAAGGACTCAGGAAATTTATAATCTTGGCAGAAGACAAAGGGGAAACAAGGACCTTCTTCAAATGGTGGCAGGAGAGAGAAAACCTAGCAAGAGCAAGGAAAACTGCCTTATAAAACCATCAGATAATGTGAAACTCACTCACTATCATGAGAACAGCACAGGGAAACTGCCCCCATGATCCAATCACTTCCCATCTGGTTTCACCTTTGACACCTGGGGATTAGAATTCAAGATGAGATTGGGATGGGGACACAAAGCCTAACCATAGCAGAAGGAAAACTTTTATTCTTTTAAAGTCTTCCTATTTGTGT
The DNA here is from genome assembly GCF_000001405.40 of Homo sapiens. Taxonomy (NCBI): domain Eukaryota; kingdom Metazoa; phylum Chordata; class Mammalia; order Primates; family Hominidae; genus Homo; species Homo sapiens. Next base: position 195,113,407 of record NC_000002.12, on the reverse strand, counting down.
TTTTTAAATGATTTCAGGTGGGATTTATCCTATAGAAAATAGGACATAGCGGATTACGTAGGGGTTATAGGTCCAGATTTCATGGTTTTCTTGATAGGAGTAGTCTCAGAAATAATTGTGAAGGGGATATATTGATCTCAATTGTGTCACTATGTATTTCAGTGTCATTGTCCTCTCTGACATCTCAACCTACCTTAATTACACAAACACTCACTGAGTATTCAGAGTTCTTGGTTAGAGGACTTAGTTGTCTTAGCCTGTTTAGGCTGCTATAACAGTAATATCATAGATGGGACAGCTTATAAACAACAAACATTTTTCTCACAGTTCTGGAGGCTGGGAAGTCCAATAGCAAGACATCAGCACCTTCAGTGTCTGGTGAGGTCTCATTCCTTACACATAACAACTTCTCACTATATCCTTACATAGCGGAAGGGGCTGGCTAGCCCTCTGCTGCCTCTTTTTGTAAAGATGCTAATCATATTAATGAGGGCTCTGCCCTCATGACTTAACCATCTCCCAAAGACCTCACCTTCTAATACTGTCACATTGGGGATTAAGTTTCAACATATGAATTTTGAAGGGACACAACTAATTTTAGAAGATAATATTGCATTGAAATTTAGAAAATACCTTGGAGTATAGAAGGACTTCTTTCTAAATGTCCTATTGTATTCTGGAATTTGAAGTTCAATGTAAGAGATGTAGCTATGAGCATGCAAAGGCATAAGAATGATACAATGGACTTTGGGGACTTGGGGAGGAAGAGTGGGTGGGGGATGAGGGATAAAAGACTGCAAATATGTATACCGAGTATATACTGCTTGGGCAATGGGTGCATGAAAATCTCACAAATCACCACAAAAGAACTTACTTATGTAACCAACTACCAGCTGTACTTCAATAACTTATGGAAAAATATAAAAAATAAAAAATAATAAAATTACTGGAAATATTACAATTTAATTTATTTAGTATTAAGACATTTTTAAGACTTGAGACAAATGATACTTTAAAATTTATACATGTATGCCTGGGGCTTCAGGTCCTGAAATCTAATAAAAATTTTAATGTTAAATAATTTAAAAACAAAAATCATCCTCAGATTAATTAGAGACTCAAGCTAATTACTCTGCACACTTTATTACTGCTTGCAGACAAATTGCTAGCAAGTCAGCCTGTTATAGCTGAAGAACGATTGCAGACACTCACAGTTTGGCTCTTTGTAATGGAGACTGTCCCATTCACTAGTAATAATATTTCTGCTTTGTTGGTTAGTGAAGCCAGCAACTTGTCTTTGATAAAAATAACTATGCTTTTTCTTCAAAGCCCAGCAACTCATTTTTTGGTAAAAATAGCCATGCTTTTGACTTCCCTCTATATGGGAACATTAAATGTTTTCAAAGAATAAAAAGAAATAATATGCAGATTTAGGTGCTTAAAACATTTGATTTGGTGCACTCTGTGGTTGGTATATTTGAATATTTGGTGTAATTGTATTAATGAAAATAGTAGTACATTGACATAATTGTAATTTTTTTAAAAAGAGTAGTTTTAGGAAGCCATTTAGTAAAATAGTCTATGATAGGCAATATTTAATCAAGGAGAGCTCTTTAAAATTAAATTTGAGGCTGGGACTAGTTGCAAAGTCAGTTGTATTAATAGTTTGAACTTGGTTTCAAATAAAGGCAACATTTGTTTCATTGTTTTCTTTGTCTTAAATTCACTTATTTCTTCTTTGATCTTTAGTATTTCTTTTCGTCTGCTAATTGTGGGTTCAGTTTGCTCTTGCTTTTCTAGTTTTTAAAAATGCTTTATTGAGCAATCTATTTGAAGTTTTTTAAATTATTTTTTGTTGTAGGCAATTATGGCTATAAATTTCCCTCTTAGTACTGCTTTTGCTATAACTCATAGGTTTTGTTATGTTGTGTTTCCATAATCATTTGTTTCAAGACATTTTTCAACTTTCTTCTTAATTTCTTCATTGACCCACTGGTCATTCATGAGTATATTGTTTAATTGTCATATGTTTGTGTAGTTTCCAAAATTGCTTTTGTTATTGATTTGCAGTTTTATTCTATTGTCATAGAAGATGCTTAATAGTATTTCAATTTTATTTTGAATGTTTTAAGACTTGTTTGAAAGTCTTAGATCTTTTACACCTTTAGACCTTCCTTAGATCCTTGAGAAGCATCCAGCACAGGAGAAAGATGAAGGCCACAAGACTCAGCCAGTCTAGTCCTTCCACATTCCTCTGCCTGCTTTTATTCTAGCTTTGCTGGCAGCTGATTAGATGGTGCCCACCTAGATTGAGGGTGGGTTTGCCTCTCCCAGTCCACTGACTCAAATGCTAATCTCCTTTGGCAACACTCTCACGGAGACACCCAGGAATAATAGTTTGCATCCTTCATTCCAATCAAGTTGACATTTAATATTAACCATCACACTCTTTATGTCTTATTGTACTATGTCTTGAAAAGTTGTTGTAGTTATTATTTTTGATTGATTCACCATTTAGTCTTTCTATGTAAGTGAAGAGAAGTTTACACACCACAATTACAATGTTATACTATTCTGTGTTTTTCTGTGTGGTTACAAGACCTAGAAAACAGTTTCAAAAGGGCAAATCTGAGATTCATTGGCCTTAAAGAGGAGGTAGACAAAGAGATAGGGGTAGAATGTTTATCAAGGGGATAATATCAGAGAACTTCTAAACCTAGAGAAAGATATCAACATTCAAGTACAAGAAGGTTGTGGTACACCAACCAGATTTAATCCAAAGACTACCTCAAGGCATTTAATCATCAAACTCTCAATCAAAGTCATCATTTAATCTTCCTTTAACTCAAGAGAAGTTTACACACCACAATTACAATGTTACACTATTCTGTGTTTCTCTGTGTGCTTATAAGATCTAGAAAATGGATCTTATAAATAGATCTTCCAAACCTAGAGAAAAATCTCTAGGTTTATACTTTCAGATTATTTCTTCTTGCTTATTAACATCCTTTTCTGTCAGATTGAAGAACTCCCTTTAGCATTTCTTGTAGGACAGGTCTAGTGTTGATGAAATCTCTCAGCTTTTGTTCATCTGGGAAGGTCTTTATTTCTTCTTCATGCTTAAAAGATATTCTCTCTAATTATACTACTCTAGGGTAAAATATTTTTTCTTTCAGCCCTTTAAATATGTGATGACACTCTCTCCCGGCCTGTAAGTTCTCCACTGGAAGGTCTGCTGCCAGACGTATTGGAGCTCCATTGTATGTTATTTGTTTCTTTTCTCTTGTTGCTTTTAGGATCTTTTCTTTATCCTTGACCTTTGGGACTTTGAGTATTAAATGCCTGAGGTAGTCTTCTGTGGGTTAAATTTGCTTGGTGTTTCATAATCTTCATGTACTAGAATGTTGATATCTTTCTCTAGGTTTGGAAGTTCTCTGATATTATCCCTTTGAATAAACTTTCTACCCCTATCTTTTTGTCTACCTCCTTTTTAAGTCCAATAAATTTTACATTTGCCCTTTTGAGGCTATTTTCTAGATTTTGTAGGTGTGCTTTATTGCTTTTTAACCTTTCTTTGTCTATTCCACACTGATGAGTAGGGAATGCAAACATGCTGAAGGCAGGATGGTTCAAACAAGAGTCCAAGGCTGACCAGGTTTTTTTTCAGCTTTCTCTCATAATGTCACTAATTAGGTAAGTCATTATTCTCTTGAAACGTCTGATGGGAAGCTGTACTTTCCTAAGGAGTGAGAATTCCTACTGCTTTATGGAAATGCTCATAGAAAGTACTTAGACATAATGAGTTGGAATGCACAATCGGAATATGGAAAAGCAAAATTATATTTTATTTAATTCTGAAACAGGAGGCTGAATAGTATAGGTTTAGGTGCATGGATTTCATAGGTGGCAGACCTGTTTTGAATTCTAGATCCACTAGTTGTTATCTGATCTGTGTGTTCGTAGGAAATTTATATAGCTCTCTGAGACACAGTTACTTCATCCGAAAAATGAAGATAAGAATATCCCCCTTTTAGTGTTGTGAAATTTATATAAAAGGGGGCATATTATGAAGCAAATCCAGACTTAACCATTTCAGGTGAGAAATCTGACAACTAGCTTTCTAACTGGGGTACACACTGTTGTATTGCAGCATTTCCCTGGAGCATTTCCCTTGGATTCTAAAGCAAGGGCTGACTGCTTCTTGTCAATGTGGTATGTTGAACAAGTGGATTCTTCTAATTAACTCAAGAAGGCATTCGCCCAAAGCCGTCTGTTTTCAAGATCGTAGGTATTTCATTTCCGTTCTGTTGTGATAAAGAGGAATGCGATGAAGATGATCAGAATTACCTCCCATTATGAGCTTGTTAATTTGTCTGCTGTTATTTTCTAAGCATTTTCTTGGAACATATCCAGAATTTTATAAAAGAGATCATCTTCCATTTCATGCTGCTACAGACTGTGAAACAATACCTAATTTGAGATAATAAGTATTGCAGCTTATGTAAACATACATAGATACAAAACATGCTGAAAAATGCACAGTCTTTTAAATTCATTGGCAAGTATACCACCAACCAAGACTAGACGAGATACATTTAATGTAGGTATTCTTGCAGAAGGAGAGTTAAAAGTATGGAAGTACGCTAAGCATATGTTAGTATACTCATTCTATCAATCATTTCTTGAATAAAGATGTATTAAGCATCCAGTATGTATCCACTGTTCTAAGCAGTGAACTAGAGGAACAAAACCTCTCTTTTAGAGGAACTTACATTGTAAGATCAGCACACATTTGCTGAACATCTCTAAGTCTTTTCCCCGTACATTAATTATTTTTCTTCAAAGGTTATTTATTTACTTAAACATACTTATTTTTTACAAATTAGTCATAGTCTCTGTTTTCATAATTATAGTAAAAGCCAGGTTGCTTGCATTCTAACAGCTATTAATTTTTAGTAAATGACATGTATCAACTTTATTCATGAGCAGAAAAGTTCCTGAATACACCTTTCATGTGATGTCTGGTATGTGTGATTCACATGCAGGAACTGATGTGATGCTTTATCACTAAGGTAGCATAAAATTTACTTCAATGGAATTTGAGTATTAAATGTGTATCTTTGTCATTCCTTGGAAACTGGTAAGGATGTAATATATATGTGATAATGCTTTGTAACTCAAAATATATGATTTACTCAAATGTCTCATTTCTCAATCATTTTAAATGACAGTAGTGTATCTTTCAACAATTTTCCCACTTTAGTAAAATATTTAGTATGTATTGAGGAACAACTGTGAAAATGCTTTGTGTACAATAGCTCTAATATCAACAATAAAGATGAAAGATTTATTGTTGTCCTCATTTTCTAGATGGGGCATGGAGGCCACAGTTATTGTATAATTTGTCCAAAGTAACATAACTTGTATGTAGCAGGTCCAAAATTTAATCCAGATTTGTAGAGGTTAAATTTAGTGTTCTACTACATTATTTTACTACCTCTAAAAACTTGAATGTGCATTTGGAGACAGCTTTTATTTTAATGTTTATTTTAAGTTCAGGGGTACATGTGCAGGTTTGTTATATAAATAAGCTTATGCCACAGGGGTTTGGTGTACAGATTATTTTGTCATCCAGGTAATCAGCAAAGTACCCAATAGGTGTTTTTTTCTGATCCTGTGCCCCTCCTACCCTCCACTCTCAAGTAGGCCCTGGTGTCTGTTGTTCTCCTCTTAGTGTCCATGTGTTCTCATTGTTTAGCTCCCACTTATAAGGGAGAACATGCAGATTTGGTTTTCTGTTCCTGCATTAGTTTGCTTAGGACCATGGTCTCCCATCCATGTTGCTGCAAACAACATGATTTCATTCTCTTCTATGGCTGCATAATATTCCATGGTGTATATATGTCACATTTTCTTTATCCAGACTACTGTTGATGGACATTCCATGTCTTTGCTATTGTGAATAGTGCAGCAATAAACATACATGTGCATGTGTCTTTATGGCACAATGCTTTATATTCCTGTGGGTATATACCCAGTAATAGGATTGCTGGGTCAAATGGTAGTTCTAAATTCTCTGAGAAATTGTCACACTGCTTTCCACAATGGCTGAACTAATTTACACTCCCACCAGCAGTGCAGTGTACAAACATTCCCTTTTCTTTGCAACTTTGCCAGCATCTGCTATTTTTTTACTTCTTAATATTAGCCATTCTGACTGGTATGAATGGATCTCATTCTGACTGGTGTGAATGCTTCTCATTCAGTCATTCTGACTGGATCTCATTGTGATTTTGATTTGCATTTCCCTAATGCATAGTGATATTGAGCATTCTTTCATTTGTTTCTTGGCCACTCGTATGTTTTTTTTTTTTTTTTTGAGCCGGGGTCTTACTTACTCTGTTGCCCATGCTGGAGTGCAGTGGTGTCATCATAGGCTTACTGCATCGTCTGCCTCCAGGGCTTAAGTGATCCTCTGGCCTCTGCGCCCTGAGAAGCTGGAACCACAAGAACATGTCACCACACCTAGCTATTTTTTGTATTTTTTTGTAGAGAAGGGGTATTGTCATGTTGCCCAGGCTTGTCTTCAACTCCTGGACCCAAGTAATCCTCCCGCTGTGGCCTCCCAAAGTGTGGGGATTACAGGCATGAGCCACTGCACCTGGCCCATGTATGTCTTCTTTTGAAAAGCGTCTCTTCATGTCCTCTGCCCACTTTTTAATGGGATTGTTTTTTGCTTGTAAATTTCTTTAAGTTCCTTTTAGATTCTGGCTATTAGGCCTTTGTCAGATGCATAATTTACAAATATATTCTCCCATTCTATAGCTTGTCTGTTTACTCTTTTGATAGTTCCTTTTGCTGTGCAGAAGCTCTTTGGTTTAATTAGATCCCATTTGTCAATTTTTGCTTTGGTTGTAATTGTTTTTGGCATCTTCATCATAAAACCTTTGCCAAGTTCTAGGTCCAAAGTGTTATTTCCTAGGTTATTTTCCAGGATTTGTATAGTATTAGGTTTTATATTTAAGTCTTTAATTCATCTTGAGTTGATTTTTTTATGTGGCGTAAGGTAGGAGTCCAGTGTTATTTTTCTGCTTATGGCTAGCCAGTAATCCCAGCACCATTTATTGAATGGGGAGCCTTTTCCCCATTGCTTTGCTTGTTTTTGTCAGCTTTGCTGAAGATCAGATAGTTGTAGGGGTATGGCATTATTTTTGGGCTCTCTATTCTGTTCCATTGGTCTCTGTGTCTGTTTTTATACCTCCATGCTATTTTGGTTACTGTAGCCCTGTAGCATAGTTTGGAGTCAGGTAATGTGATGCTCTCAGCTCTGTTCTTTTTGCTAAGAATTTCTTTGGCCATTCGAGCTCTTTTATGGTTCCATAAGAATTGTAATTTTTTTCTAATTCTTTGGAGAATGTCATTGGTAGTTTGATAGTAATAATACTGAATCTGTTAATTGCTTTGGGCAATATGGCCATTTTAATGATATTTATTCTTCCTATTCATGAGCATGGAATGTTTTTCCAATTGTTTGTGTCACCTCTGATTCATTTGAGCAGTGTTTTGTAATTCCCATTATAGAGAGATCTCTCACCTCCTTGATTAGCTGTATTCCTAGGTATTTCATTCTTTTTGTGGCAAGCATGAATAGGATTGCATTCCTCAGTTGGCTCTTGGCTTGGATGTTATTGGTGTATAGGAATGCTAGTGATTTCTGTATGATGATTTTGTATCCTGAAACTTTGCTGAAGTTGTTTATCAGCTCAAGGATCTTTTGGGAAGAGACTGCGGGGTTTTCTAGATATAGAATCATGGCATCTACAAATAGGGGTAGTTTGACTTCCTCTCTTTCTATTTGAATACCTTTTATTTCTTTTTCTTGCCTAATTGCTCTGGCCCGGACTTCCAATACTATGCTGAATAGGAGTGTTGAGAGAGGGCAGCCTGGTCTTGAGCCAGTTTTCAAGGAAAATGCTTCCAGCTTTTGCCCATTAAGCATGATATTGGCTGTGAGTTTTTCATAGATAGCTCTTATTATTTTGAAGTATGTTCCTTCAATGCCTAGTGTGTTGAGTGTTTTTAACATGAAGGAATGTTGAATTTATTGAAAGCTTTTTCTGCATCTGTTGAGATAATCATGAAGTTTTTGTTTTTAGTTCTGTTTATGTGATGAATCACATTTATTGAATTGCATATATTGAACTAACCTTGCATCCCAGGAATAAAGACTACTTGATTGTGATGGGTTAGCTGTTTGGTGTGCTGCTTAATTCAGTTTGCTAGTGTTTTGTTGAAGATTTTTAAAATCTATGTTCCTCAAGGATATTGGCCTGAAGTTTTCCATTTTTGTTGTGTGGAGGTAGCTTCTCAACTAAGATCTATGGCATAAAAGACAGATTTTGTAACAGTATATTACATGAAAGCGAGATATCAAATATTGTACTTGAGAAGTGCAGATATCATACAAAACCACAGCTATGTCAGGTGAAACAGATTGTTTTATTTGCATTAAAATATTTGCAAAAGCAGTTTAATTGCATTATGAGGCACATTCATATGCACAGATGCTGCTTGAGTAAGGTTATGATTATTGCTGTATGTTATATTAGAATTAATTAATCTTGTTTAGCAGGTAACAGACTCATTAGTAAGCCCTTTTATTTTAATGCTATAACACATGTATATTTAACTAATTATTTGAATGTTCATAATTTCAAACTGTTAGAAAAGCTTCAAAAATAGTAGAATAGTAGCCATATAACCTTTAGGAATGTTAACAGATTCTTAAAATTTTGTTATCTTTGTTTTAATTTGAGAATAGTTTTCAGAAATTTTGCACTTTACCCCTAAATACCTGAGAGCATTGATAGAAAGTCTTGGATTGAAGAGCAATGTGTGATCCAGGTATTAAAACTCTTCAGCAAATGAGGGGGTATATGTCAGTGACCAGTCTCCTGGTCAATTGCTAAAGGGAGTGTACCATATAATGGCATGATTTGTAATCTGGAAATAATAGTCTCTATATCTGTGGGCATGTTCTGATATCCAGTCCTTATTGGCCTTGTCCTTCAGTGACATGGTGTAATGTCAGTCATCATTCCAATGGGCTATACCGTAGATCTTCATATTGGAAAACTCTTTTATTGCTTAACTGACAAATTCAGATATTCTCATTTAATTATAATCAGCAAACCTTCTAGCCTTCTCTTTACCCATATATCTCTCCCTATCTTCCTTGCACCCTATACCCTCATCACAGTCACTTATATTCTCTGCAATATTTCCTTATTGTATTTCTGATTTCAACAGTCTAGAAAAATCCCCAAACTGGGTAAATCCAATCATCCACTTTTTTGGCACTTAATTTCAAGTTCTGAGTACAGGTGTAATGATTTTGCTACTATAAATTCATGCTCTTCAACTTTTTTCCCCCCAACTTTTATTTTAAGTTCAGGAGTACATGTGCAAGATGTGCAGGTGTGTATGGTCTTCAATTTCATCTAGACTCTCCTCAATACCAAGCAAGCCTAGTCAGCAATCTTCCTTTCATTACTATGACCATTAAAATCTTATTGTTTTATAGTTTAATAGACATATCTAGTGGTCATCTTGTTTCTCTTCTGTAACTTCAACATCTTCCCTGCTACAGAATCATTCCCATTAAAATTTAAATAACTATACTCTAACTAGGAGTGTGAGCTATTGCTGTAGTCCCTATGGATCAAGGGTCCTCAAGTGCATCTACCCAAATATTTCCAGTTCAAGTCTCCGAGATCTACTTCTTCCTTATTAAAATTCTGTCTATAGCATAAAAGTTTTGCCAGTACTGAGAATTCAACTTTTTTTGAAGTTCCCCTACTCTTAATATTAAGTTCTGAGTCTGTTTCTCAGTACAATCACCTCTCCAGATACAGAAGGTAAGAGCTTCTTTAAAACCTGGCAAAGAAGATCTCTGGCTTTTATACTTTTCTTTAAGTTGGCGATTGATCGGCCGGACTCTTATTTTCTCTCTTCAAAGTATTACTGGTAATCAGGAACACCCATCCCATTGGACAATCCTTATAAGTGCTATTTCCCCTATACCTTTGAAATGCCAGATGCTGTATAAGCCAGTGCACCCTCTTCAACATATTCCTGGTTTCATTTACCCCAGGTAAATGTATGAACAATTACACCCCTATAGCATGCCAGGGATTACCAGTGACGTGTGGATAATCCATCTTGGAATCTCCATGCAGCCAGCTTCCTTGAACCATCCCCGTTACCAATTATGTGAGACTGACTCAACCTTAGAAGCAAAATGTGAGACAGAAAGTCAGTTATACACTATTTTCTGAGGGAAGGCTTTTCTCAAGGAAACTATAAAAAAGCGAGAGAAGCAAAAAAGCAAAGGGGAAAAAGCTGAGCAAGAATAAAGCATAGCCTTGACTTATTTTTGTAGAGGGGATTCACACCACAGAGTTATTCACAAATTGAGGCAAGAAGGCTGGCCTTTTGAACCCTGCATTAGTCAAACACCGACCCCAGGTTGCCCTACCTATGAGATGCCAAATCGAATCCTCTAGAGAAGGGAAAAGTTGTTAGCAGTTGTAATAGCCATAGTCATCTCTTAAAAGATGGAGCACCAGCAATGCTGCTGCTGGATGAACTTCAAAAACAACACGATGAGAAAGGGAAAAAAACCCACCAGATACTATGTAACATATACTTATTATTTTATTTATGTGAAATTCAGGAACAGGCTAAATTAATCAATGGTGATAAAAGTTAGAATGACCATTATCTCAGGATGAAGAAAACAGGACTTAAGGTACTTTCCAGTAATTATGATCTCTATGGTCTTCCAGAATCAGGTATAGGCTGTGGGTGAGTGATCTGGAAAATGGTAAAAATTTGGGTAATGGCTCAATATACAACTAAAGATTTGTGTACAGGGTAGAAAGGCAGAATCCTATGAGTCGAAGGAGGTCATTTTGGCCACTGACTCCAGCTAAATTGTGAGGCAGATCTGTTTCTTGCTCCCCCCGCTCCCTGATTTAGCATGTTAATTCACCAAACGTTTACTGAACCGCTTTTGGGTATCAGTTCTTTTCTCTTTTTCTTCTTCATCTTCTCTTTAATTTTTATTCCCATTCGCTTTTTTTTTATTCTTCTGATTTTCTAACTGATAATTCAGAAAAACTTTCTCTGGCTCAGCTTTTGATTCCAACTCCTTTCAAACATTTTATATTGTCTTATATGAAATATTATCACTTTGAGTAAGTCTCATTGGAGCCGCTTCTTATAACAGGAATTTATGTGGTTATAAATACTGTACATCACTTACGTTTAAACACCCAGCTTAAAAAACTCATGCTGTTCCCCTGGGACTCACAACTCACTCAGAGCCCTGCATGTCAGAATCATTCAATCAAACATGTACAGCTTATAAAAGTGACTATTCCCCAAACCTTTATTTATCCTTCAAACAGTTTTAATGTTGGTTGAGTACATGAATGCCACAAACTATATTTTTCACCAAAACATTTCTTTCAGTCATCCCATGCATTCACAGCATTAGTAGCAAAATATGAGTTATGCTGTTGTTTTCCAGAGAAACGATTACAAACTTGTGATGAAAAGAATAATGCAGAATTCACACATTATTACACTGTGTGAAAAATGACACTGTCATGTACAGAAGGATCATGGATTATCTTAAAGTTCACTGGTTGCCTTTCATAATCTTTTTTCCATCTTTGAAGAAATAGGATATGAAGATTTTACGCAAGAACCATAAAGTTAGTATGAAGAAATTATAACTTTAAGTCACCTTCGCTATTTTTGGTATAAATGCATAAATTTCAACTGAAGAAACACTTGTGAGATATTCTGAAAGCAAATAACAAAAAGATATTTACATAATACAAATAATTATGTTAATTTCTGACAGTTATCAATTATAACTGATGTCTACTATAATCTGATTGATATCTAATGCCAATCATTTTCATTTTATTTTGGTTTAACAAAGAAAAAGTTTTAAGGAAATGTATTTAACTGGTTGACGTATCCTTTTGCTTTTTCCCTAATTGAGAGTCTACTTTTGATATGTCTCTGTATCCTGTAATGCTTTCACAATAATATAATGCTCTCTATTCTCCTCCCTTTTTAAGTCCCCACCCCAACTACTTCATGTAGACTATATGCAAAGAAAACCTGACATTCCAGGTCCAAGAAAAATATCTAGTACGCTATTCACAATAGCCATACATATATACATATGTGTGTGTGTGTGTGTGTGTGTATCACAAAACATCAACGTGTATATACATGTGTGTGTATATATGTATGTATATATGTGTGTGTGTATATATATATATATATATGCAGTTGTAATAGCCATAGTCATCTGTTATACACACCCACACAACACACACACACACACACACACACACACACACACACACACACACACAGAGGGGGTGCTGGAGAGAGAGAGAGAGAGAGAGAGATTAGAGTACCAATCACCTAAGCTTAGTGACTGGTTGGAATTTTCACTGTAAACGAGGTAAAGGATTAAGTCTCTTCCTTCCATATGATATGGGTTATCTGACTTCAGGAAAAAAGGGTCTAGGCTTGTATACCTTTACTTTGACCAGTTGTTGGATGTTTGCTAACCTTGGGGAAGAGTAATACTTGGGAAAGCAGCTCTGTTCTGCTAAGAGAAATGCTGAGGGAGCAACTCAGCTGAAAGCTATCACCAACACTAACAAGGGAATCTTGGGGACATACTACAGCATCCACTGTGATTGGCCTTCTCCATTTTACAGATGAATTATTTAGAACTTGTGCCTTCCAAACCTGCCACGGCAGAGGAAAAGGGAACGCTTTTTCCAACACCCAGTCACGTGTCTTAAACCTAGCTGCAAGGGTGGCTGGGAAAGGGAAAAACACATACATATTTGTTGAATTCTTTATATTAATTTTGTATTGATACATAATAGATGTACATATTTTGGGGGTACATGTTTTGTTATATTCATGTAATGTGTGCAACTCAAATTTGGGTAATTGACATATCCGTCTCTTTAAACATTAACTTTTTCTTTATGCTAGAAACATTTGAATTATTCCCTTCTAAATATTTTGAAATGTGCAATAGATTATTGTTAACTACAGTCATCCTATTGATCTGTCAAAGACTAAGGTCTTATTTCTTCTATCTAACTGTATATTTGTACTTATTAGTAAACCTGTCTTCCTTCCTCTGTCCCGCCTATATTTCCCAACCTTTGGCAACCACCAATCTACTTTCTGTCTTTATGAAGCCTATTTTTTTTTTTTGGCTCCCATATATGAGTGAGAACATGTGACATTTGTCTTTCTGTGCTTAGCTTATTTCACTTAATTACCTCCACTTCCATTCATATTGCTGGACATGACAGTATTTTATTCTTTTTAATAGCTGAATAACATTTCATTGTGTATACATGTTATTATTTTTTTTAAGATTCAGAGGGCTCATGTGCAGGTTTGTTACATGGATATATTGCATGATGCTGTGGCACGCTTGCCCCACTCCCTCTTTCCTCTCTTTTGGGGTCCCTAGTATCCGTTATTCCAAATGAGAACATGTGGCATTTCATTTTCTGTTTGTGCATTAATTCACTTAGGATAATGGCTCCAGCCGCATCCATATTGCTGGAAAACATAATTTCATTCGTTTTAATGGCTGTGTAGTATTTCAGGATGTATATGTACCACATTTTCTTTATCCAATCCACCATCGTTGGGGACCTAAGTTGATTTTATTTCTTTGCCATTGTAAATAGTGTTAGAATAAACATACCCATGCAGGTGTCTTTTTGACAGAATAATTTATTTTCCTTTGAGTATATACCCAACAATGGGATTGCTGGGCCAAATGGTAGTTACATTTTAAGTTCTTTGAGAAATCTTCAAACTGCTTTCCACAGTGGCTGAACTGATTTACACTCCCACCAAAAGTGTATTAGCATTCCCTTTTCTCTGCAACCTTGCCAACATCTGTTTGTTTTTTTTTTTTTACTTTTTAGTAATAGCCAGTTTAGATGGCATAAGATGGTATTTCACTGTTGTTTTAATTTGCATTTCTAAGATGATTAATGATGTTGAGCATTTTTTGATAGGTTTGTTGGCCACTTGCATGTCTTCTCTTGAGAAGTGTCTGTTCTTGTCCTTTACGCACTTTAACAACTTGTTTTTTGCTTGTTGATTTAAGATCCTTCTAGATTCTGGATATTAGCCCTTTGCCATATGCAGTTTGCAAACATTTTTCTCCCATTATATAGGTTGTCTTTTTACTCTATTCATAGTTTATTTTGCTATGTAGAAGGCTTTTAGTTTAATTAGGTCACAATTTTCAGTTTTCATTTTTGTTGAATGTGCTTTTGAGGTCTTAGTCATACTTTTTTTCTGCCGGGGCTAATGACCAGAAGAGTATTTCCTAGGTTTTCTTCTACGATTGTATAGGTTGAGTTAATTTTTGTATATGGTGAGAGATAGGGGTCTAGTTTTATTCTTCTGCATATGGTTATTTAGTTTTCCCAGCACCATTTATTGAAGATTATTCTTTCCCCATTGTATGTTCTTGGCCCCTTTGTTGAAAATGAATTGGCTGTAAATGCATGGATTTATATCTGTGTTACCTATTTTTTTCTATTGATCCGTGTGTTTGTTTTTATGCCAGTACCATGCTAATTTGGTTGTTATAGCTTTCTAGTATATTTTGAAGTGAGACAGTGTAATGCCTCCAGCTCTGTTCTTTTTGCTCACAGTTTTTTTTTTTTTTTTTTTTTTGGCTATTCTGCATGTTTTGTGGTTCCATATAAATTTTAGGATTTTTTTTTTGTCTATGGAAAATTTCATTGGTATTATTATAAGGATTGCATTGAATCTTTTTAAAGGCTGAATAATATTTTATTCTGTATACATATTTTTTTTTTAAGATTCAGAGGGCTCATGTGCAGGTTTGTTACATGGATATATTGTGTGATGCTGCCGTTTGGGCTTCGATTGAACCTGTTACCCAAATAGTGAATGTAGCACCCAACAGGTAGTTTTTCAACACTTGCCCCACTCCATTTTTTCCTGGGAAGTATTTTGGGTAGTGTTGGCGTTTTAAGAATATTAGTTCTTGCAATCCATGAGCATGGAATATCTTTCAATGTGTCCTCTTCAATTTATTTCATCAATGTTTTATAGTTATTCTTGTACTGATCTTTCACTTCTTTGGTTAAATTAATTTCTAGGTATTTTATATTCTTTGTAGCTATTATAAATGGTTTTTTAATTTGTCTTTCATATTGTTCACTATTTGCATATATAAATGTTACTGACTTTTTGTATGTTGAGTTGTATTTTGGAATTTTACTGTGTTTATTTATCAGTTCTAACAGTTTTTTTCGTAGAATCTATGTTTTTCTAAATATTCGATCATGTCATGTACTAATAAAGTTAATTTTACTTATTGCTTTACAATTTAAATGGTCTTTATTTCTTTTCCTTGCCTAACTGTTCTGGCCAGGACTTCCAGTATTATGTTGAATAAAAGCGGTGAAAGTGGGCATCTTTGTCTTGCTCCAGATCTTAGAGGAAAGACTTTCAGTCTTTTCCTGTTCAATATGATGTTAGCTGTGTGTTTGTCAAACATGGCCCCTATTATTTTGAGGTATGTTCCTTCTATACTCAGTATGTTGAGGTTTTTATCATAAAGGAATGTTAAATTTTTGAATGCTTTTTCAGCTTCTATTGAAATAATCGTACAGTTTTTATTCTTGGTTCTGTTAATCTGATTTTCATATTTTGAGCCATCCTTGCATCCCTGGTATGAATTCCCCTTGATCATGGGAATAATCTTTTAAATGCGTTGTTGAAATCAGTTTGTTAGTATTTTGTTGAGGATTTTTCCATCTATGTTTGTCAGTGATATTAGTTCTTTTGTTACTGATAACTAATTTTACTCCATTATGGTTGGAAAAGAAACTTGATGTAATTTCTACTTTTTTGAATTTGTTGAGACTCTTCTGTGGCCTTAGAAATGGTCTATTCTGGAGAATATTCTATAGGCTTATGAAAAGAACATGTGATCTGCAGCAGTTGGGTGAAATGTTCTGAAAATGTCAGGTCTATTTCATCTGGTGTGTAATATAACTCCAGTGTTTATTTGCTGATTTTTTTTTGTCTGGATGATCCATCTGTTACCGAGAGTAGAGTATTGAAGTTCCCCATTATTATTGTACTGCAATCTATCTTTCCCATTAGATTAATGTTTGCCTTATATGCTTGGGTGTTCTGGTGTTAGGTGTGGAGATGTGTTTTGTTTTTGTTTGTGTTTTTTGAGACAGGATCTTGCATTGTCACCCACGTTGGAGTACAGTGGCATGATCTTGGCTCACTACAACCTCTCCCTCCTGGGTTCAGGTGATTCTGCCACCTCAGCCTCTTGAATAGCTGGGATACAGGCATACACCACCACACTCGGCTAACTTTTTGTATTTTTAGTAGAGACAGGGGTTCTCCATATTGGCCAGGCTGGTCTCAAACTCCTGGACTCAAGTGATCCAATCACTTCAGCCTCCCAAAGTGCTGGGATTACAGGCATCAGCCACCACCCCCAGCCAGTGGAGATGTTTTTAATTGTTATATCTTCTTGCTGAATTACTCCTTTATCATTATATAGTGACCCTTTTTGTCTCTTTTTATAGTCCTTGACTTGTAGTGTATTTTATCATCTGATGTGTAACGTCTCCTGCTCATTTTTGATTTTCACTTACATGGAATATCTTTTTCCATCTCTTCCCTTTCAGTCTGTGTGTGTCTTTATAGGTGAAATGAGTTTCTTGTAGGCAGCATGGAGTTGGTTCATGCTTCTTTATCCATTCAGGCACTTTATGTCCTTTAATTGGAGAATTTAGTCCATTTATACTCCGTGTTAATAATGATCAGTAAGGACTCACTACTACAGTTTTGTTGCTTGCTTTCAGGTTGTTTTGTAACTCATCTCTTCCTTTCTTCCTTTCTTATTGTCTTTGTTGTTAAGCAATTTTCTCTGGTAGTATTTTTAATTTGTTGCTTTTAATGTATCTGTTTTAGGTTTTTGCATAGCAGTTACCATGAGGCTTACAAAAACATTGTATAGATATAACAAGTTCTTTTAAATACATAAAAACTTATTTTAGATCACAAAGGAAAGATTTGACACAAACAAAGAAAAAACTAAAAATAGAACCAAAACCATCTTTACATGTTAACTCTATCCTCCCTACCATTTTAGGTTTTTGTTTTCTCAATGTGTGCATCTTTATATTGTTTACCTTTTAATAGGTTGCATTAGCTATGATTGTTTTAGATAGTTTTTTTTTAGGCTTTATAATAGTGGGTTGAACACCAAAATTACAGTATTCGAGTATCCTCGGTTTGTCTATGATTAGTTTTACCAGTGAGTTTTAGACTTCCAACTAGTTTTATTTTGTTTTTGCACATTGGTGGGCTTTTTTTTCTTTCATACTTAAGAACTTCCTTTTAAGATGGGTCTCATGGTGGTGAATTTTCTCAGCTTTTGTTGGAGGGATAGCTTTGCTGGGCACAGTATTTTTATATGGCACTTTTTTTCTTCTTTCAGCACTTTTTGAAAATGTCATTATTATTCCCTCTTGGCCTGTATGGTTTTCATTGAGATGTCTGTTGCCAGATGAATTGGAGCTCCTTTGTATGTTATTTGCTTCTTTTCTCTTGCTGCTTTCAGGATCCTTTCTTGTTTCTTGAACTTTGAGAGTTTATTATATACCTTGTGGTAGTCTTATTTGGCTAGAATCCATTTGGTATTCTCTGATCTTCCTGTACCTGGATATTTATCTGTTTCCTAAGTTTTAGAAAGCGTTCTATTATTATTTTTTGAATAAGCTTTCTACCCCTTGTTCTTGCTCAACTGCTTCTGGAAGACCAGTAATTCTTAGAATTGGCTTTCTGAGGTAGTAATTTTCTATGTCTTGTAGGTGATTTTTCTTTTCATTATTTTTTTCTCCTGTGTATTTTCCAATAGCCTGTCTTTGATCTCACTGATTCTTTCCTCTGCTTGATCCATTCTGCAGCTGAGACTCTCTAAAGAAGTGCAGCAAATGTATTTCTCAGTTCCAAGATTTCTCTTTGATTTTCAAAAATTATTTCAATCTCTTTGTTAAATTTCTCTAATAAATTTCTAAATTACTTTTTTGTGTTGTCTTGGAAATCACTGAGTTTCCTTGAAACTGCTATTTTGAATTCTTGATCAGATAGCTCACACATTACCATCTCATTGGGGTCAGTCACTGCTTCCTTGTTTTGTCCATTCTCTGCTGTTATTTTTCGTGAATGTACATCTGTGTCTTTGCATCAAAGAATTAGTTACCTATTTTAGTCTTCTCTGTCTGCTATGTTTTGTTTTTTATTGGATGTTTCGCATAGAGAAACTTTATTACCTATCTGTTGAATTTCTGTGTTCCTCCCCCTCACCCCAGCTAGATCTCTCCCTCCTTTTTGACACTAGATGATGCTTTAAGCTTAGGTTTGCTATGGCTCTAGTAAATTATCAGAGTGCTGCCCATCTCAAATGGGGGAGGTCCTAAAGGTCCTTCCAACAGTGTAGGAAGGATGCCAAGGTATTTCTGCCCAAGGGACCTATGGAATGTACCCCTTACAGCATGACCCTTCTGAACAGCCACTCTGATTTGGCACCCTCTTTGGCTGAGTTACAGAACAGAGTTTCCAGGGCTGGGGATAGTAGTCTCACTTCCCCCTTTTGTCTCTGGATGTCCTCAGGGATATTTCTCCCTTTAGGCACTCATGATGCTTCCTTTAGGTTGAAGCAGGGAACCCAAGGAGGCTGGTTGTTCACCGAAATCTCATTTTTTCCAGTGCAGAAACCATGAGTCATGGGGGAATTTTTTATGTACTTGGTGCCAAAAAGGTTCAGAGGAAGTACATTGTAAATATGAAAGTCCAATTATCTTATCGTATGCTCTAAGTATTTTCACTTCTTTGTGGCCTTGGGAACTCTCTCATCCTCATGTTTGAATTCTGGAATATTGCAGGTGATAATCTCAGTGCTCTATATTTGTTTTTAATTATATAGGGGTGGGGGAGGGAAGCCAGATTGCTTTTACACCACCATTTTGGAAGAATCCTCCTATTTATTGAATATTAACAATCTCTGACATACTACCTGATTTGATAGATGATAGTTTTTGATGCCTGAAAGAATTTGCTCATACCAAAAATGTGTTTATTGTGAAGATGAAAATTATATAACATTCTTCCAAATTTAGGGACTGGGTCATTTATTTGGATTTGCTTTATTCTAGAGTTGTTCTGTATAGAGGTAATGGGTATTTTATACACTACTTCTCCCTTAGTAAGTCAGAGGGATGTTTTATACCATCTAGAACTACAAAAAAAAAGAAATGGCTTTGCTTCTGAAGTTACCATTCATGCCAAGCACATAAGTCACCAATGTCATACAACAGTGAATTTAGAGAATATGGTAGCAATTTTGGTTAGGACATAGTTTCATCTGCAATAGGAAAATTTGTTTTATTCTCACATAACACTTTATAAGCAGAAGGTCCTGGTATTGCAGATCTGCTCCACGAGGTCCAGGGACTTAGGCTCCTTCTGGTTGTTGCTCTTCTATCCTTGGAATGTTATGCTTGTCTGCATGTTCCAACATGGCTCCCTATCATATCCAAGTTTAAAGCAGCAAGTTAGTGGAAGGAGGAGGAAAGAGTCACCTTTTCCTTCCTTTAAGAACATATCTGTAAGTTGCTTATATCATTTCTCTTCACATTCCATTGGGAGAACTTAATCATATAGAGGCACACCTGCTGAGAATTATAGTCTTAACTCTAGGTGGCCATATATGTAGGAAGAGGTGAAAGAATAGTGTAGGATAACCATTTTCACAGCCACAGTGGCCTGGATCCTGTCAGTTAACACTAGGTTTGGGACTTGTTTATGGTAGGTGTCTCTGTTCTCCTTTCAAAAAAATAAAAGGCATTTATCCCTCTGCAGAGAATCTACTTATTTGGGATGAAGTAAGATCAGTTTCAAAACGGCAGGGTGTAAAACTGTGCTCAATCAAGCATAAAATAAGATTTTTGCATTTTTGTTCCTTGTTAAAAATAGAGGGTTAATTCAAATGCATTTAGAATATAATTACTTTTCATCAGTATTTTTTACACTTTCTTAGTAGTACATAAATGCATATTATCCTTAATTTAAAATGACACCCACTGTGTGACTTCTAGAATAGTATGGAGATGATCCTTGTGTCCCTCCAGGGAGCTAGAGAGTTAATGAAAATGCATTTGGTGATGCATATTAATTTTACTTGATAGTATGAGTTAAATACTTTTCTGGTGATAGTAATTTAAGATTATATTATTTAATGTAATACTGAGAGCATTTTTGACTCTTCTACGACAGATAAATATAATTTACTGACCTTGAAATTATTCAAACTTGATTTAAAACTAGAAAAAAATGAGTAATTTTTAAGTTCATTAATGTGCAGCTTGTAGGTGTGCCCTAACAAAATTCTAATATTTAAATATAACCCATTTTTTCTTAAAGGTAACTGTTTTTGTAGATAAATTATAATTTTAAAAAACAATTTTAAAATTAGAGCTCTAAAAATTTTGAAGAAGCAACTTTTTAGGTCTTTGATATTAGTGAGAAAATCTTGAAAGTAGCTTTTTTTTTCTTTTTTTTTTTTTTTTTTGTAATTTTGAGTCAGTTCTGCTCCAACAGATTACTAGGGGTTCTAGGACTGTGGGACCCCTGGGGACACATCCTATTCTGTGCTTGCTGACATCTGCTGGATTGTCTTGGAAGTTAATCTATGATGACTGATTCCTCCCAAAAAGAACAAGTCCTGCCCATGCTCCAGGAAACTGTTGGGTCTTTTGTTTGGGGAAAGTTTGCTGGGGTCAACAACCTTTTATGCCTCAGATACCTGTTGTCTTTAGTTATTACACCAAACTCTAGCTTTTTCAGTAATCAATATTCTGTACTGCAACCACTTTCTTTTCTCCTGAACCAACTTCCATAGTTCTATTTTCCTAAAACTCTTTCTTTTGCCTTTTGAAATTCTTATTCTGTGGTACAAAATTCTTAAATCCTTCTCTAAATCTCACCGTTTTCTCTGAATCTTAGATAGTTTCAAAGAAACTGCCTCGTAGGTCTTTTAATTAATGTTATTCATTATCTTACAAGCCAGAATACTCAATATTGGGAGCAGGGTAGGCATCCTCACCACTCTCCAAATCCAGCTTCTGTCATTTAATTTTCTTGGAGCCATATATATATATATATGTGTGCGTGTGTGTGTATATATACATATGTGTGTGTGTGTGTGTATATATATATATGTTAACTACACATCTCATTGCTTTAATAACATCTTCTGACCTCTTGATCATTCTTGGTCACTCATTAAAGACTTTGGTATTTATCTACAGTTTTTCCCTCTGAACCGTCTTCTGCCATCCTCTAACATAAGATCAATATCCAATGCTTAAGGCACTATAGGCATGTCAGTTAACTGTCCCTTAACTCCACTTCAGCTATGCACTCCTAAGATCTACCTTGGAAATTTTCCTTATCCATAATTATGTCACTTCTAAGTTCCTGTCATAAAATACTCTATATCTACAAATATCTATACTTTCAACTCTCTCACACAGAAGGAGAGTGTGTCACGCTTAAGAATGCAAACTTTTAAATTAGTCAGACCTGGGTTTGGATTTAAATTTTGAATTTTTTAAACAGATCCTTAGTAGCTTACTTAATTAAATTAGGCTTTAGTTTTCTAAGTAGTAGTTAAGGTACGTAGTCCAGTTATAAGCCTACTACACATTTGCTTCAGGTTCTTTAAACTTTTGATTGCATCTAATATAAAGAAATACACATTCCTATCTTTTTTAGATTAAATATTAAAGCTCACTTTAGTGTCCTATACTATCTCTCTTCTGATCCAGGAGAGAAAAACATGAGTTACTTAGCTAGAACATATGACATACAACTGCATCTATGCATGATATTCAGCATGTATTATTTTATGTGTTCATTTTGGAAGGTTGCAGGTGACTTTTCCCCTTTGGTCAGTTTAGACTCACGACTAGCAGAACTAGCTATGAGTAAGTGCAGAGCCACTGGAATATACTAAGTGGTCAGCAAATGTATTATCATTTATTATTTCTACTACAAAAACCTACTCAAACCTTTTGAGATGTTGGTTCCCCTACTGTCTCCTGGCTATCAGAACCCTTCTCACTTTCTCCCTTCTTCAGCATAGACCTATGGTCCATATCCTTAATAATTCTCTTGCCAATACCAACAAAATACTTGCTCCCTTTTATTCTTCTTCTATCTCCTCGGAAAAAATTTTCTTTTCTAGTCCTACTTATGACCTTCTAATGACTGCTAAAAAATGACACAATAATGCAATTTTCATTACAAGAAATTCATGGTCTCTGGCATTGACTGTGCTATTAGAAGTTATTTTCTATTTCATTAGCCATTCTGTTTACCTATTTCATGCAGCAATTTTATAAAACAATTCCTATTATTTTATAATGGCTCTCATTTTCCTTTCGTCTGCCATTGTGTAAGACATGCCTTTCACCTTCCACTGTGATTGTGAGGCCTCCCCAGCCACTTGGGACTGTGAGTCCATTAAATCTCTTTTTCTTTATAAATTACCCAGTCTCGGGTATTAGGTCTTTATCAGCAGCATAAAAACAGATTAATACACTGAGTTTTCAGTCTGACCTTTCTAACATCTCCAACATGGGTTTGGTCCTTGTGTTGTGTTCTAACAACATGCTATGTTTATTTATTTTAGCACTCATCTCACTCCTCTGTAATCACACATTTACTTCCAGTCTCCTCAACTTCTTTTATGTGAGCAGGAATGATCTTATTACTCGTTGTGTCCCTAGTTCCTAGCAAAGGGCTTGAAAGATGCTTAATACGTACTTTTGAATGAGTTAGTTTATGATAAGCCTTAGTCATATCTGACTAGACCAAATAAATTGCGTTTGTTTCTTTATATGGAATGTAAGTTTTAATACTATTGTTAATGATGTTTTTACCTTATTTAGGTGGCAATATATATCTTCAATTAATTCATAGCATAGGTTACCTTTCTTTGTCAATGATAATAAATATATGTTCTCTATCATCCTTTTTATCTACACTTTAGTGTCATGGTCGGCACTACTACCGTTTTGCCAACCCATAAGGAAAACCTCTTTTTAACTCAATCCCATCTCTTCTAAAATTCTGTCACTATTTTCTTTTCTCAAAAGCTAAGTTTTTTTTTTCTTTTTTCTTTTGGATTTCTGCTCTTGCCATCTCTCATCTGTAACATAGCAAGCCTCTTCTCTGACTACATATCTCTGGCTCTGTACCACTCCTGTCAGTCCTCAAATTCAGGATGGAAGTTTTCTTATCAACCCATAACTTCTCTCTCCGCACTCAAATTTTGTTTTCTGAGCAGGCTCTGTCAATAAACTGAAATTCTGAGAACTTGCTCACTATCCTCTCATGGGTATAGTGATAACTGGATCACATATGAGTTGACTGTTTTTATGAGGCCATTTGTTGTAGATAAAGTGGATGGTTATATTACTCTATAACTAAATGTTAAAATAAAATTTTCAAAAATAATTTAAGACTCAATAACATTGTTTTCTGTGAGAACTGGAAATAAAAATATTCTAATGAGAGCAAAAGTTGTTTTGTATTGTTATGCAATTTTAAAAGAGAATGAGCCCTATTTTAAAATATTTTTATTTCATCTTTTATTTTTAAAAATGTGTAATTTTTTGTATTTTTACCTACTGAATATGTATTTTTTATTATTTATTATTATACTTTAAGTTCTAGGGTACATGTGCACAATGTGCAGGTTCGTTACATATGTATACATGTGCCATGTTGGTGTGCTGCACCCATTAACTTGTCATTTACATTAGGTATTTCTCTTAATGCTATCCCTCCCCCCTTCCCCCACCCCACGACAGGCCCTAGTGTGTGATGTTCCCCGCCCTGTGTCCAAGTGTTCTCATTGTTCATTTCCCACCTATGAGTGAGAACATGTGGTGTTTGGTTTTCTGTCCTTGCGATAGTTTGCTCGGAATGATGGTTTCCAGCTTCATCCATGTCCCTACAAAGGACGTCAACTCATCCTTTTTATGGCTGCATAGTATTCTATGGTGTGTATGTGCCACATTTTCTTAATCCAGTCTATCGTTGTTGGACATTTGGGTTGGTTCCAAGTCTTTGCTATTGTGAATAGTGCCTCAATAAATATACATGTGCATGTGTCTTTATAGTAGCATGATTTATAATCCTTTGGGTATATACCCAGTAATGGGATTGCTGGGTCAAATGGTATTTCTAGTTCTAGATCCTTGAGGAATCGCCACACTGACTTCCACAATGGTTGAACTAGTTTACAGTCCCACCAACATTGTAAAAGTGTTCCTATTTCTCCACATCCTCTCCAGCACCTGTTGTTTCCTGACTTTTTAATGATTGCCATTCTAACTGGTGTGAGATGATATCTCATTGTGGTTTTGATTTGCATTTCTCTGATGGCCAGTGATGATGAGCATTTTTTCACGTATCTGTTGGCTGCATAAATGTCTTCTTTTGAGAAGGGTCTGTTCATATCCTTTGATCACTTTTTGATGGGGTTGTTTGATTTTTCTTGTAAATTTGTTTAAGTTCTTTCTAGATTCTGGATATTAGCCCTTTGTCAGATGGGTAGATTACAAAAATTTTCTCCCATTCTGTAGGTTGCCTGTTCACTCTGATGGTAGTTTCTTTTGCTGTGCAGAAGCTCTTTAGTTTAATTAGATCCCATTTGTCAATTTTGGCTTTTGTTGCCATTGCTTTTGGTGTTTTAGTCATGAAGTCCTTTCCCATGCCTATGTCCTGAATGGTATTGCCTAGGTTTTCTTCTAGGGTTTTTATGGTTTTAGGTCTAACATTTAAATCTTTAATCCATCTTGAATTAATTTTTGTATAAGATGTAAGGAAGGCATGCAGTTTCAGCTTTCTACATTATGGCTAGCCAGTTTTCCCAGCACCATTTATTAAATAGGGAATCATTTCCCCATTTCTTGTTTGTGTCAGGTTTGCCAAAGATCAGATGGTTGTAGATGTGTGGTGGTATTTCTGAGGGCTCTGTTCTGTTCCATTGGTCTACATCTCTGTTTTGGTACCAGTACCATGCTGTTTTGGTTACTGTAGCCTTGTAGTATAGTTTAAAGTCAGGTAGCATGATGCCTCCAGCTTTATTCTTTTTGCTTTAGATTGTCTTGGCAATGCGGGCTCTTTTTTGGTTCCATATGAACTTTAAAGTAGTTTTTTCCAATTCTGTGAAGAAAGTCATTGGTAGCTTTATGGGGATGGCTTTGAATCTATAAATTAACTTGGGCAGTATGGCCATTTAGAATACAATATTTTAATGCTTGGATATAATTAACCAACAACTGTGTGTATATATATAATTCTTTCCCATATATATGTATGGGAAACAGTCTCAAACAAACTTGTTGATAGTTACAGTCAAAATGTTTTGAGGTCACTACACCATAGTATCCTTTGTAGTCATATTATGTATGATGGAACTTTTAATTTTGATTAAATATTTGGTGAAAATTTTAGTAGTGAACATTATCATGAAGTTAAGAACTTTTTTCTAAGGGCAAGATGGAAGTGAAAGCCATAGCGATTTTTGGGAATGAGCAGAATAGACAAGAATCATGGTTGAAAGGAGAAGGTATAGATCAAAATATCAAGAAGTTTTTAAACTTATAATCTTGCCTAGCAACGTACATAGAATTGAAAGAAAAGATTAGCCAGGCGTGGTGGCTCATGCCTGTACTCCCAATGCTTTGGGAGGCTAAGGCGTGTGGGTGGATCACCTGAGGTTGGGAGTTCGAGACCAGCCTGACCAACATGGAGAAACCCCGTCTCTACTTAAAAAAAAAAAAAAAAAATTAGCAGGTGGTGCATGCCTGTAATCCAGGTACTTGGGAGGCTGAGGCAGGAGAATCACTTGAACCCGGGAGGTGGAGGTTGCGGTGAGCCGAGACCACGCCATTGCACTCCAGACTGGGCAACAAGAGCAAAACTCCATTTCAAAAAAAAATAAAATAAAATAATAAAGATCAAGAGAATGACCCAAGACTAGTTACTTTCATGATTTGAAGAAAACAATTAAAGTTGCTGATTAATCTCTTGGGTGAGAAAAAAGGCTCTCTGTGAAGGTTAACTTTCTATTTCCTCAGGCACAGAGCCACAGGAGGTTGTTAGTGTGTACCACTGTCCACAGGTTACAATCAACTCAGAAAATTTAAAGAGACACATCCAAACACCAGACATCTGCTACAGACCTGCTGAGACTTTGAGACACTGAAGCAAAAATGTGAAGTAGGCAATAGAGTATATAGGCCAGGTGTTGAGAGGAGAGTCAGTGTAGGGGATATTTGTTTGTTCGTTATGGTATTTTAGAAGATAATTAAAGTTGAATGAAGGCAGTAGATGAGGCTGCTTAGAAGAATAAGAACTTCAGGTCTAATCTGGGATTTAGAGTTCAGGTAGCAGAGGGTGATGGGGACTGGGAAAAAAATAGAGATGAAAGAAAAAAAAGAGTGAAGTGACATGGACACAGACAAAAAATAATATTTAGGAATGTAGAATGGATGAACAATATTAAATCCTGCTGAAAAGTCAAATCATAAAATTCACTGATGGAGTGAAAGAGGTCAATGATAAAGTAATGGGGGTCTGAAAACAAATTGGTGTAGGCTGAGCAGTGAGTAGGTGTTTAGGGAAATGATACAGCAAGTACTCTTTTAGGGAAAATTGTTTGGTGTGAAACAGTAAGAAAAGAAGGGTAGCCTAAAGTAGAAAGGATTTATTAGAATTTATGTTGTCTAATGCACCATGTCAACTTTTAACAGGTTAGATACACAGTTGTGAAAGCTATTATAAAATGTGTGGGCAGTTTATGATTTGGGCATTACTGACATATGGTTGGTTATTTATTTGTATGTGTATGTGCAGTCTGTTCTTAAGGAAGAACGTTCCATATTCTTAGTAAATATCTGATAATATTAAGGTCAGTGAATGCTGCACGATAAATGGCTCATAATACAATGCAATTAATCTTCCTAAAATACTATAAATTTCTGTCTATGTATATCTCATTTGGGAGAAAGAATCAAGACTACACAAGGATTGAGTCTGTGCTTTCTTTCTTTATGCAAATTTGGAGGATACTATTGTGATTTTCTAGTATCTAGTAAGCTCCTTATTTTCCAATCTATTATTTTGGCATTTGGAGAAACAATAGGCAAAAAGAAACTATGTGCCTCCTATTCTGTACCTACAGTATTCTATATGTTCCTTTTATTTATGGCTCCTATGTGGCACCCAGCTTCCTACCCAGGGTAGAGGAGACCTTCAGGTTGAGTAACCATAAGTTGGTGCAGTTATATTTGGCTGGCAGTAGCAAAAATATTTAATCTGTTGTTCAAATGTTAGAAGGATTCTTTGGAAGAGAAAAGGGCAGTCAGCCAAGCAGAGACATTAATGTCATGCAGCAATAGGATGAAGTCAGCAGTGGGAGAAAATTTAGGTTCCATTTTGATCCTAGAGAATGCTAGGAGGCTTATTTCAGATAACTAATGTTCCCCCACTTCCGCCGCCTTGCCAACCAATCTGTCGGTATCTTCAGGTTCATAATCAGTAGAAATAACTGTTGAATAATTAAGTCCCTCAAAGAGAGATAGGCTGCATTTAACAACTGCTATGAGATCCTTGCATAACGAGATCCAACCCACACATGCCCTTGTTATATTTGGGCTGTAGCAGGAAAAAAAGGAGAGCAAGAATTGGAATCAAGTTATAACTATTGGCAAGTTGGGCTAGAAAATAGGAGGGAAAAAAGAGAATAAAGTTAGACTGAGAAGTTAAATATTGTAAAATATTTTAGATGATTAGAAAAAGTTTGTCAAATTAATTCATTCATCTTTATCTCTACTCCTTTAATAAAAGTAGGATTTTATTGATAATAATGTCATTAGTTTGAAAGTATTGTTCTTAAATACCTTGAAAACTGTATTAAAATCAACACAGTTACATTCTATTTCTTAAATAAGGCCTTTTTACTGACTGAGGGATCTCATTTATTGGTTTGCAGATTGAATCATTGTTCCCCCAGAAATGTAATTAATAAAATGCCAGTAATCATAGTAAGAGATTGTGAAGTGATTTTGAAATTTATTGAAAAAGATACAGAACTTAAGAAGTTGTTTAAAGCAAGAAATGAGAGATAATATTGGATAGAACTATGAGTTCTCAGGTACCCCCAAGTTCCCATGGCAATGATTGGTAAGATGATAATTGATAGAGTGTGGATTCCCCAGCTAAATTCTCCTTGCACCCCATTATGCAACCTCAGCCATTTGACTGTTGCAGAAATCTGGCTGTGTGTCTGCTATCTTACAAGATGCAAGCAATTATTGAAAAAATTATTATATCTAGTGGGGGATGGGGTGAAGATATTGTTGTTTCCTGGGAGAATCTGTAGGTGTAGGTGTCTTTCTGATCACTGCTCCACAAAACAAAATGATATCAAATAATTAATGATGTAAAATATTTACTGCATGTTTATTAATATATTACATAAAATGAATATTAATTACATTTTGTATATCATGTTCCCTAATTTTTATATATTTGACAATTAATATAGTTGGTAAAATATCTCATTTTGATTTAGATAATTGGAACCATATTTATGTGGTTAAAGGTGAAAAGTAAAAAAAAGCCCTGTTTTCTTTTAATGTTAATAGCAGCTCCCAAGCTTCGGGGGCAGTAGAGCTTGGGCTCTGGAGCCACATTGATTGGCTTCCACTTTTCTTTGAGATTAAGAGATTGGAAAACCTAAAATTATGTTACCAGTCTCCCTTGTATTTAGGCTTCTGGATTTAAATTATTTTTTTGGAAAATTGATATAACTGTAAGAGATTTAGATGGCAGAATAGAGGAGAGAGAAACCAACTTCCTGCTGCTCTTGTAGCTAGCAAGCAGTCTGAAACATTATTTAGAAGCAGGTGCCAATGTTTGTGTTTTATTTCTTTTCAAAAAGTAATCCATTTATACCACATTTTAAAATTTATTTGCATAGAATTAATTCCTTGAGTCTTCTATCTCTTCTCTCTGGGTTACAACTTTAAAAGTTTATGGTACAAAAGCTATGCTTTTTCTTCCTGATGAGAAGAAGTACTGATAAGCTTTTTTGTTTGCTTTAATGTCTGTTTTATTGCCATTGATTATTTTGTGGTACCTTTCACTAGGGTTTGAGGAATAAGTTCCTTTAGTCTCATTATTGTTTTTCTGCTATACCATCCTATCTCCTGGGTGCATTCAACTTTTACAGGTGGCAGCTAGTGCAAGGGAGAATAATCCACACAACAGGCAATTGCAGCCCTCAGCTTAATAGGTCTGTTTACAGGAACCACCAAACCTGAAGAAAGATCTCTGTCATCTGGCAGTCCTTTCCTCCCCAGTCAATAATGGACAACAGGTGAGGCAACATGTGTACACAAAGATTCATCTACATTGGCTACATTGAGAGATACCAGAGATCTGAGATATGCAAGTATTCCCTAGATTATCGGGCTTGAGAAAATCCTTTGTATTTACACAGATCTTCCTCATTTTGATTACATTTTTGTCCACTGAACAAATCCCTCTCAGCTACTCCCCAGCCATTCCTCCAAGCCCATTAGATCACGGATTTCATCAAACACTTGCTAGTTACTCTTTACTTCCATTTGCTCATTGATTTTCACATACAGTGGAATTATTATAAGGTTGTGGTGGGAATGGGGTTGAAAGGAGGATCAATTGTAACATTAATGGTGTCAAGTTGTGTGTCAACCAGGTTCTCTTCATTTGGTGGAAACTCCTCTGTGTTCCTTGCTCATCCTATCTGTATGGTAACATGATTTAGCAACTCTGTAGCCTCTTTCTCCTTATCCAGTTTGATTTTCTTAAGTTTCCCCAAATTTACTAGTCCAACATACAGAATATTTCTGAGTCCTTAGTCCAAATACTTCTATTAGTTTGTATAATAAATTTCTAATCACCCCTCTAGAGTTTTCTTGTGATAAAAACTGAACAATATAATTCTTTCTTACCAGTGTTCAAAATGTGAAAAATATGAATATATGAAAATAAAAACAACTTTGCAACCTCTTAGCATAAATTAATATTTTCCTTATTGAATTATTTTTATCACCTGCTTAAATCATCATATGTTGTAACATATTATGTAATCGGGATGTGTACTTAGAATAGGCTAATAATCATGATTTATGGGATTGAAAAACTTAAAAAAATCACATGACATTTTGTAATTCACAAATGCATCACCAAGCAATCTGATAAGGTTACTTTTTACCTATAAGATCTATTGCAGAGAGAATTCTTGAATTAATAGAAGAAGCTTCATGAATAACGGCAAATAGGTGCTTTGTGTTACAAAGTAAAACCATGAAGCATGGTGTCCTTGAATATGAAATTCCCTTTATGAAAGTCCTGTTTTTTCAGAGGTAGTCCTCAGAATTGAATAGCATTTAGGCTTTTGTATGTAGAGATCAGATATTTCATGAATTCAAGGACCTGACTAATCGCTTGTGAATACTAAGAATGCTGTAAAAATAATAGAAATAAATTATCATGGAGAAGGAAAGAACATAGATCTAGGTAGGGATTTTAAGAACAAAGACTGAAATATGTTATTACATTTAGAAAGAATTGTTGCTTGAAATTTTGTATTAAGATGTGTTCATTCAGGTGCCAAGAGCTATACCTTGATGGATTGCAGTACAAAGAAGAAAAAAGAGGAGGAAGGTACAGTACTACATATGTTACCAAACTCATTTCACCTGTAAAAGAAGAATATTGATTTCATTCATCTCACTTAGTTGGGAGTCTGACTTAAGAAAAATTCAAGTTCATTGATGTCAACTCTAGAGCTGACAGGATTATACTGAGAACAGAAAGAAGTGAACAGGAAAATGATAAATGTAACTTCATTAAGAAAACTTTAAAACACTATTTTTCTTTATGAGATGGCAGCAAAGGAGTTGCAGATTCTGGCTGCATCTTTAATCTGTGGTGACCTTTATGACATTTGTGATCTATAGGCTTTAAATTATGTATGTGTGTATGTGTATGTGCACTTTTCAAGAACATTCAGGACACACAAGTCAATAAAACAACTGCATAAATTTTTTTCCCTGAATGCTACTTGTTTGTTTGTGTGTATTTGTGCTTTGAAAATAACAAGGAACTTTATATAAAGAGTGCAGTAAATATAATATTTAGCTTTTGCACTTTTCAATTAAAATTGTAATTTTTTCACTTACTGAATTTTACTCTCCAACTGTTTTCATTATAATTTTTAATTTTTTCTATCAAAGAAGGTATCACCATTGTTGCCTATGAGTATTAAAAACATACTGCGATTCTTTAACTCTTTCATCCATTAATTTGACATGTATTTATTGTCTTCCGCATGTAAGTTATTTATCACATTAGATACTATGAGGGACATAAAGATGAATTAAACCTAAAGGCATCTTTAAGAAGATTATAGAATACTGCTTTCATCTAATATTTTAGAGATTATATTTTCTGGCCAGACTATTTAATTCCAATATATATTTATGGTTTTCTCCTTTGTCATTTTTCTTAAAACTATGATTTAACCCATTATAAATCATGGATGCTTTGATGATTTTTGATATTTTATCTTTTAGTGATAACCAATACCAACTGAGTCCCGTGCTAACCCATCTGAAGTATGGCACACCTAGGCAACTGGGCAGATGAAAATACCCTGCCCTAATTTTACAAAAATATTGGGAAGATTAAGTAACTTCCAGGAAAATGCTTAAGAGGAGAGACTAAATATGCATTAACCAGTTAACTGAAAAATTCAAAAAGCAGCTAAGTCTACCAAATTCATGGTTGTTTTCTTCTACGGGACACAATGTCCCAGAACATTTTGTGGAATGGGAACTCCCTTAACGCTGGTTTAACAAGATGCTAGCTGCTTTGCCTCAATAATAATCCATTTAATCGAAAGTGTTGAGCTACAAACTGGTGACTAAATGTTTAGTTATCTCTTTGGTGCTAGCTGTGTCACTTTATTTGTTCCCCTACTCAGATAAGAGAAATACATGAAACGTATTTGTTTAACATAGTTGGGTTCTCCTTACCTTCCTCAAGCACATCAATCCAGAAAACCCAGGGAGAAGATGTTGTTTTAAAATGTAATGTAGTGTGAAAATTTCAATTCCCAAAGAACAGCAGATTTTGTAACACGGTAAATGAAAAACAAAATTGTATACAGCTCCATTGACAATTGAACTTTGCCCCAACCTCAATTACCTCTCCTCTTGTCCCTTATTCTATACAGCAACTTGAATAAGGCTTTACTTGAATTTCCTTAACAAATAGGAAATGTTTTGTAATTTAGTGTTAGTGTCAAAATAGAAAATCTGTTTTTTTGAATACTCCAAGATTATTTATTTGTTACTATTCACATGTTTTTGCAATTGCTTTTTTTTCTTTTTCCTTTTCCTTGGGATCTTCTTGTTCCCCATGGTTTTATATAAAGAACCTCTACAGTTTCATTTTTTAAAATTTTCACTTCTTTTTCAAATTGTACCTGCTAAAAGCTTTGCTGTGAGCTATAAAACTAATTCCAAAGAGTTGACAAAGATTTCACACTTAAAGTGGATGAGATCTTAACAATTTTATTCTAGGAAAAATAGCTCCTTCAAGTAGTGGTTTGACTATTTACACCTTTAGAGAAAAATCTTTGTCTCATTGTCAAACTAACTTTGAGAAAGGATCTATGTTCCTTTGGAAGTCATTCTGGGGGCTGTGTGAAAATACTTTTGAGTTTATACAATATGCTTTTTCCTTCTTCTTGAAGATAAAAGGTGACTTTTTAAACATTTTTTTCTATGGACGCTCTTCCTATTTAAAAAACAGTATTTTCAGATCCAAGCAAAGAAGATTTTACTATATTATGTTCTTTTCAATAAAGGGTGGCAAGTGAGATTTATAGGAAAATAGAACTTTGCAAAAGGGTTCTAAGGTGTTTATTCTTATAATATGCTAGAATGACTAGATGGAGAATTTACTCAAACTCTCTCTTCCATTCCCTCATTTAGTAATACAGGGATATAGGATATATGTAGCCCCATATGGAAAAAGGTATTAGAAAATATGTCACATTACTTTAAAAGTACATTATCATTGTACCTAGACATTCTTTCATTGGTGATCAGCCTTATGTAATAATTTAGGAATTACATAAGGTGGTTGGAATAACATAGAATTTCCTACTATCAGTTTACAATTTTGTGCTTCCTTTAAGTAATATTTAATTTGATTAAAATTGATTATTCCATTGTGATTTTGCAGGTCATGGCTGATGTGATTAGGATGAGTAGGGAAAAAGATGGCATTTTTTTTTAAATTATACCTTAAATTCTAGGGTACATGTGCACAACATTCAGGTTTGTTACATAGGTATACATGTGTCATGTTGCTTTGCTGCACTCATCAACTCGTCATTTACATTAGGCATTTCTCCTAATGCTACCCCTCCCCCAGCCCCCCAGCCCCAGACAGGCCTCTGTGTGTGATGTTCCCCACCCTGTGTCCAAGTGTTCTCATTGTTCAACTTCCACTTATGAGTGAGAATATGTGGTGTTTGGTTTTCTGTCCTTATGATAGTTTACTTAAAATAATGGTTTCCAGCTTCATCCCTGTCCCTGCAAAGGACATGAACTCATTCATATTTATGGTTGCATAATATTCCATGGTGTATATGTGCCACATTTTCTTAATCCATTTGGGTTGGTTCCAAGGTTTTGCTATTGGGAATAGTGCCACAATAAACATACATGTGCATGTGTCTTTATAGCAGCATGATTTATAATCCTTTGGATATATACCCAGTAATGGGATTGCTGGGTCAAATGGTTTTTCTAGTTCTAGATCCTTGAGGAATCACCACACTGTCTTCCACAATGGTTGAACTAATTGACACACCCACCAACAGTGTAAAAGCATTCCTATTTCTCCACAGCCTCGCCAGCATCTGTTGTTTCCTGACATTTTAATGATTGCCATTCAAACTGTCATGAGATGGTATCTCATTGTGGTTTTGATTTGCATTTCTCTGATGACCAGTGATGATGAGCATTTTTTCATATGTCTGTTGGCTGTATAAATGTCTTCTTTTGAGAAGGGTCTGTTCATATCCTTTGCCCACTTTTTGATTTTTTTTTTTTTTTTTTGTAAATTTGTTTAAGTTCTTTGTAGATTCTGGATATTAGCCCTTTGTCAGATGGGTAGATTGCAAAATTTTCTCCCATTCTGTAGGTTGCCTGTTCACTCTGATGATAGTTTCTTTTGCTGTGCAGAAGCTCCTTAGTTTAATTAGATCCCATTTGTCTATTTTGTCTTTTGTTGCCATTGCTTTTGGTGTTTTTGTCATGAAGTCCTTGCCCATGCCTACGTCCTAGGTTTTCTTCTAGGGTTTTTATGGTGTTAGGTCTTACATTTAAATCTTTAATCTATCTTGAGTTAATTTTTGTATACAGTGTAAGGAAGGGATCCAGTTTCAACTTTCTACATATGGCTAGCCAGTTTTCCCAGCACCATTTATTAAATAGGGGATCCTTTCCCCATTGCTTGTTTTTGTGAGGTTTGTCGAAGATCAGATGGTTGTAGATGTGTGGTGTTATTTCTGAGGCCTCTATTCTGTTCCGTTGGTCTATATCTCTGTTTTGGTACAAGTACCATGCTGTTTTGGTTACTGTAGCCTTGTAGTATAGTTTGAAGTCCGGTAGTGTGATGCCTCCAGGTTTATTCTTTTTGCTAGGATTGTCTTGGCTTTGCAGGCTCTTTTTTGGTTCCATAGGAACGTTAAAGTAGTTTTTTCCAATTCTGTGAAGAAAGTCAGTGGTAGCTTGATGGGGATGGCATTGAATCTATAAATTACCTTGAGCAGTATGGCCATTTTCAAGATATTGATTCTTCCTATCCATGAGCATGGAATGTTCTTCCATTTGTTTGTGTACTCTTTTATTTCATTGAGCAGTGGTTTGTAGTTCTCCTTGAAGAGATCCTTCACATCCCTTGTAAGTTGGATTCCTAGGTATTTTATTCTCTTTGTAGTAATTGTGAATGGGAGTTCACTCATGATTTGACTCTCTGTTTGTCTATTATTGGTGTATAGGAATGCTTGCGATTTTTGCACATTGATTTTGTATCCTGAGACTTTGCTTATCAGCTTAAGGAGATTTTGGGCTGAGCTGATGGGGTTTTCTAAATATACAATCATGTCATCTGCAAACAGAGTCAATTTGACTTCCTCTTTTCCTAATTGAATACCCTTTATTTTTTTCTCTTGCCTGATTGCCCTGGCCAGAACTTCCAACACTATGTTGAATAGGAGTGCTGAGATAGGGCATCTTTGTCTTGTGCCAGTTTTCAAAGGGAATGCTTCCAGTTTTTGCCCATTCAGTATGATATTGGCTGTGGGTTTGTCATAAATAGCTCTTATTATTTTGAGATATATTCCATCAATACCTAGTTGATTGAGAGTTTTTAACATGAATGGGTGTTGAATTTTATCGAAGGCCTTTTCTGCATCTTTTGAGACAATCATGTGGTTTTTGTCGTTGGTTCTGTATGTGATGGATTACATTTATTGATTTGTGTATGTTGAACCAGCCTTGCATCCCAGGGATGAAGCTGACTTGGTCGTGGTGGATAGGCTTTTTGATGTGCTGCTGGATTCGGTTTGCCAGTATTTTATTGAGGATTTTCACATAGATGTCCATCAGGGATATTGGCCTAAAGTTCTCTTTTTTTGTTGTGTGTCTGCCAGACTTTGGTATCAGGATGATACTGGCCTCATAAAATGAGTTAGGGAGGATTCCCTCTTTTTCTATTGATAGGAAGAGTTTCAGAGAAAATGGTACCAGCTCCTCTTTGTACCTACAATACAATTTGGCTGTGAATCCGTGTGGTCCTGGACTTTTTTTGGTTGGTAGGCTATTAACCATTGCCTCAATTTCAGAGCCTGTTATTGGTCTGTTCAGAGATTCAACTTCTTCCTGGCTTAGTCTTCGGGGATTGTATGTGTCCAGGAATTTATCCATTCCCTCTAGATTTTCTAGTTTATTTGCATAGAGGTGTTTATGGTATTCTCTGATGGTAGTTTGCATTTCTGTGGGATCGGCGGTGATATCTCCTTTATCATTTTTTATTGCTTCTGTTTGATTCTTCTCTCTTTTCTTTATCAGTCTTGCTAGCGGTCTATTTTGTCAATCTTTTCAATAAACGAGCTCCTGGATTCATTGATTTTTTGAAGGATTTTTTGTGTCTCTATCTCCTTCAGTTCTGCTCTGATCTTAGTTATTTCTTGCCTTCTGCTAGCTTTTGAATGTGTTTGCTCTTGCTTCTCTAGTTCTTTTAATTGTGATGTTAGGGTGTCGATTTTAGGTCTTTCCTGCTTTCTCTTGTGGGCATTTAGTGCTATAAATTTCCCTCACACACTGCTTGAAATGTGTCCCAGAGATTCTGGTACGTCTGTCTTTGTTCTCATTGGTTTCAAAGAACATCTTTATTTCTGCCTTCATTTGTTATTTACCCAGTAGTCATTCAAGAGCAGGTTGTTCACTTTCCATGTAGTTGTGTGGCTTTGAGTGAGTTTCTTAATCTTGAGTTGTAATTTGATTGCACTGAAAGACAGCTTGTTGTGATTTCTGTTCTTTTACATTTGCTGAGGAGTGTTTTACTTCCAATTGTGTGGTCAGTTTTAGAATAAGTGCATGCGGTGCTGAGAAGAATGTATACAGAAGAAGAGTTCTGTAGATGTCTATTAGGTCTGCTTGGTGCAGAGGTGAGTTCAAGTTCTGGATATCCTTGTTAATCTTCTGTCTCATTGATCTGTCTAATATTGACAATGGGGTGTTAAAGTCTCCCATTATTATTGTGTGGGAGTCTAAGTCTCTTTGTAGGGCTGTAAGGACTTGCTTTATGAATCTGGGTGCTCCTGTATTGGGTGCATATATATTTACGATAGTTAGCTCTTCTTCTTGAATCGATCCCTTTACCATTATGTAATGGCCTTCTAGTGTCTGTTGATCTTTGCTGGTTTAAAGTCTGTTTTATCAGAGACTAGGATTGCAACTCCTGCTTATTTTTTGCTTTCCATTTGCTTGGTAGATCTTTCTCCATCTCTTTATTTTGAGCCTATGTGCATCTGTGCATGTGAGATTGGTCTCCTGAATACAGCACAGTGACGTGTCTTGACTCTATCAAATTTGCCAGTCTGTGTCTTTTAATTGGGGCATTTAGCCTGTTTACATTTAAGGTTAGTATTGTTATGTTTGAATTTGTTCCTGTCATTATGATGTTAGCTGGTTATTTTGCCCATTAATTGATGCAGTTTCTTCATAGCGTTGATGGTCTTTACAATTTGGCATATTTTTGCAGTGGCTGGTACTGATTGTTCCTTTTCATGTTTAGTGCTTCCTTCAGGAGCTCTTGTAAGGCAGGCCTGGTGGTGACAAAATCTCTCAGCATTTGCTTGTCTGTAAAGGATTTTATTTCTCTTTCACTTATGAAGCTTAGTTTGGCTGGATATGAGATTCTGGGTTGAAAATTCTTTTCTTTAAGAATGTTGAATATTGGCTCCCACTCTCTTCTGGCTTGTAGGGTTTCTGCCGAGAGATCCACTGTTAGTCTGACGGGCTTCCCTTTGTGGGTAACCAGACCTTTCTCTCTGGCTGCCCTTAACATTTTTTCCTTCATTTCAACCTTGGTGAATCTGACAGTCATGTGTCTTGGGGTTGCCCTTCTTGAGGAGTATGTTTGTGGTGTTTGCTGTATTTCCTGAATTTGAATGTTGGCCTGCCTTGCTAGGTTGGGGAAGTTCTCCTGGATAATATCCTGAAGAGTATTTTCCAACTTGGTTCCTTTTTCCCCGTCACTTTCTGGTACACCAATCAAATGTACATTTGGTCTTTTTACATAGTCCCATATTTCTTGGAGGCTTTGTTCATTTCTTTTCACTTTTTTCTCTTATCTTCTCACTTTATTTCATTAATTTGATCTTCAATCACTGATATCCTTTCTTCCACTTGATCGAATCTGCTATTGAAGCTTGTGCATGCAACACGAAGTTCTTGTGCTGTGGTTTTCAGCTCCATCAGGTCATTTAAGGTCTTCTCTACACTGTTTATTCTAGTTAGCCATTCATTTAACCTTTTTTTCAAGGCTTTTAGCTTCCTTGCGATGGGTTAGAACATGCCCCTTTAGCTCGGAGAAGTTTGTTATTTCCGACCTTCTGAAGCCTACTTCTGTCAACTCATCAAACTCATTCTCCATCGAGTTTTATTCCCTTGCTGGTGAGGAGCTGCGATCCTTTGGAGGAAAAGAGATTCTCTGGCTTTTGGAATTTTCAGCTTTTCTGCTGTGGTTTCTCCCCATCTTTGTGGTTTATCTCCCTTTGGTCTTTGATGTTGATGACCTATGGATGGGGTTTTGGTATGGATGCCCTTTTTTGTTGATGTTGATGCTATTCCTTTCTGTTTGTTAGTTTTTCTTCTAACAGTTAGGTCCCTCAGCTGCAGGTCTGTTGGAGTTTGCTGGAAGTCCACTCTAGACCCTGTTTGCCTGGGTATCACCAGGGGAGTCTGCAGAACAGCAAATATTGCTGCCTGATCTTTCCTCTGGAAGCTTTGTCTCAGAGGGGCACCCGCCTGTTTGAGGTGTCTGTTGGCCCTTTCTGGGAGTTGTCTCCCAGTCAGGCTACACGGGGGTCAGTGACCTGCTTGAGGAGTCAGTCTGGCCATTCTTGGAGATCGAACACAGTGCTGGGAGGACCACTGCCATCTTCAGAGCTGTCAGACAGGGACGTTTAAGTCTGTAGAAGCTGTCTGCTGCCTTTTGTTCTGCTATACCTTGCCCCCAGAGGTGGAATCTAGCAGCTTTTTGAATGGAATAAAAAGCACTAGTTCTATCCTTTATATTCTCTGCAGAAAGTCAATGAAGTAGGGAAGTGGGTGGGGATATAAAGGAGCAATAAACAGAAATATATCAAAATTAAGAGGAAATATTTAGACATCTCATTTATTTTATTAACTGCTTTATAAATGTTCATATACTATGGGCACAACCTGAGTTTGTATTACGTGCATTACAAGATACTCAGTACAATGCCTTGAACACATGAAGGTAAATCCAAGTTTTGATTAAGCATATTAGAAGGTAGTGTTAAAAGAAAACTTTAGACGAGTTAATTTTGATGGAGTTTAATTGAGCAAAAAAAGAAACAATTCGCGAATCAGGCAGCCTCCAGAATCACAGAAGATTCAGAGAGACTACAGGGGTGGATCATGGTCAGAAGAAATGTACAGACAAAAAGGTAAATTGACATACAGGAATTGGAAGTGAGGTACAGAAACGGCGATACTGGTTACAGCTCGGCGTTAGCCTTATTTGAATGCAGTTTGAACATTCAGCAGTCCATGAGTGGTTGAAGTATGGCTGCTGGAATTGGCCAAAACTCAGCTTTTCTTACAGGTGCACACTATTAAGTTAGGTTTTCAATTTTATCGGCCTATTAATTTAGGTTATGGTTCGTCCACAAGGACTCAAATATAGAAGTATAGAGTCCTGGAGGGAGGAGCCAAGATGGCCAAATAGGAACAGCTCCGGTCTACAGCTCCCAGCGTGAGCGACGCAGAAGACGGGTGATTTCTGCATTTCCATCTGAGGTACCGGGTTCATCTCACTAGGGAGTGCCAGACAGTGGGCGCAGGTCAGTGGGTGCGCCCACCGTGTGCGAGCCGAAGCAGGGCAAGGCATTGCCTCACCTGGGAAGCGCAAGGGGTCAGGGAGTTCCCTTTCCGAGTCAAAGAAAGGGGTGACGGACGCACCTGGAAAATCGGGTCACTCCCACCCGAATATTGCGCTTTTCAGACCGGCTTAAAAAACGGCGCACCACGAGATTATATCCCACACCTGGCTCGGAGGGTCCTACGCCCACGGAGTCTCGCTGATTGCTAGCACAGCAGTCTGAGATCAAACTGCAAGGCGGCAGCGAGGCTGGGGGAGGGGCGCCCACCATTGCCCAGGCTTGCTTAGGTAAACACAGCAGCTGGGAAGCTCGAACTGGGTGGAGCCCACCACAGCTCAAGGAGGCCTGCCTGCCTCTGTAAGCTCCACCTCTCCGGGCAGGGCACAGACAAACAAAAAGACAGCAGTAACCTCTGCAGACTTAAATGTCCCTGTCTGACAGCTTTAAAGAGAGCAGTGGTTCTCCCAGCACGCAGCTGGAGATCTGAGAACGGGCAGACTGCCTCCTCAAGTGAGTCCCTGACCCCCGCGCAGCCTAACTGGGAGGCACCCCCCAGCAGGGGCACACTGACACCTCACACGGCAGGGTATTCCAACAGACCTGCAGCTGAGGGTCCTGTCTGTTAGAAGGAAAACTAACAAACAGAAAGGACATCCACACCAAAAATCCATCTGTACATCACCATCATCAAAGACCAAAAGTAGATAAAACCACAAAGATGGGGAAAAAACAGAACAGAAAAACTGGAAACTCTAAAAATCAGAGTGCCTCTCCTCCTCCAAAGGAA
Source organism: Homo sapiens (assembly GCF_000001405.40). NCBI lineage: Eukaryota > Metazoa > Chordata > Mammalia > Primates > Hominidae > Homo > Homo sapiens. Next base: position 195,072,575 of record NC_000002.12, on the reverse strand, counting down.
CGCACTTCCTCACCAGCAATGGAACAAAGCTGGATGGAGAATGACTTTGACGAGCTGAGAGAAGAAGGCTTCAGACGATCAAATTACTCTGAGCTACGGGAGGACATTCAAACCAAAGGCAAAGAAGTTGAAAACTTTGAAAAAAATTTAGAAGAATGTATAACTAGAATAACCAATAGAGAGAAGTGCTTAAAGGAGCTGATGGAGCTGAAAACCAAGGCTCGAGAACTACGTGAAGAATGCAGAAGTCTCAGGAGCCGATGCGATCAACTGGAAGAAAGGGTATCAGCAATGGAAGATGAAATGAATGAAATGAAGCGAGAAGGGAAGTTTAGAGAAAAAAGAATAAAAAGAAATGAGCAAAGCCTCCAAGAAATATGGGACTATGTGAAAAGACCAAATCTACGTCTGATTGGTGTACCTGAAAGTGATGGGGAGAATGGAACCAAATTGGAAAACACTGTGCAGGATATTATCCAGGAGAACTTCCCCAATCTAGCAAGGCAGGCCAACGTTCAGATTCAGGAAATACAGAGAACGCCACAAAGATACTCCTCGAGAAGAGCAACTCCAAGACACATAATTGTCAGATTCACCAAAGTTGAAATGAAGGAAAAAATGTTAAGGGAAGCCAGAGAGAAAGGTCGGGTTACCCTCAAAGGGAAGCCCATCAGACTAACAGCAGATCTCTCAGCAGAAATCCTACAAGCCAGAAGAGAGTGGGGGCCAATATTGAACATTCTTAAAGAAAAGAATTTTCAACCCAGAATTTCATATCCAGCCAAACTAAGCTTCATAAGTGAAGGAGAAATAAAATACTTTACAGACAAACAAATGCTGAGAGATTTTGTCACCACCAGACCTGCCCTAAAAGAGCTCCTGAAGGAAGCGCTAAACATGGAAAGGAACAACCGGTTCCAGCCACTGCAAAATCATGCCAAAATGTAAAGACCATGAAGACTAGGAAGAAACTGCATCAACTAACGAGCAAAATCACCAGCTAACATCATAATGACAGGATCAAATTCACACATAACAATATTAACTTTAAATGTCAATGGACTAAATGCTCCAATTAAAAGACACAGACTGGCAAATTGGATAAAGAGTCAAGACCCATCAGTGTGCTGTATTCAGGAAACCCATCTCACGTGCAGACACACACATAGACTCAAAATAAAAGGATGGAGGAAGATCTACCAAGCAAATAGAAAACAAAAAAAGGCAGGGGTTGCAATCCTAGTCTCTGATAAAACAGACTTTAAACCAACAAAGATCAAAAGAGACAAAGAAGGCCATTACATAATGGTAAAGGGATCAATTCAACAAGAAGAGCTAACTATCCTAAATATATATGCACCCAATACAGGAGCACCCAGATTCATAAAGCAAGTCCTGAGTGACCTACAAAGAGACTTAGACTCCCACACATTAATAATGGGAGACTTTAACACCCCACTGTCAACATTAGACAGATCAAGGAGACAGAAAGTCAACAAGGATACCCAGGAATTGAACTCAGCTCTGCACCAAGTGGACCTAATAGACATCTACAGAACTCTGCACCACAAATCAACAGAATATACATTTTTTTCAGCACCACACCACACCTATTCCAAAATTGACCACATAGTTGGAAGTAAAGCTCTCCTCAGCAAATGTAAAAGAACAGAGATTATAACAAACTATCTCTCAGACCACAGTGCAATCAAACTAGAACTCAGGATTAAGAATCTCACTCAAAACCGCTCAACTACATGGAAACTGAACAACCTGCTCCTGAATGACTACTGGATACATAACAAAATGAAGGCAGAAATAAAGATGTTCTTTGAAACCAACAAGAACAAAGACACAACATACCAGAATCTCTGGGATGCATTCAAAGCAGTGTGTAGAGGGAAATTTATAGCACTAAATGCCCACAAGAGAAAGCAGGAAAGATCCAAAATTGACACCCTAACATCACAATTAAAAGAACTGGAAAAGCAAGAGCAAACACATTCAAAAGCTAGCAGAAGGCAAGAAGTAACTAAAATCAGAGCAGAACTGAAGGAAATAGAGACACAAAAAACCCTTCAAAAAATTAATGAATCCAGGAGCTGGTTTTTTGAAAGGATCAACAAAATTGATAGAATGCTAGCAAGACTAATAAAGAAGAAAAGAGAGAAGAATCAAATAGACACAATAAAAAATGATAAAGGGGATATCACCACCGATCCCACAGAAATACAAACTACCATCAGAGAATACTACAAACACCTCTATGCAAATAAACTAGAAAATCTAGAAGAAATGGATAAATTCCTCGACACATACACTCTCCCAAGACTAAACCAGGAAGAAGTTGAATCTCTGAATAGACCAATAACAGGAGCTGAAATTGTGGCAATAATCAATAGCTTACCAACCAAAAAGAGTCCAGGACCAGATGGATTCACAGCCGAATTCTACCAGAGGTACAAGGAGGAACTGGTACCATTCCTTCTGAAACTATTCCAATCAATAGAAAAAGAGGGAATCCTCCCTAACTCATTTTATGAGGCCAGCATTATTCTGATACCAAAGCCGGGCAGAGACACAACCAAAAAAGAGAATTTTAGACCAATATCCTTGATGAACATTGATGCAAAAATCCTCAATAAAATATTGGCAAAACGAATCCAGCAGCATATCAAAAAGCTTATCCACCATGATCAAGTGGGCTTCATCCCTGGGATGCAAGGCTGGTTCAATATACGCAAATCAATAAATGTAATCCAGCATATAAACAGAAACAAAGACAAAAACCACATGATTATCTCAATAGATGCAGAAAAAGCCTTTGACAAAATTCAACAACCCTTCATGCTAAAAACTCTCAATAGATTAGGTATTGATGGGACGTATTTCAAAATAATAAGAGCTATCTATGACAAACCCACAGCTAATATCGTACTGAAGGGGCAAAAACTGGAAGCATTCCCTTTGAAAACTGGCACAAGACAGGGATGCCCTCTCTCACCACTCGTATTCAACATAGTGTTGGAAGTTCTGGCCAGGGCAATTAGGCAGGAGAAGGAAATAAAGGGTATTCAATTAGGAAAAGAGGAAGTCAAATTGTCCCTGTTTGCAGACGACATGATTGTATATCTAGAAAACCCCATTGTCTCAGCCCAAAATCTCCTTAAGCTGATAAGCACTTCAGCAAAGTCTCAGGATACAAAATCAATGTACAAAAATCACAAGCATTCTTATACACCAACAACAGACAAACAGAGCCAAATCATGAGTGAACTCCCATTCACAACTGCTTCAAAGATAATAAAATACCTAGGAATCCAGCTTACAAGGGATGTGAAGGACCTCTTCAAGGAGAACTACAAACCACTGCTCAAGGAAATAAAAGAGGATACAAACAAATGGAAGAACATTCCATGCTCATGGGTAGGAAGAATCAATATTGTGAAAATGGCCATACTGCCCAAGGTAATTTACAGATTCAATGCCATCCCCATCAAGCTACCAATGACTTTCTTCACACAATTGGAAAAAACTACTTTAAAGTTCATATGGAACCAAAAAAGAGCCCGCATCGCCAAGGCAATCCTAAGCCAAAAGAACAAAGCTGGAGGCATCACACTACCTGACTTCAAACTATACTACAAGGCTACAGTAACCAAAACAGCATGGTACTGGTACCAAAACAGAGATATAGATCAATGGAACAGAACAGAGCCCTCAGAAATAACGCCGCATATCTACAACTATCTGATCTTTGACAAACCTGAGAAAAACAAGCAATGGGGAAAGGATTCCCTATTTAATAAATGGTGCTGGGAAAACTGGCTAGCCATATGTAGAAAGCTGAAACTGGATCCCTTCCTTACACCTTATACAAAAATCAATTCAAGATGGATTAAAGACTTAAATGTTAGACCTAAAACCATAAAAACCCTAGAAGAAAACCTAGGCATTACCATTCAGGACATAGGCATGGGCAAGGACTTCATGTCCAAAACACCAAAAGCAATGGCAACAAAAGCCAAAATTGACAAATGGGATCTAATTAAACTAAAGAGCTTCTGCACAGCAAAAGAAACTACCATCAGAGTGAACAGGCAACCTACAAAATGGGAGAAAATTTTCGCAACCTCCTCATCTGACAAAGGGCTAATATCCAGAATCTACAATGAACTCCAACAAATTTACAAGAAAAAAACAAACAACCCCATCAAAAAGTGGGCAAAGGACATGAACAGACACTTCTCAAAAGAAGACATTTATGCAGCCAAAAAACACATGAAAAAATGCTCATCATCACTGGCCATCAGAGAAATGCAAATCAAAACCACAATGAGATACCATCTCACACCAGTTAGAATGGCAATCATTAAAAAGTCAGGAAACAACAGGTGCTGGAGAGGATGTGGAGAAATAGGAACACTTCTACACTGTTGGTGGGATTGTAAACTAGTTCAACCGTTGTGGAAGACAGTGTGGCGATTCCTCAGGGATCTAGAGCTAGAAACACCATTTGACTCAGCCATCCCATTACTGGGTATATACCCAAAGGACTATAAATCATGCTGCTATAAAGACACATGCACACGTATGTTTATTGTGGCATTATTCACAATAGCAAAGACTTGGAACCAACCCAAATGTCCAACAATGATAGACTGGATTAAGAAAATGTGGCACATATACACCATGGAATACTCTGCAGCCATAAAAAATGATGAGTTCATGTCCTTTGTAGGGACATGGATGAAATTGGAAATCATCATTCTCAGTAAACTATCACAAGAACAAAAAACCAAACACCGCATATTCTCACTCATAGGTGGGAATTGAACAATGAGATCACATGGACACAGGAAGGGGAATATCACACTCTGGGGACAGTGGTGGGGTGGGGGGAGGGGGGAGGGATAGCATTGGGAGATATACATAATGCTAGATGACGAGTTAGTGGGTGCAGCACACCAGCATGGCACATGTATACATATGTAACTAACCTGCACAATGTGCACATGTACCCTAAAACTTAAAGTATAATAATAAAAAAAAAAAAAAAGAAATATGGAGTCCTTCTCAGGACATATTTAGTTTGCTTTAAAAGTAGAAAAATTTTGGAAAATAGAAAAAGTTATAATAATATTCTTTTCTTTTTACTTTTATCTTTACTTCTTTACCACAGTATAAGCCTGAGTCTTTTCTCTATCTTGTGATTGAATCATATTAATCATACATTTTAAAATATATCAATCCAGTGTGAGATAACTACTGGTATCATAGGAAATTGAATAAAATTACAAGATCATATACATCTTGTTAAATAGGTAGGAATAGAAGAATTTTGTAGCCTCAAAACATCTATTTGATGTAACTTACATGTGAAACTGAATATAGCATTTTCCCCAATATCTCACATGACATTCATAAAAATAAAATTTTTATTTAATAAAATTTTAAACTTAAAGTTTAATTTTTATTTTAAAAATTAGGTTTAAAATAACAGCTTTATTAGAAAAGAGATAGACAATTTCTCCAGATAATAGTTTATCAGAAATTTTATCAAGTTATTATAAATAATCTATACTGAGACATGTCTTGGTAAAGTTACTAGACGTTCAAGATAGAGAAAAAAATACCGTGCACATTTGAGGAGACTAATTTGTCACCATTTTTAGGAAAACTAAACTAGGTTGGTTCTGTACTTTATATGCCCCAACAGCAAAACATTGTCTACAACATCTTTAGTAAAATAAAGGATGCTCTAAGAATTGTTTAACCAACCAAATTTTTGCTCAGAGTTAAAACAGGAAGGAAACATTTTCAAACATGTAAGAATTCAGAAACAATAGCAGCACACATTCTTCTTAGAAAAGCAAGACAAAGAAAAAAAAAAGGAAATTTAGCTTACCAGGAGATAAATTTAAAACCTGTGAAGGAAGGGACTGGTAGTAAGAATTAAATTATTTCAATTCATAACAATTGTTAAAATTATGGCTACAAAAGACAACGTAAATATTCTAAATCCTGACAATATAGAAATAATAATTTGATAAAATTGGAAAGTGGAAGTGATATACATTTAAGTTTTCAAGATTAAAATAATCATATTTACATGTATAATGCTACAGATTAGTTGAACAGATCATACTCTTTCCACATTACCAGAAAAAAAGTTTTTAAACAACAAAACAAGTATTATACAAACAAGTATTAAACAAAACAAGTATTATACAAACAAAATTACAAATCACATTATATAAAAGACAAAAACACTAAGAGAACATAAAAACAAAATAACATGATGGAATTCTGATTAAATTTCATATCAGTAAAATATTTTATTAAAAATAACTTTCAGATGGTATAATAATAATATATCTTTATGTGGTATATATAAGAGATACATTTGAAATAAAAATGGAAAGTAAAAGGATGGAGTCTGTGAATCTTTATGTACCAAGTAATATGCCATGAATATTAAGAAAACAAAAGCCATGAGAAACAATGTAAAATAATAAACAGTAACATAACTATAATTAAAACATTAATTTATCTTTCTTATATCTGAGGAACGAAATCACAAAAGAAGCCTATGAAGGGCAAATTAATGTAATTAATCAGGTAGATTTAAATAATATATAATGAATTGTACAGTTGGGGAGAAAGAGAGACAGAATCACACACACACAGAAGAACATCTAGAACTGATCCTAGATGAAGAGCAAAGAAAACTTTAATAATTTTCAAAATGAAGAAGTGGTACAAAACAACTTTTTGGAACTCAAAAATCAATACAATTTAAAGTGATAGCATAAAACAAGGATATAAACAAAAAATTCCATATGGAAATTTAAAAAGAAAAACAATTCTTCCTTTCAAAAATCTCTGAGGTAAAGAAAAATAAAGCATCACTGGCATATTATATAGATTAAAAAAATGAAAACTTAAAACTGCATGTATTAAAACCTAAGGAATACAGCTAATGTAAGGCTTAAAGAAAGAATCACAGCCAAGCACCTATATTATTAAACAAGAAAGACTACTTTATGAACTAAATATGTTCTTTCAAACAAAATAAACCAAAGTCTATTTAAAGAAAAATTAATATAAAGATAAAAAGCACAAGTTAATGAATTAAAACATGGAAAAGCATAAGAAATAATAACTACTCAACTAGATTTTTGGCTAAAAGAACTACCG